>NW_019805490.1:0-302885 GCF_000001405.40 Homo sapiens
AATTCAACAACACATTAAAAAGATCATTCATCATAACCAAGTGGGATTTACCATAGGGATGCAAGGATGTTTCAACATATGCAAATCAACCAGTGTGGTACATCATATCAATAAAATGAAGGACAAAAGCCATATGGTCATTTCAAGTGGTGCTGAAAAAGCATTTGATAAAATTCAATATCCTACTATAGTAAAAGCCCTCAAAAAACTTGGCATAGAAGGAACCTACCTCAACACAATACAAGCCATATACAACAGACCCACAGCTAGTGTCATACTGAATGGGGGAAAACTGAAAGCCTTTCCCCTATAATCCAGAACAAGACAAGGATGCCCCTTTGCTACTATTATTCAACATAGTACTGGAAGTCCTAGCTAGAGCAATCAGACAACACAAAGAAATAAAAGGCATTCAAATCGGAAAGAAAGAGGTCAAATTATTCTTCCTTGCAGATATGATCTTATATTTACAAAAAACTAAAGATTACATGCACACACACACAAACACACCGACACACAAACTGTTAAAAGTGATAAACAAATTCAATAAAGTTGTAGGATATAAAGTCAACATGCAAAAATCAGTAGCATTTCTATATGCCAACTGTGAACAGTCTGAAAAAGAAATCAAGAAAATCCCATTTGCAATATCTACAAATACAATAAAATACTAAGAATAAACAACCAAAGAAGTCAGAGATCTCTACAGTGAAAACTATAAAACATGCAGGAAATTGAAGAGGCCACAAAAAATGAAAGATAGTCCATGTTTATGAATTGAAAAAATCAATATTGTTAAAATGTTCATACTACCCAAAGCAATCTACAGATTCAGTGCAATCCCTATAAAAATACCAATCACATTTTTCACAGAAATAGAAAAAAAAATCCTAAAATCTATATGCAACCATGAAAGACTCAGGATAACCAAAGCCATCCTGAGCAAAAAGAACAAAACTGTAGCAATCACATAACCTGACTTCAAATTATGCTACAGAGCTATAGTAACCAAAACAGCATGGTTCTGGCATTAAAAACAAAAACAAAAACATAGTCTAATGGAATAGAATAGAGAACCCAGAAACAAATCCATACATTTACAATGAACTCATTAGACAAAGGTGCCAAGAACATACACTGGTGAAAGGATAGCCTCTTCAATAAATGGTGGATAGCCATACGAGAGAAAATGAAACTAGACCCCTATCTCTCTCCATATACAAAAATCAAATCAAAATGGATTAAAGACTTAAATCTATGACCTCAAACTATGAAACCACTAAAATAAAACATTGGAGAAACTCTCCAGGACATCCTTCTGGGCAAAGATTTCTTGAGTAATACCCCATAAACACAGACAACCAAAACACAAATGGGCAAATGAGATTATATAAAGTTAAAAAGTCTCTGCACAACAAAGAAACAATCAACAAAGTGAAGAGACAACCCACAGAATGGGGGAAAATATTTGCAAACTATTTACCTGACAAGGGATTAATAACCAGAATATATAAGGAGCTCAAACAACTCAATAGGAAAAAATCTAATAATCCAATTTAGAAAAAACAGGCAGAAGATCTGAATAGGTGTTTCTCAAAAGAAGACATACAAATGGCAAGTAGGCATATGAAAAGGTGCTCACCATCACTGATCATCAGAGAGATGCAAATCAAAAGTACAATGGGTATCATCTCACTCCAGTTAAAATGGCTTTTATCCAAAAGACAGGCAATAAAAAATGCTGGTGACAATCTGGAGAAAAAGTAATCAGTATGTCTAAGAGACATCTGTACTCCCGTGTTTACTGCAGCACTATTCACAATAGCCACAATTTAGAAGCATCCTAAGTGTCCATTAACAGGTGAATGGATAAAGAAAATAAAAAAGAATGAGATCCTGTCACTTGCAACAACATGGATGTAACTGGAGGTGATGATGTTAAGTGTAATAAGCCAGGCACAGAAAGACAAATTTTGTATGTTCTCACTCATTTGTCGACACTAAAAATTAAAAGAATTTTTAATTGTACTCCCATGAGATAGGGAGTACAATAATGGTTACAAGAGGCTGGGAAGGGTAGTGGGGATGCGGAGTGGGAATGCTTAATGGGTACAAAACTATAGTTAGAATGAATAAAATCTAGTGTTTGATAGCACAGCAGCGTGACTATAGTCAACAATAACTTATTGTACATTTAAAAATAACTAAAAGAGTATAATTGGGTTGTTTGTAACACAAATAAATTATGTACGCTTGAAATGGTGAATACCTTATTTACCCTGATGTGATTATACATTGTATGCCTGTGTCAAAATATCTCATGTACTCCTTAAATGTATGTACCTACTATGTACCCATATAATTAAAAAATTTTTAAAAACTTCCTCAATATGATATGATACAAGTTTTTTTGTTTGTTTTTTTTTTTTTTTTTGAGACGGAGTCTCCCTCTGTTACCCAGGCTAGAGGGCAGTGGCGTGATCTGGGCTCACTGCAACCTCCGCCTCCCGGGTTCAAGCGATTTTCCTGCCTCAGCCTCCCAAGTAGGTGGGATTACAGGCACCCACCACCATGCCTGGCTAATTTTTTTATTTTTAGTAGGGACGGGGTTTCACCATGTTTGCCAGGCTGGTCTCAAACTCCTGACATCAGGTGATCTGCCACCTAGGCTTCCCAAAGTGCTGGGATTACAGGCGTGAGCCACCGTGCCCAGTTTCAAACGATACAAACTTCTTTATGAAAAACCCACAGCTAACATCATAATGGTAAGAGACCGGGTCCTTTCCACACTGAGACCCTTCTCTCTATACAGAGAGTGCTATTTCTCTTTCTTTTCTCTTCTGCCTATTAAATCTCTGCTCCTAAATTCCTTGTGTGTGTCCATGTCCTAAATTTTCCTGGCATGAGATAACGAATCCCAGGGTACATACCCTAGACAATGTAGCCGCTTCATATTGGGGACCTTGTCTGGGATACCAAGGTACAACATTCATCGAAACAGTGAGTAGAGGAGCAGACTCCAACTCTGTCCTTTCATTTCAAGGCTCTCAGCCTCCATTTTAGAACTAAATCAAACCAAATACTGGGCCCCCTTCAGCCATTTAAAAACGATTAGCATGGCTGCCAGCGTTACAAGACTTGGGGGACAGGCTTGCTGGGGAGAACATGGAGAATCCCCCAGTACCCATGGGTTGCTGGGCATATTGGCTATGTTTGAATCAGCTTCATTTCATGGAGGACTTAGCCGTGGCATGGGGCTGGAGGAGGTTTTGGAGCAACTGAGGATTTCTGGCTGGGCTACTCCACAGTGTTATCCAAAGGCTTTTGGACTGACCCCAGCCTCTGACCACCATGGAGTGTCGGCAACAGGATCTCCAACTTTCCTATGGTAATTTCCCCTTTCCTGTCCGCGACCGCCATATCTCTTATCCTCTTTGGGTATGACAGTGCCCCGTATAAATCAGACACACCTCCTCAAACCTGACTATAAAATCCTGTGCATCCACCACCCACTGGTTCTTTCCACTTGGAGACCCCTCTCTGCAAAGAGAGTTGTTTCTTATTTATTTATTTTTTTTTTTTGAGACATGAGCCTCACTCTGTTGCCCAGGCTGGAGTGCAGTGGCGCCATCTCGGCTCACTGCAAGCTCCGCCTCCCGGGTTCACGCCATTCTCCTGCCTCAGCCTCCCAAGTAGCTAGGACTACAGGCGCCCGCCACCACACCTGGCTAATTTTTTGTATTTTTAGTAGAGACGGGGTTTCACCGTGTTAGCCAGGATGGTCTCGATCTTCTGACCTTGTGATCTGCCCTCCTCGGCCTCCCAAAGTGCTGGGATTACAGGCGTGAGCCACCGTGCCCGGCCTGTTTCTCTTTTTCTTCTCTTCTGCCTAGTAAACCTCTGCTCAAAACAAACAAACAAAAAAACTAAAATTTCCCCCTATCGAGAACAAGCAAGGATGTCCACTTTTACCACTTCTACTCAATATACTACTGGAAGTTCTACACAGAGCAATTAGGCAAAATGAATTAAAGGGCATCCAAATTGGAAAGGAAGAGGTAAAACTACTTCTGTCTTAAATGACAATCCTGTATGTAGAAAACCCTGAAGAATCCATCCAAAAAACACTGTTAGAGGCCAAGAGCAGTGATTCACATCTGCAATCTCAGAGCTTTAGGAGGCCAAGGCAGGAGAATCACCTGAGCCCAGGAGTTCAAGGCTGAAGTGAGCTATGATTTTGCCACTGCACTCCAGCCTAGGCAAGAGGGTGATACTCTGTCTCTAAAACAAACAAACAAACAAACAAACAATAACAACAAAAAAAACCCTTTTAGAACTAATAAACAAACTGAGCAAAGTTGCAGGATGAAAAATTGACAAATCAATCGTATTTCTATGCACTAGCAAAAAACACTAAAAAAAGAAATTTAAAAAATTCCATTTACAACAGTATCAAAAAGAAAAAAATACTTAGTAAATTTAACTAAGGAGGTGCAAGACTTGTACATCAAAGGAGGTGGAAGCAAATAACTGTTGAAGGAATTTACAGAAAGCTTAAATAAATAGACATTCTGGATTCACGGATTAGAAGACTTAATATTGTTAAGATGACAATACTATCCAAAGTAGTCTGCAGAATCAACACATTCCTATCAGAATCCAAACGGTATGCTTTTGCAAAAACAGAAAAACTCATCCTAAAATTCATATGAAATTTCAAGGAACCCCAAATAGCCAAAATAATCCTGAAAAAGAACAAAGGTGGGGTATTCATAATTTGTGATTTCAAAACTTAATATAAGCAATATTAATCAAAACAGTGTGGAACTGGCATAAAGATGGACATGTAGACCAGTGAATAGAATTGAGAGTCCAGAAACAAACCCTCACATATATGACCAACAGATTTCTGACAAGGGTGTCAGGACCATTCAATGAGGAAAGCAGAGTCTCTTCAACAAATGCTGGCAGAAAAATTGGATATCTGGATGCAAAGGAATGAAGTTGGAGCCTTATGTTACACAATGTATAAAAGTTAACTGAGAATGGATTTTTTAAAGCCCTAAATTTAAGAGCTTAAAATACAAAACTCTTAGATGACAACAAAGGAGCAAATCTTCGTGAACTTGTGTCATGGCAATGGTTTCTTAACTATGGCACCAAAGGCACATATAACGAAAGAAAAACTAAATATGTTGGACTTCATCAAATGTAAAATTTTGTGTATCAAAGGACACCGTCAAAAGAGTAAAAAGACAACTCACAGAATGGGAGAAAATATTTGCAAATCATATATCCCATGAGGGTTTAATATTTAGAATATATAAAGAACTCCCACAATTCAAAACAAAAACAAACAAACAATCCAATTAAAAAATGGATAAAGGATGTGATAGACAATTTCCCAGAGAAGACACACAAATGGCTAGTAAACATATGTAACGATGTTTAACATCATTAGTTATCAGGGAAATGGAAATACTAACCACGGTCAGATACTATTTCATACCCCCCAAGATGGCTATAATTTAAAAATGGAAAATAACAAGTGTTGGTAAGAATATGGGGAAATTGGAACCCTTGTGCAGTGCTGGTGGGAATGTAAAATGGTGCAGCTGCTGTGGAAAATTTATTGATTCCTCAAAAAGTTAATCATAGACTTACCATATGACCCAACAATTCCTCTCCTATTTCAATATTTAAAAGAATTGAAAACAGGGACTCAAACAGATTCTTCTGTACCCATGTTCATATCAGCAATATTCACAATTGCCAAAGGGTGGAAACAACCCACATGTTCATCAATGGGTGAATGACAAACAAAATGTGGCCTACACATGCAGTGGAATATTATTCATCCATAAAAAGGATGACATTCTTAGGCCTGGCGCGGTGGCTCACGCCTGTAATCCCAGCACTTTGGGAGGCCAAGCGAGTGGATCACGAAGTCAGGAGTTCGAGACCAGCCTTGCCAGCATGGTGAAACCCCGTCTCTACTAAAAATACTGTGAACAACAATATGTCAGCTACTCGGGAGGCTGAGGCAGGAGAATTGCTTGAACCTGGGGGGCAGAGGTTGCAGTGAGCTGAGATCGCGTCACTGCACTCCAGCCTGGCCGACAAAGCAAGACTCTGTCTCAAAAAAAAAAAAAAAAAAAAAAAAGATGAGGTTCTTTTGGCACATGTTACAATACAGATGAACATTGAAAACATTATGATAAGTGAAATAAGCCAGACACAAAAGGACATATATGTATGAACAAATATGTATGATTCTACTTATATGAAATATCTATAATAGGCATATTCATAGAGACAGAAAGTAGAATAGAGGTTAACAGGAGATGGGAGCAGTGATAAGTTATTATCAATGAGTATTTTGTTTTTGAGATAAAAAAAGTTATGAAAATAGTGATGATGGTTTCACAACATCTTGGATGTACTTAATACCATTGAATTGTACATTTAACCACAGCTTAAAAGATTTTATGTTATGTATATTTTACCAAAAAATTTTAAAAAAGAAAAAAAGGTAAAATTGACTTCTCAAGAGCCAAATCCTCCAGACATCTTCCAAGCTTATAGGATTTCTCTGCAACATTTAACACCACTGACCACCAACCCTATCTGGAAACTCTCAACTCACCTAGGGTGTCAGTTAGGAATGCTTTTGACTTCAAGCAACAAAAAACAAGACACACAGTAGCTTCAGCAATTAGGGGATTGTGTCTGATGCTCCTTCGCCCTTAGCATACAGCTTTGGTTCTCATGATTCAAGGATGGCTGCTGCACCTCCAGGCTTCACTTCCACATCCCAGGCAGGAAAAATAAGGACAGAGAAAGAGCCATTGGCTAAATGCTGAAGATCCTGGCCAGCAAAGACTGTCCTCTCTAAGGGGCTTTCTAGGAAACCCAATCAGTGATGCCCACTTACATCTCACTGTCCAGAACCGGGTCACATACTCCTCTCTAATGGCAAAGCAGGATGGGAGTGTGAAAAGGCTTTTACCTGAGCATACCTCTTCCCAAAATCTAAATAGAGCTCTGTCAGAAAGGAAGAAAGAAGAGTGGAGAATGAGGAGGCCACTGGCAAAACCTGCCCCCTGGCTTCAGGGGTGCCCCTGGCCCCTGATTCTGGCTTCTCCAGCTCTCTCACTACTGTTTCCTCTGGCTCACCCTTGACCATTCAGCATTTCCCCACATTCTGACTTCGGCTCACTTCCTTTTTCATTCCAGGTTCTTTCCCTGAGCCCATGCACCTCCCAGCCCCTGCTTTCAGCTATCACCCCTCATCAGGGAATCCCAAACACACACATAACTTCTACCTGACCCAACGCCTGAGCTATAGACACATTCGTCCATTCATTCAAAAATGTTTATGAAGTGCTTTCTATGAGCTGGACACTCCTCTAGGCCTTGAGGATACAGCAGGAAGCAACAGCCCTCACAGAGTTTACCTTCAAGTGAGGGAGAGGGTTTATTAACATGTAAGCAACTAAGTAGGTTGTTCCAACTGGTGGCACCAGAAGACTCCACAGCAGGATGCTGTGACAGAGGAGAGCGGGGATGGAAGGCTACTTCCAATAGGATAACCTCGAAGAGCTCTCCAAAGAGGTAACAAGAATAGTTGGTTTCCAGCCTGGGAAATAGGGTGATACCCGTCTCTACAGTTTTTTTTTTTTCTTAATTAGGCAGGTGTGGTGGTATGCATCTGTGGTCTCAGCTGTTCAGGAAGCTGAGGTGGGAGACTGGCTTGAGCACAGGAGGTGGAGGCTACAGCAAGCCATGATCGTGCCACTGCACTCCAGCCTGGGTGACAGAGCAAGACCCTGTCTCAAAACGCAAAACAAAACAAAACAAAACAAAACAAAATAGTTGGTGCTAGCAAGGAGTGATTTTAAAATTTCCACCTGAGGGGGCTAGATACTGTAACAAGAGCAACTGACATTTTGCAGATTCGATATGGAGTCATGTGTGGAAACCTAAGTGGCACCACCTTCCCATGTGATTCTAGAACATTTTGAAACCTACAGGGCCCAGTGCCCCAGTCAATGGCTTGGCCCCCATCCCTTGATCAGGCCTCAGCATTTTTCACCCGATAATTATTATATAATCACTCCTCACTTTCTTCAGGATTCTCTCTAGGGGAGACTTGCCCGGGCCACATTTGCAATTGAAACTTCTCCCTTACCCTAACCAGCTCTTCCCCTTCCCCACAGTTGTCCCCACAGCATTCATCACCACATAGCATACACTATACATCTATTGCTTATTTGTTTATTGCCTGCCTTCCCTACCATAACTGGGTGTGTACCAAGGTAGGGATTCTTGTTTGTTCTTTTCACCGTGGAACCCCCAGGCTCCAGGCCTGTGTCGGGCACATATAAGACGCTCAGAAAATATTTGTTCAATGAGTAAATGGTCTGCTCGCTTGGAGGCTCCACCCTATCTCTCACCCTCCTCCTTCCTGGCTACCAGAGAGACCAGTCCACTAGATCATTCCCCTGCTTAGCAACTTTCAACAACACCCTGTGCTTTCAGAAGAGAGTGCAAATTCTCAACCCAGCACTGGGGATGGCCTGGCTCTCTGTCACTCCAGCCTCATCTCCCACTCCTTTGACACCCTGCACTGTAGCCTCATCACCCCATTCATAGGTCCTTGCCTATGTCTATTTTATTTTTCTCTTTCTTCCGGATCTCAGGTGCAGAGAGTTGAGTTCATCTTCCCTTCGGTTTCATGAGTCACTATCATTTCGGGTAAGTGGGAGGTCAGTGGTAAGCCCCCATTTTTTTTTTTTTTTTTTTTGAGAAGGAGTCTCGCTCTGTCACCCAGGCTGTAGTGCAGTGGCGTGATCTCAGCTCACCACAACCTCTGCCTCCTGGGTTCAAGCAATTCTCCTGCCTCAACCTCCCGAGTAGCTGGGATTATGGGCACGCACCACCACACCTGGCTAATGTTTTTGTATTTTTAGTAGAGATGGGGTTTTACCATGTTGGCCAGGCTGGTCTCGAACTCCTGACCTCAAGAGATCTGCCCGCCTCGGCCTCCCAAAGTGTTGGGATTACAGGCCTGAGCCACTGTGCCCAGCCAGTAAGCTCTCTTGATTTATTTTATTTTAAATATTTCCCCTCTCCATCCCTAATCTCCACTCTGATTTCATTTCCCCATGGAGGTGCCCACTCTAATGCATTTGGTCCAGGTCCTGGCTGGCTTTCTATCCCTGGCAAATATGTGGCATTCATTTATATAAGCAAGTACATACATGCCCTTGTACTACAGATCTCATTCTGTTTGTTACCTTTTCCACCCAACACCGAGGGTGTGATGTATGTGTATGTTTTGTGTGTGTGTGTGTGTGTGTGTGTGTGTGTACAATCTCTCCATTTCTCATTGCTCCCCACCAGATTGGTAATCCCTGCTGTTGTCCAAGTCCCACCCTAAGCATCCACCACATCTTATTCTCCTCCCAGTGTTAGACCTTCCACTGCCTCTAACTCCCAACAATTACAACAGAGTTGCAATTAACATCCTCATCCTTGTGTGCTAATAGACCTGAGAACAAAGCTTACTCAGGGGTGGGGCTGCTGGCTTTTAGATTATAGGCACACTCCCTGCACCTGCTCCCACGTTTTCAGCAGCATTTGGACTTATCCACCTTTCTAATTATTGGCAAGCTAATGGGCATGCTTATTATTTCAGACCTGGGCTGACTTCTGGGGCCAAAAGGGATAGAGATGATTTTGCTGACACCTTATAGGTGGTACAAAGTCATAAAAGTAACTAACATTGATTTATATAGTGAGAACACTATTGCCTTTTTAGTTTTCTTTTAGTAAGTTTTAGTGTACTGGAGTGTGCCTTTAATTCCTTCCTCATACCGTCATGTGTCCCATAGCAACATTTTGGTCAATGACAGACCACATATAAGATAGTGGTCTCATAAGATTATCATGGAGCATATATAAAAACCTGATTAGAAACTTGACATTGGCATTTCAGATCAAGTAGGGGAAATAATTGATATTCAATATTCAGTAAAGATGTTGGGACATTTAGTTTTCCAGATTAAAAAAATGTATATTTACTAGTATATATACCATCTAGGTTTGTATAAGTATACTCTATGATGTTCATGCAATGACAAAATCACTTAAAGACACATTTCTCAAAAAGTATCCCTGGCATTAAGGGACACATGACTGTACTTGCTAGACTTCCTTTTTATTAAAGATTCTTTGGAAAGCCTACTGTTGTTTTTATTGTATTTATTTTTGTGGTTTCTGACTATTTCTGGTAAGTTATAATGGTTTTCTATGTATGGAGAAATACTTCATTAAGTAAAAAAAGCAGGTCAATTGAAAGAAAAATGGTAATTAAGTCATAGGTGTTCCCTAGATAGCACAGAAATTCTGAAGATGGCTCTTCATATCACCAAGGCTGGGGAAATCTGACATAAACCAAGGTTCGTCTGGGAACAGAGGGGTCTGTCCTGATGCTCCAGGTGGCCTGGTAAGCCTTACCTCACAAAATGTCCCAGGTTCAAATCCTGCTTTTTCTGAGCAAGTTACCTCTCATTCCCCTCTGCTGTAAAACAGTGATGACAACACTCACAGGATTATTAAGATAATTAAATGAGATCTTAATGAGGGACTCTAGCACTGGGAGGGGCATAACACATGGTGTCAACACCTTGGAGTATGAAGACATGGACTTTTTTTCTTTTCTTTTCTTTTCTTTTCTTTTGAGACAGAGTCTCGCTCTGTCACCCAGGCCGGAGTGTAAGTGGCACAATCTCGGCTCACGGCAACCTCTGCCTCCCCAGATCAAGCGATTCTCCTGCCTCAGACTCCTGAGTAGCTGGGATTACAGATGCCCACTACAACACCCAGCTAATTTTTCATTTTTAGTAGAGACGGGGTTTCACCATATTGGTCAGGCTGGTCTCGAACTCCTGACCTCAGGTGATCCACCCGCCTCGGCCTCCCAAAGTGCTGGGATTATAGGCACGAGCCACCGTGCTCAGCTTTCTTTTCTTAATAGTTGCCTTCTCTCTGTGTGTCCTGGCCTTAGCAGTAGATTTTGTCATGCTTTTCCCCCTTCATGATTATGTTTTTAATTAATTTTTGTTTTGTGTGTCATCCTTGCCCAGGGGCCATGCTGTCTCTGTCTCATTCTAATTTTAGTATATGTGCTGCTGAAGAGAGCACTTGCCATATTTTTTAAATGGAAACAGTACCCCTAGGCACTCACAGGAACTGCTTTGGAGCCTAGAGACGGGAAATTGGGCTGGGGACAGAGGTCAGGTTAGCAAGGGCAAAGCCCATGCCTCCCACCATAAAGTCCTCTGCTGGGAGCAGTGTTTCCGTTTCAGCAGGCACGTCCCAACGCAATGGGTAAACCTGGCCACATCCGCTGACTCCCAGAGTCTGCCTGGGAACGTGGCCGAGCCTGGAGCTCCCATGGGTCCTGTCTGGAGCACATGGTAGTGGGGTCAGAGGTCAATCAGGGTAGGTTGGATGAATGCAGCTGGTCTGACAAGAGGGCAGGCATTGAGGTCTCTTCTGGTGAAGATCTTAACTGTCAAATTGTGGTCCTGGGTCTAGGATGTGGAATAAGCCTGGTAAAGACCTTGCAGAGCTCTGATGAGGTAGGGTGGAATTAGGAGCCATCCATTTAATCAATAAATACGAACATAGATTTGACACTCCAGTTAAGTGTTTATATTGGTTTCCTATTGCTGCCATAACATATTTAGTGGCTTAAAACAACACAAATCAATAATCTTACAGTTTTGGAGGCCAGAAGTCCAAAATGGGTCTCACTGGGCTAAAATGAACGTGTTGTTAGGGCCACGTTCCTTTCCAGGGATTCTGGGGAAGAATCCATTTTCTCGCCTTCTCCAGGCTGCCCACATGCCTGGACTCAGGTCCCCTTTCCACCTTCAAAGCCAAAAATGGCCAGTTGAGTCTTTCTTATGATGTCATCTTTCTGCTTCTGACCCTCCTGCCTCTCTCCTTTTTTTGTTTTTGAGATGGAGTCTCACTCTGTCGCCCAGGCTGGAATGTAGAGGGGTGATCTTGGTTCACTGCAACTTCTGCCTGCCAGGTTTAAGCAATTCTGTCACCTCAGCCTCCAGAGTAGCTGGCATTACAGGCGCACGCCACCACACTCAGCTAATTTTTGTATTTTTATTAGAGACGGGGTTTTAACATGTTGGCCAGGCTGGTCTCGAACTCCTGACCTCAGATGATCCACCCACCTCAGCCTCCCAAAGTTCTGGGGTGACAGGCCTGAGCCACAGTGCCCAGACCCTCCTGCCACTCTCTTATAAGGTCCCTTCATGATTACACCAGGCCCACCCTGATACTCCAGGATAATCTCCTCATCTCAAGACCCTTATCTATTTTTTTTTTTTTTTTTTGAGACAGAGTCTCGCTCTGTTGCCCAGGCTGGAGTTCAGTGGCACAATCTTGGCTCACCACAACCTCCGCCTCCTGGGTTCAAGCAATTCTCCTGCCTTAGCCTCTCGAGTAGCTGGGACTACAGGCATGGGCCACTATGCCCAGCTAATTTTTGTATTTTTAGTAGAGACGAGGTTTCATTATGTTGGTCAGGCTGGTCTCAAACTCCTGACCTTGTGATTCGCCCTTCTCAGCCTCCCAAAGTGCTGGGATTACAGGCGTGAGCCACAGTGCCCCGCCAAGACCCTCATCTTAATCACATCTGTGGAGTCCCTTTGGCCATGGAAGGTAACATATTCACTGGCTCCGGGATGTGAACATCTTTGTGGGGGCCACTATTCTGCCATGGCTGGTCTCCTCTCCTGAGGTCCCATCATAGCCCAGGCCTGCATGCCCCAGATTTCAGTCCAGTGGCAAAGAGTACACTTTCGTATTGCTTGCCCTGGGAAATATGCCAGGGTTGGCTGTGACTAGGCCAACTTGGGTTGTTAGGTTCACTAACAATCCAGTCACTGCGGCCAGCAGGATGGACCATGCTGCTTGGTTAGTACTGAGTCTCAGGCTCATCCCTGGAACTGAGACTGAGGTCAGCCCCCTCGAGACCTGGAAGAAAGGAGGGAAGAACTTTCCAAGGATAATTGAGGAGCTCTTACAAAAGAAGAGGGAGTAGGTGCTGACCACTACCGACCACAATGATCTTGTGAAACACTGTGATGCCCATTTTGCAGGTGGAAGAGATGGTGAAGTCACACTGCCAGCATGAGGTACAGCCATGATTTGAACCCGCGTGGAGGAGTTCTTGCCACTATATCAGGCTTCCTTGACCCGTGGCTAAATGTGGCATTGGCAGATCTGATTAATGCTGAATGTTATGTAGCTCAGCTGACCTGGGTGGCAGCCTCCTTAGAGGTTGGCATGGGACCTACTGAGGAAGGCACATGGTTAACACAATTACTGGCGAGGTAGATACCCTCAGAGAAAAGGGAAATTTCCATTTCACTCCTGAAAGACTCTTTAAAGCCAAAACTCAAATCAAAGAGCAAAGTATAATAACTTCCTCTGGGCAAATTTATAATTAATCCTGGATTAATTGGCCTTAATGAAGTTGAATTAATTACTAGCTGTTTGTAAAGAACTTTGAACTACCTTAGTACAAAATGGCATTAAAGAAACAGAAAGGAACCAGCATCGCATTAACATGAAGAACAAATCCCAAATAATCGCAGTTCTGCAGGCTGTTTCCCGTCACTAATTTTCCCAGGGACTGTGTCCAGCCTGTGGAACTGTAGGGGGCCCACGGAGTCTGTTGCAGAGGAGGATGTCTTCGTGGGCTAGAGGTTTGGTGGTGAGTGCATTCAAGAAGCAGTTATGGGGCTTTGCGTGTGCCAGGCCCAGGGCTATCAAAGATATGCAAGGTGAGGCCCTTGCTCTCCAGGCATCCTCAGCTACCAGGAAGGGGAAGAGCTCTGGAGCACCTGCCTGGTCTAAAGCAAACTCAGCTTAGTGGGAGGGATGGTAGGACAGAGACAGTAGACTATAGGAGGCGTGAAGCAACCTGCATTTTGCTGGGAACAGCTCTCCATTTCCTGTAGGGGATCCCCTGGTCCCTCCTTCCCCCCATTCTTGGGGTGGGCTCATGACCCACACCTGGCTAGGCAGAGCACTGGATTTCTCTCTTGGTGCAGGGGCACATGACTTCATCAGGGCCAAGGAGACTTGGTTTGGGGACTTTGTGGAGCTGCTGACAGCCACTTTGTCATTGTGAGGGGGGAGCCTGTCTGGGAATGGTGACAACTCAGAGGAAGGAGGAACGGAGAGAAAGAGACAAAGTCAGTGTCTTCATGTTGTCATCTGAGCCCCTGGATGAAGCAAGCTCTTCCCCCAGACTTTTTAGCTAGGTTTATTTATTTAAATTCACAAACTCTGATATAGCACTTATTAATATACCAGGAATTGCTCTAAGTGCTATAGACATACCAATTCATATAATCATCATTACCCTGTGAGTTAGGAAGTATTATGCCCCATTTGACAAATGAAGAAACTGAGGCACAAAGCAGTTTTGTAATGTGCCCAAGGCTCCACAATTTCCAGCTGGTGGGAGCAGGACTGGACACAAGCAGTGTCTGTGCTTTTCACTACACCATGGGCCAGCATGTTCCCTTTTTTGCTTAAGTCAGTTTCACTGTGAGTTTCTGTCATTTGTCCTCAAAAAGCATGACTGTGCAGAACATGACATGGAGGTAGCCAATCCAGCCCCCAGAGGTCTGAGGAAGCTTCCAGAGGGCGTGCCAGCCCAAGGAAGTAGCCCGCGGGCGAGTGTTGGGGTGGGGTGGATGGGCACGGTGTGTGTGTGCAGGATTTCACAGGTTCAGGGTCACCAGGCACAGGGAGAGAAACGGAGAGGAGCATGGCAGGGTGAGCTGGGGTGGGGTGAGGAGTCAGTCTATCCACAGGTGACAGTGATAAAGCATTTGTAACTCTTCCCTTGGGGACTACAAACTAAGGAATCTTAGTCCTACTGGTGCCTTTAGGACACTTTTTCAAATTTTAAAAAATTTACTTATTGAATAGGTAATACTTTCACATGATTTAAAATTCAAAAAATGCCAATGTATTTCAAGTAAAATGTCTTTCTGTCTTCCCTCCAGCCAACCTGTTCCCCTCCCTGGAGATAACATTTATTGAGCACCACCTATATGCACTGTGCTAAACCCAGGGGGAAGCAGATAATGAGGAATGAACATAATAAGGAAATAAACCATACACGTATGTTCAAAGGTGATATGCGCAAAGGAGAAACTGGAGCAGGATAAGGGGGATCAGGAGTAGGGAGGGGGCTGTACTTTTAGAGAGGCTGTCCAGGGCAGGGCTAATGCAGGACGTGACAGTTGAACTTGGAGGAGGTGAGGGGTGAGCCATTTAGAGGTTTGGGAGAAAAATGCTCTGGTCCATGCTTGGGGGCTTTGAGTAACAGCAAGGGGGCCAGTGTGGCTGGAGCCAGAAGAAAACAGGAGATGAGTTCAGGAAGGTAGCATGGTGTGTGTATGTGTGTGTATGTGTGTCTCTGTGCATGTGCGTGCGTCTGTGTGTGTGTGTGCATGTGTGCGTGTGTCTCTGTGCTTATGCATGGCCCCATTTGCCTGCTGCTGTGAGCAAGTGTGTGTGCGTGCATCTGTGTGTGTGTCTCTGTGCGTGTGCACGGGCGTGTGCATGTGCGTCTGTGTATCTCTATGTGTGTGTATGGCCCCATTTGCCTGCCGCTGTGAGCACGTGTGTGTGCGTGCATCTGTGTGTGTGTGTCTCTGTGCGTGTGCACGGGCGTGTGCATGTGCGTCTGTGTATCTCTATGTGTGTGTATGGCCCCATTTGCCTGCCGCTGTGTGCACGTCTGTGTGTGCGTGCATGTATGCGTGTGTGTCTCATGCGTGTGCACGTGTTTGCGTGTGCATCTGTGTGCATGCACATGTGTCTCTGTGCGTGTGCATGGCCCCATCTGCCTGCCGCTGTGTGCACGTGTGTGTACGTACATCTGTGTGTCTCTGTGCGTGTGCACGTGTGTCCATGTGTCTGTGTGTGTGTGCATGCATCTGTGTGTGTGCGCACTTGTGTGCGTTTGTGTCTCTGTGAGTGTGCATGGCCCCATTTGCCTGCCACTGTGCTGCTGTAAGGACTGTGGCTCCTCGTCCAAGTGAGATGAGGAGATAAAGGCTCACTCCAGCTTCTGTAAGCAGAACAGGCTATAGGAGAACAAGAGCAGATGCAGGGAGTCCTAGTAAAAGAACAGCTTCAGTAAATTAAAACCATGATGAGATACCACAACACACCTATTGGAAAGGCCAACATTATAATTATTATTGAGACAAGGTTTTGCTCTGTTGCCCGGGCTGGGGTGCAGTGGCACAATCGGCTCACTGCAGCCTTGACCTCCTGGGGTCAAGGGATCCGCGCACCTCAGCCTCTTGAGTAGCTGAGACCACAGGCATGTGCCACCATACCTGGCTAATTTTTGTGTTTTTTGTAGAGGTGGAGCCCTACTGTGTTTCCCAGGCTGGTCTCCAACTCCTGGGCTCAAATGATCTTCCCACCTTGGCCTCCCAAAATGCTGGGATTACAGGCATGAGCCACCACATCCTGCAAGAAAAGCTAAAATTAAAAACAAAACAAAACAGCCTAGGTAACATAATGAGACTCCATCTTTACAAAAAATTTTAAAAATTGGCTAGGCTACCCAGGAGGCTGGGGCGGGAGGATGGTTTGAGCCCAGGAGTTTGAAACTGCAGTGAGCTATGATTATGCCACTGCACTCCAGCCTGGATGACAGAGTGAGACCCCATCTCTAAAACAAAAACAAAAACAAGACACTCAACAATACCAAATACAACTGATGATGCTGAGCAAGCGAAACTCTTATACATTGCTGCGGGAATGTAAAATGATACAGCCACTCTGGAAAACAGTTCAGCAGTTTCTTATAAAGTTAAAACCCACTTGCCATATGACCCAACAATCTCACTTTTGGTATTTACCTGAGTGAAACTTATGTTGGCATAAAACCTATACATAAGTGTTTAGAGCAGCTTTATAATAGCCAAAACCTGGAAACAACCCAAATGCCCTTCAACAGGTGACTGGGCAACCAAATGATGATCCATCCATATGATGGAATACTACACAGTGATAAAAAGGACCACACACTGCAGTTATACACAACAACATGGATAAATCTCAAATGCATTATGCTAAGTGAAAGAAGCTGGACCCCAACGGTTACCTACTGTTTGCTTCCACTTATATGATGTTCTGGAAAAGGCAAAGCCTGTAGAGACAGAGAACATAGATAACTATCTGCCAGAGGTTAAAGGTGTAGGAGGGGTTGATCATAAAGGGCTTTTTTTTTTTGAGGGTTGAGTCTGTTTTGTATCTTGATTGTGATGGTGATTACCTGATATCATGCATTGGCCAAAGCTCATAGAGCCGTACACCAACAAGGGTGAATTTTACTGTTGCAGTAATCCAGGTGAAGAGATGATGGCTTAGATCAAGTGCTGATGGTAGAGATGTTCAGAGGGGATTGGATTCTAAGGGTAAAACCAACAGAATTTTTTAATGAATTGGATGTGGTGTATGAAAGAAAGAGAGGAGTCAAGAACTGAGCCAGTTTGCTGCTTAAAAAACTGGGAGGATGCAGTTCTCATTCACTGTGATGGGAGTGGAGTGGAGGGTAAAACCAGAAATTCTGACCTTGACATGTAAGTTTGAGATGCCTATTACACATTCAGGTTGTGTATGTGAGCCTGCAGTTAGGAGGGGGAGGCTCCTAGCTGCAGGCTCACACACAGAACCTGAATTTGGGAGTCAATGGCTTGTAACGCCAAGAGACATAGACATCACCAGGGAGTAAACATATAGAGAGAAAGTTGGAGGGCTGAGCCCTGGGACCTTCTTGTGTCTGCTGTTATCCATCTCTTATGTATCCTTGTAGGGCTATTCTGTACTTGTACAAGCACATATATAGAGAGAGTGCATTTTTCATAAATGCAAACATGCTACACACACTAGTGTGCACCCTATTTTTTCAGTTACCAATATTATCTTAGAGATTGTTCCCAAGTAGTGTACAAACAGCTTCTTTGTTCTTTTCAAAGTCTGCATCGTATTCCACAGTATAGACAGACCATGATCTCTCTTTTTCTATTTACAGTTTTTCATTATGGAAAACTTTGAACATATCAAAAATGTAGACAGAATAATGAACCCCCAAGACCCATTACCCAACAATGATCAACTCAGGGCCAGTCTAGACTGCCACACACTCCTCTTTTAAATTATGATTTTTGGTAGCTTTGTGTCTGATATAATTTCTTTTTTCTTTCTTCTTTTCCTTTCCTTTCTTTCTTTTCTTTTTGGTAGCTTTGTATCTGATATAATTTCTCTTCTTTCCTCTTTCTTTCTTTCTTTTTTTTTTTTTTGACAGAGCAAGACTCTGTTGCCCAGGCTGGAGTGCAGTGGTGCGATCATGGCTCACTGCAACCTCTGCATCCCGGGTTCAAGCAATTCTCGTGCCTCAGCCTCCCGAGCAGTTGGGATTACAGGCATGCACCACCATGCCTGGCTAATTTTTGTACTTTTAGTAGAGACGGGGTTTTGCCATGTTGGCCAGGCTGGTCCTGAACTTCTGGCCTGAAGTGATCTGCCCGCCTTCGCCTCTCAAAGTGCTGGGGTTACAGGTGTAAGCCACTATGCCTGGCCTTTGTCTTGATATAATTTCAAACTTACCATAATTATTCTTTTTAAGGACATTTACTTTGTTTATAATATTTTGCTACTACATACAATATAGAAAAGAAATACTTGGTACTAGAACATGCCTTTTCATGAAGACTACTTTCCTTGGGGCCCAAAAGAACAAGAGGCTGGGGCCTGAAACGCTTCCAGAGCAACTGTCTGGAGGAAGGAGTGAGTCTCAATGGTTTCTCTCCATGGGAATCTGTTTCTGAGACCCTTGGGCCAGCCACACAACCAGAGCCCACACAAGGAGGGAGACTTCGGTGATGTTGTAACACCAATCTCAGCATTGGTGAGATTCTGTTTTCTGGGGAAGTCTGGCTTTGGCCTCTGGCCAGCTTTCCAGAGCTTCTGCCTTTGATGCTTCAGAAGGCCACACCACCAGGCTAAAACCATACTTTGAAAGACATTTTCAGGATATGCTTAGCATGCAGCTTCTTCTCTTCAGCCCCACCTCGCCACGTGCCACATGGCTTAGGTTGCTGCTGTCTCTGAGCCTGCTGTTTTCTCTGTGCAGCACGTTCTTTCATCAATTTCCCTCGGTTCTGTGCAGCCTGGCCCTTCTCTTGCATCTTTGTCAGCTCAAATGCCTCTCCCTTAATAAGCATCCTCCTCCCTTGCACCAGTAACTCTCAGCCATGCTGCCTTATTTCTCCCAAAGCACTTCATCATTATTTGCCTTATTCATCCACAGTTGTATCCCTCCAAAATATCATGTCTGCCACACAGCAGGTGTTCAATCAATATTTGTTAGAATATTTGTTAGAAGATTTGTATTAGTCAGGATTCTCTAGAGGGACAAAACTAATGGAATATACATGGAATATATATATATCTCCTAAGCCCAGGCTACAGACTCTCAGGGTGAGAATTTCTGAGTCAGAGATAATGTTGTCCTCTTCCATCTTGGAATATGTATACATATATGTATATATATTCCATATATGTGTATATATATTCCATTATATATATATATATGTATGTTCCATTGTATGGAATATACATCCATATGTATATATGTATGTTCCATATGTATATATGTATATTCCATATATATATTCCACAGAATATATATATTTGACAGAACTAATAGAATATATATATTCTATATATATATTCTATACATATATTCTATACATATTCTATACATATATTCTATATATATTCTATATATTATATATTCTATATATATTCTATATATTATATATTCTATATATATTCTATATTATATATTCTATATATATTCTATATATTATATATTCTATATATATTCTATATATTATATATTCTATATATTATATATTCTATATATATTCTATATATTATATATTCTATATATATTCTATATATATATTCTATATATATAATATAATATTCTATATTATATATAATATATTCTATATATTATATATATTATATATTCTATATATTATATATTATATATTCTATATATATTATATATATTATATTATATATTATATATATAATATATATTCTATATTCTATATATTCTATATATATTATATGTTCTCTATATATTCTCTATATATCTATATATTCTATATATATTCTGTATATATTCTATATATATTCTATATATATTCTATATATTCTATATATATTCTATATATACTCTATATACATTCTATATATACTCTATATATTCTATATATACACTATATATATTCTATATATATATACTCTATATATCTATATATAAAATCTATATATATTCTATATATAGATATATAAACTATATCAAGTGATCTGCCTGCCTCAGCCTCCCAAAGTGCTGGGATTACAGGCATGAACCACCGTGCCCAGCCAAACCTTTTTTCTTTTCATTACCATTTCAGGATTCTGTTTAAAACAGAGGTAAGAAATGAGGTTTATTTGAAGCCAGGCCCTGTACAAAGTCTTTGTTAGTTGAAATATTTCTCAGAGGTACATAAAGCCTCTAAAGCTCTTATTACCTATTTACTAACCCTCCCTTTTAAATACGTTTACTGCTTTTACTACTAGATTTTTTTTAATGGGAGGCGTATTTTTACAGTTTCCTATTTGCAAGGTGGGAAAACGGAAACAAAGATTCTGTTCTCTTCTTGTAAGGACCCTAATCCCATCACAAGGGCCCGCTCTCATGATCTCATCTAACCTCCCAAACGTCCCATCTCCAAATACTATCACACTGGGGGTCAGGGTGTCCACATATGAATTTGAGAGGGACACAATTCAGTCTATGACATGGACTCTGTTCCTAGTGGAGAGTGGTGGAACGAAGGAGGCAGTTACTGCAAGCATGAATACATCCGCACATGGTCTGGCTCATCACAGAGGGCAAAGGTAAGATCCTGTGAACTTTGTGCTCCACCGCCACAGTGTTACAAAAACACTCTCTTCTCCAGAAAAATGGAAGGAGGAGGCAATGTTGGGCTAGCATTCCTGCCTGGTATCACTGGCTGAGACTGAGCAGTGGCTTCCCTCTTTGCACAGGAAAAGGGCTCTCCAGGTCTCCCAGGTCCCCACCACTCCCTGTCATCTTAGACTGTTTTAACTTCTCTTCTTTGATTTACCCACCACCTGGCCAGAGCAGACACTTAGGTTTGTTACCTCTGGTTGGTGACTATGGCTGACAACCTTTTTTGTGGTTCTAGACACTTCAGAATCTAGTGAGAGTTGTCGACCCTCTGTCTAGCAAGAGCACATCACAACACATTGTGCGTTCAATTTAGAGGTTTGTGGCCTCTCCTAAGCCCAGGCTACAGACTCTCAGGGTGAGAATTTCTGAGTCAGAGATAATGTTGTCCTCTTCCATCTTCAAACCATCTTTTCCCATGGTTGGCTCCTTCTCAACACTGGAGTTTCAACTCAAACAGCAACTCCTAGATGTCTTCCCTGACCCACAGTTAGGTAGCTGTCCATCCTCCCTCTCCTGCTCCTTTTTATCTCAGCTTTTATTTTCCCTAGGAGACTTCTCGCTCTCTGAAATGGTCTGGTTCAGGCTGTATTGTTTGACTTAGCCCTCACCCCCTGAATGTAATATTAGCGGGCACTGTAGCCCAGCGGAACCCACCAGGCACTTGGTAAGATCTTGCTGAAATGTATGAATGATTGGAAGTGTGTCCGGAGTTGGTTTCTTCCAGTGGGTTCCTAGTCTCGCTGACTTCAAGAATGGAGCCGCGGACCTTCGCAGTGAGTGTTAAAGCTCTTAAAGATGGCACAGTCCCAAAGAGTGAGCAGCAGCAAGATTTATTGTGAAGAGCAAAAAGCTTCTGCAATGCGAAAGGGCACCTGAGAGGGTTGCTGCTGCTGGCGGGGGTGGCCAGCTTTTATTCCCTTATTTGCCCCCTCCCCCACGCCCCCCCATGTTCCGTTTTTGTCCTATCAGAGCGCCCTTTTTTCAATCCTCCCTGTGATTGGCTTCTTTTAGGATCCTGCTGATTGGTGCATGTTACAGAGCACTGATTGGTGCGTTTTACAGAGCGCTGATTGGTGCATTTTACAATCCTCTTGATAGCTATAGAAAAGTTCTCCAAGTCTCCACTCACCCAGAAAGTCCAAATGGCTTCACTTCTCAGAAGGATCCCTCCATCTCGGGCTCCTAGAGGCTTCAGGCAGGAGGAGCCACGTGAGAGAGAAACCCTGCCTACGGTGACCTCCAGTTCCTAGACCACCCAGTCGGAGCACGGCGCTCGGCTGTGCCCGTGAGCCTCAGGAGGGCGGAAGCTTCCGGGCCGGAACGGGTGTGCACAGCGCGCCGGTTACGGGGGGGCAACTTAACGGGCCGGACCGCGGCGACTACCGAGGGAGGTGAGGGGCGGGCCGGGCGGGTGTCCGAGGCGGCGGCGGCGGCATGGCAGGGCGGCGGGTGAACGTGAACGTGGGCGTGCTGGGCCACATCGACAGCGGCAAGACGGCGCTGGCGCGGGCGCTAAGCACCACAGCCTCCACCGCCGCCTTTGACAAGCAGCCGCAGAGCCGCGAGCGCGGCATCACGCTCGATCTGGGCTTCTCGTGCTTCTCGGTGCCGCTGCCCGCGCGCCTGCGGTCGTCTTTGCCCGAGTTCCAGGCAGCGCCCGAGGCCGAGCCCGAGCCCGGCGAGCCACTGCTTCAGGTCACGCTGGTCGACTGCCCCGGGCACGCCTCCCTCATCCGGACCATCATCGGCGGTGAGCGCGGGCCGGGGCGGGAGCCGGGCTCAGGGACGCGGGCGGAGCGACCGGGCCCCGTGTCCGAATTCGCTCGAGCCTTTGCCGGGACGGGAAATCGCCCCACCTCATTGGTGGGGCTCCTGACGCTCCAAGAGGCGGACGTGACTTGCCTAGGGCTCCGCAGCAAGTGAGCGGAGGCTTTGAGATTCAGCTTTTCCCATCCAGCAGAACCGAGCTGCAAGGCGCCTTCCTTAAAAAAAAAAAAAAAAAAAATCAAAAAATCCCTACCAAATGTGTTTATAATACATGGTCAAGTAAAGAAAACTCAAAATAAGAAAACTCACAAGCTACAAAAAGGGTATACATACAAAGGCTGTCTTCATTCACCTGTCATTTGGTCTGATTCCCGTTCCTAGAGCCAACCGCTGCTACCAGTTTTTGTATATCATTTCAGAAAGGCTCCACGTCAATACAAGCATATCTGTGTGTATGTATAAATCCCTCTTTCCCTCATCCTTTTAGACACGATTTCACTCAACATTGTGTCTGGAGAGTGCCCCATATCTGTACACAAAGCTACATCATTCTTTTTAAAGCTCACATAGAATTCAACTGCACCCTTGTACCAACATTTTCTTTTTCTTTTTTTTTTTTTCTTTTTGAGACAGAGTCTTGTTCTGTCGCCCAGCCTGGAGTGCAGTGGCACGATCTCGGCTCACTGCAACTTCCGCCTCCTGGGTTCAAGCGATTGTCCTGCCTCAGTCTCCTGAGTAGCTGGGATTACAGGCGCGCGCCACCACGCCCGGCTAATTTTTTTGTATTTTCAGTAGAGACGGGTTTCACCATGTTGGTCAGGCTGGTCTCAAACTCCTGACTTCATGACCCGCCCGCCCTGGCCTCCCAAAGTCCTGGGATTACAGGCGTGAGCCACCACGTCCGGCCTGTACCAACATTTTCTGAACAAATCTTTTAATGATGGACGTTTATGCTGTTTCCAGTATTTACAAACCATTTTGCAGTGAATATTCTAGAACAGAACTCTTTGGTATGTTCGCATATATGTAGGATAATAGATAATAACTGGCTGGGGCAAGGGGCATGTGTGTTTTCGGTCGTGGTGGGTACTGCCAAAATGCCCCACAAAGAGGTACCATTAATTTTTAATTATACATGTAATACATGAATACATGCTACTTGTGAAGAAATAGAACATCACAAATAAGACAAACATTCCCTTACCCACTCCTCTGTCCTAAATTCTGTACCCCTCCTATCTCTGCAAATGAAAAGACCCGTTTTTTGTTTTTTTGTTTTTTTGTTTTTTTCTGAGATGGAGTCTCGCTCTGTTACCAGGCTGGAGTGCAGTGGTGCAATCTTGGCTCACTGCAACCTCTTTCTCCCCGGTTCAAGCGATTCTCCTGCCTCAGCCTCCCAAGTAGCTGGGACTACAGGTGCACATCACCACACCTGGCTAATTTTTATATTTTTAGTAGACATGGGGTTTCACCATATTGGCCAGGATGGTCTTGATCTCGACCTCGTGATCCCCATGCCTCGGCCTCCCAAAGTGCTGGGATTACAGGTGTGAGCCACTGTGCCTGGCTGAAAAGACCATTATTATACCTTTGTGGATTACTTTTCCAGACCCATTTAACTCCACTTAAATATATGGATAGAGTTTTAAAACATGTTTTGTTTTTAGAAAAAATGATACAATAATATAAACACATGGTATAAAAGGGTATATAGCTAAAGAAGTATACTTCTCACTGCTGACCCCAGTACCTGATTACCTTTCTGTTCCCATTTTCTTGTGTTTCCTTCCAGCAATATTCTGTATGCCACACATGGGAATATATATTGGGCAGATGATAATTGGCTTGGTGGCAGATGGCCTCATTGGTCACTGGGCATTCTGGGTCCCAGCTATAATGGTGAGCTTGTTAAGTACAGTACTTCATCTTTGTTACCTCCCAACTGTTTCATGTTACAGGCAGTCTGAGATCATTTCCCCATTTTACAGTAGAGGAAATAGAAGTTTGAAGAAGTGAAGGGACTTGCTCAGGGTCACACTATCTAAAGTCTTCTCCTCAATCCATGTTTCAGTCAGGTGAATTTCAAGGGGCACACAATTCTCTACCCATTCCTCCCTGCCCCCTTATAACTGAATTCTGTTTGGTCACATCAAAGTACATTTTAGAACATGGACTCTGAGCCAGTCCAGACTGGAGGTGGAAGGCAGAGGTTAAAAAATGAGATGGCGAGTTTTTAGTGTTGTCTAGTAAATAGGGTAGATGAGTGGTGAAGGACATACTTTTGGAGTCAGACAAAACTGGGCTTGAAGCCTAGCTTGCTTTCTTCCTTAGCTGTATGACGTTTGAACCTAATTCTGGACCTTGCTCCAACTGGAAGATAGTGGTAACCACACAACTATTTATTGGCTTGACTTTTCTTGTGTATTTGCTGCTTACCAGGCAAACCCTGCAAGGAGCGTGGTGGTTACCATTTAATAGTTGAGAAAATTGGGACTTAGGGAGGCAGGTAGTTAGTGAAACAGTCCAGGTCTGCCTGACTCCAAAGCTGGAGTCCTTTGCATGCTTCCCCAGGTTACCCTATAGTTCCCTCATCCGCTTCCAACATACGTGCATACCTCATGTTATTGTGCTTCACTTGATTGTACTTTGCAGATAGTGGTTTTTACAAATCGAAGGTTCAAGGCAACCCATCCAACAGCATTGCTTACTTTGTGTCTCTATGCCACATTTGGGTTATTCTTAACAATATTTCAAACTTTTCATCAAATATTAAGCATCAAACATTTCACTTCATTTCAAACACATGTCATCTGTTAATGGTGATCTGGGATCAGTGATCTTTGATGTTACTATTGTAATTTTGAAATGTCACAAACAATGCTTATGTAAGGCAGCAAACTTAATAAATGTTGTGTGTTTTCTGACTGTTCTACCTACTGGCTTTTTCCCTGTCTGTCTCCCTCTCCTCAGGCCTCCCTATTCCCTGAGACACAACAATATTAAAATTCATCCAGCTAATAGCCTTTATGCGTTCAAGGGAAAGGAAGAGTTGCAAGTCTCTCACTTTAAATCAAAAGTTAGAAATGATTAAGCTTAGTGATGAAGGCAATGTTGAAGACTGAGATAGGCTGAAAGCAAGGCCTCTTACACCACACCAAACAGCAAAGTTTTGGACGCAAAGGAAAAGTTCCTGAAGGAAATTAAAAGTGCTACTGTAGTGAACACACAGATGATAAGAAAGCAAGACAGCTTTATTGCTTTATAGAGAAAGTTTTAGTGGTCTGGATAGAAAATCAAACCAGCTACCACATTCCCTTAAGTGGAAGCCTAATCCAGAGCAAGGCCCTAACTCTTCAATTCTATGAAGGCTGAGAGAGGTAAGGAAGCTGCAGAAGAAAAGTTTGAAGCTAGCAGAAGTTGGTTCATGAGGTTTGAGGAAAGAGGCCATCTCCAGAACATAAATGTACAAGATGAAACAACAAATGGTGATAGAGAAGCTGCAGCAAGTTATCCAGGAGATCTAGCTAAGATCATTGATGAAGGTGAGTACACTAAACAGATTTTCACTGTAGATGGAACAGCCTTATATGGAGAAGATGCTATGTAGGACTTTCATAGCTACAGAGAAGTCAATGACTGGGTACAAAGCTTCAAAGGACAGGCTGACTCTTGTTAGGGGCTAATGCAGCTGAAGCCATTGCTCATTGACCATTCCAAAAATCCTAGGGCCCTTAAGAATTATGCTAAATCTATTCAGCCTGTGCTCTTGAAATGGCACAACGCAGCCTGGATGACAGCACATCTGTTTATAGCATGGTTTACTGAATATTTTAAGCCCACTGTTGAGACCTACTGCTTAGAAAAAATACTCCTTTCAAAATATTACTGATTGTTGATAATGCACCTGGTCACCTAATGGCTCTGATGGAGATGTACAAAGAGATTAATTTGTTATCATGCTTGCTAACACAGCATCCATTCTGCAGTGTATGGGTCAAGGAGTAATTTTGACTTTCAGGTCTTATTATTTAAGAAATATATTTCATAAGGCCATAGCTGCCCAAGATAATAATTCCTCTGATGGATCTGGACAAAGTAAATTGAAAACCTTCTGGAAAGGATTTATCATTCTAGATGCCATAAAGAACATTTGTGATTCATGGGAGGAGGTAAAAATATCAACAGTAACAATAATTTGGAAGAGGTTGATTCCAACCCTCATGGATGACTGAGGGGTTCAAGACTTCAGTGGAGCAAGTCACTGCAGATGTGGTAGAAATAGCAAGAGAGTTAGAATGAGAAGTGGTGCCTGAGGATATGACTGAATTGCTACAATCTCATGATCAATCTTGAGTGGATGAGGAGTTGCTTCTTGTGCATGAGCAAAGAAAGTAGTTTCTTGAGATGGAACCTACTCCTGGTGAAGATGCTGTAAACATTGTTGAAATGACAACAAAGGATTTAGAATATTACATAAACTTAGTTGATAAAGCAGTGGCAAGATTTGAGAGGACTGACTCCAGTTTTGAAAGCAATTCTGTGAGTAAAATGCCATCAAACAGCTTCACATGCTACAGATAAATTTTTGTAAAAGGAAGAGTCACCTGATGTGGCAAACTTCATTGTCTTATTTCATTAGATTGCCACAGTCACCCCAACCTTCATCAACCACCACCCTGATCAGTCGGCAACCATCACCACTGAGGCAAGACCCTCCACCAGCAAAAAGATTATGACTTGCTGAAGGTTCAGTAATCATTAGCATTTTTTAGCAATGAATTATTTTAAAATTAAGGAATGTTTATTGTTTTTTGAGACATACTACTATTGCACACTTAATTGACGACATGTCATGTAAACATAACTTTTATACACATTGGGAAACCAAAAAATTTGACTTGCTTTATTGTGATATTCACTGTGCTGCAGTGGTCTGGAACTGAATGCACAATATCTTTGAGGTAAGCCTCATTTGTAGAGAAGCTCTTCATATTGCAAAAAAGTTTCAGCACTTGCCTGGTCCTATATAACCAATTGTAATGCCCTGAAGAATTTGGCAAGTTTTTTATTTCGACTAAAACTGTAGAAGAACTTATTTTTGTATGTACATTGTTGCTTATCTTTTGTCTCATCTCTGGAGTAGGGAGATTTATCTTCTTAAAATATGGCCTGAGTGGAATGGAATGCTGAGACCAAGGCTGCTACCATTCTTCCTTGAATACATCAGAGACCCACCTTCCTTTTCAGGGAATTGAGAAAAAACAATGTTTTTCTTGTAAAGAGAAGGTGTTCCCCATTGAGTGCCTGCTCGGGCCCAGGCCTGTTGCCAGGAACTTGCATCTATGCAATACCACCCTGTGTGGTGGGAGTGTTAGTTAGTCTTATTTCTCAGATGAGGAAACCCAAGCAAAGTGCCTTGGGCTAGTGTTGGAACCTAACTCCGCCACCCCTAACCTGGATCTGGTTAATACCTTCATTTCACCTCATGGTCCACAAACTTGTGGGCATCTTTGCCTTCTTGAAATGGCCCCCAAGGCCATCCTGGCTTATGGCACCTGGACTTCTACAGTTCTGCCCCCTGCCTGCTTATTCTCCTCCTCCCTCTGATTCATTCTCTGCACAGTGGGCATTGCTCTCCTTTTACAGGTGTTCATCAGATCATGTCAGCCCTACACTTGACAAGACTTTCCAGTGAGTTCTCATTGTGCTTGGAGTAAAATCCAGCCACTTTATGGCCCATAGGACAATGGTCTGGCTCTGCTTTCCTCTGATCCCATCAACGATCCCATCAACGACTGCTCCCCACTCTGACCTTCAGTCACGGTGGCCTCATTTCTCTTCCTCCAGTGGGCCCACCAGCTGCTTCCCTCAGGACATTTGCACCTGTTGTTGCCTCTGTTTGGTACATCTGGCTCCTTAAGTCTCTGCTTTAATGGCACCTCCTCAGCAGCCTCTCCTGCCCCACCTATCTAAAGTTGTCTCTTCAACCCTCACCCCCTCATACTTTCTCATGTCCCTGTTTCATTGCCCCAGCAGCCCTTTTCACTACCTGACGTTCTTCATGTGTTTACTTGTTGAGTATCTGTCCTCTGCTAGAATGTGAGCTCCATGAGACCAGAGCAGGAACCTTGTCTGTCTCATTCACCAGTGTTCTCAGCACTTGGGCCAGAGCCTGGCATAGGATAGGTATTTAGTAAGTTCTGGATGAATGAAGCCTGTGTACCAGCTCCTGGGCTAGCCAGTTTTAGTGAGCAGAGAACCTTCTTTGTGGGTTAGTGGACAGAAGGCAACTAGCTTAGGGCCTGGCCTGTAGTGAATTATGCAGGTTGGTTCTTTGTCCTCCCCTTTAGGAGCTTACATCAGAACCCGGAAGACACTGCTGTGTACAAAGTGATCTTCTGGAGTTCTTTGCACAAGGGCAAAAGCAGGAGTAACTCACTTTTTCTTTCCTAGGCAAGGGCAAGGCTCTGAGCCTTAAACATGCCATTGTGTCTCAACATCAGAGATGACTGCCAGCATTTAGGCATGGCTGGAAATCGGCGTGGTGTGTGGGAGGTGTGCTAAAGATGAAGCTAGAAGGGTTGGCAGGGCCAGACCCTAGAGAATGGCCCTTAGTGTAGATTTTTCCTAAGGGTCCTGGAGCTCCTTGGAAGGCTGTTAAAGCAGGTGTGTGATATGATTGGGCTGAGCTTTTGATAGAAAGTTGCAGGATTGCTGGGCAGGGATTCCCACTGGCAGCAGGTGTGGTTTTCTCTAGCTGCACCTGCACCTGGCATCCCTGGGAGATCGGGCTCTTGTTAGAGTTCCTTGCTACTGTGAAAGATTTAGACCCCCTGTGGAATATGTTATTCCCAGGAGAAGGAAATTATAACAGTTGTCTGAGTTCTGTGATGATATCTCTGAAGTTTAATATATCTTAAATTAAAGCTGGCTCTAATTCCACTGTGTGCGCACACACACGCGCACACACACACACACACACACGAATCCTATCTTAACTTAGAGAAAATTGGGTTTTATCTCCCTTGATGCATGTGGCCACAGATAAAACTAAGTGGTGCTGTGGGGTTAACAGTGATAATTGTACTTACCATTATTTAGTGCTTGTCTGTATGCTGTTTTTTTGATTTGTTTGTTTAATCTTCACACTATTCCTAGGAGGTAAGAGTTGCTATTCCCATTTTACAGATAAAAAACCATGGCTCAGAGGTCAGGGAACCCAGTTAGTAAGTGTCAGAACTAGGTTTGAACCCATATTGATCTGACTGCACAGCCCATACGCTGGCATTCTCAGTGTGAATGAAAAAGTGTACCCGTCCATTCCAGCCCCCTGTAGTGGTTCAGAGCAGTATTTTTCTTGAATCCATTTTAGAGTATAAATCTTTCAGGGTTACAACTTCAAAAAGATTCAGTAATGTATGTTTTAAAGACTTGGGTGGGTGTGAGGGACTTAGACTCATCCTCAATCTAACTCTGGCAGGAAAGAGGAGGGCTGAAAAATGCTGGTATCTTGGCTTGGCAATTTATAGTCCTCTGGTGGCTGTGAGGATTAACAGTGTATTGTCTCCCAGTCTTTTGTTTCGGTTGTTAATGAACAGCACTGCTACTTGTCGCCTGGACCTCTTGCCTTCTGTACACACTATTTTAGCGGTGCCTCCTGCGTGGGTCTGACCCTCTCTGAGCCCTCCCTGCCAAGAGCTGAGGAGGGCTGCAAAAGACTTCTAAGTCTGACTCAGGTTACTCTCCTTGAAGGAGAGAAACATCCAAGAGCCTACAAGATTTTTGTCTCTGCAGCCTGGAGAGAACATTCTTTGTAAAACTTAAGCGACTTTGCCTTTTCCTTTTTTCCAGCCTTCTGTGTTCTTGGCGCCCATGTGGAGAAGGCTCTTCCCCTTTCATCTGTTTTATTGAGGTGTGTGCCCTTCATTCTTTCTGCAGATGCCCTCTCTTGACTCGTAAATGAAACAAGGGGTTCTTGTGTGTGAATGAATTTCAACCAGATTTTTTTGTGATACCCGTTAGGCATCTGCACATATCCCCGGAAAGCAGCCTGCTCCAGGCAGAAATAACATACTGGGGGCTTGACCAGGTAGGCCTTGGTGTCCTTGAGGAATTTGGGTGTTACTCTAATGCAAAAGCAAACAAACCAAACACCACTTTTGGTTTTCTTTACCCCTAGTCTTTTCAGGAGAATCTGTGTAGGAATATATTATGTGAAATTGTGGTAATTATGTATGTTTGTCCTAAAATACTGAGGCATATTTGAAGGAGTTCTAAGTGGAAATGCTTTCTTCAGCTTTACTTCTTTAGTTCCTAGTATCCATCAGGCCTTAGTTCCCTGTTTCTTTGTGCCCATCCAGTGAGAGCTGTTTCTTTCTCTTCTTCACTGAAAGGTACACACCATAACTAGAAGATTCTACTCTCCAGTACTGCTTCTTCGACGTCCTCTACCACCAACTAAAGCTGAGGCTGACACTGGAGTTGCTTGCCTTCACTTGCTTCAAAGACTCTTATGTTCAATAGAGTCTGCCTCACTCAGCACTAAAGTGTACCACTATTCAAGTACAAGTTTTCTTGTTTTGCCTGGTACCTTATTGCTCTCTGACCCCACCTGATCTCCCCATACACTGGAGTGCCTTTAACTCTCTCCAGGAGACTCAAGTTGAGCTTTGTCTGCGGCACCTTCTCTTGGCGCTGGACAGCGGGTGATTTTGCTTTAGCTTGGGTGACAGTGTGGGAGTAGCGCAACATCAGAGACACAGCCTTGAGTTTAAATTAATGCAGAATATTTGAGCAGGAACCAACAGGAAAGAAAAATGGAAGCAGGTAGTCATATTTCATTCTGTTGGGGTACATTTTTCTTCTCATGGGGCTTGCCCTTGAGAACAAAACATATCAAAAGTTAAATCAAAGAATATTTTTGTAGTCATGCTAGGAATAGAAAATAATGCAAAGACTCTGGCTTCTTGAGGCAAATATTTTGCTGGAAGGTTATAATCAAAGTCAGAAGGAAATCATAGCCACAGCTTTCGGTAAAGCTGTAATCATTTAAAATTAATTGCTTTTAAACTTTTCACTGAGCATCCCCTTTGTTTTCTATCAGCATGTCTCTTGGGTTTTTCTTCGGAATCATTCCATCCAGGTTGGAATAGGATTCGGGCAGGCATCCCAGGAAACAACCCATAAATTAAGCCCTAAGACATATTCCCCTTTCTGTCATTCTTTTGTTTGATGGAGCCTCAACCAGGCTGGGGATGAGATACTCTTACCTTAAGAGCTCAATTCTGTGTCCCCTTTACCAGTAAAGGCTTTGATGTGCGGAAAATGATGGTATCTATAGCTCTGGTACTCTGGGTATCTTGGAGGCCCAGTCTTGGTGAGGGTAGAGCCTGGCACTTCTGAGGCAGCCTCATGGTAGGATAGGGAGCTGGAGTGAGTCCTCGTTCTTCTAGGCTCTGGACTTGGTTGCACAGCATGCATCCCTCTTGGTGTGAACACTTCACTCCAATGGCTGGTTTCCATGTCTCCTCTTTCCATTAGCCTGGAAGCTTGATGGGGTAGAGACAATATCTGAATCATCTCTGTAGGTCTAGGGCCAACCCAGAGCCTGGCATACAGCAGATAATAATTTTAAAAACATTTTTAATTTTATATAGTGTTTATATAATTTTTTAAAATAATTTTATGGTATGTAAATTACATACCATAAAATTCACCCATTTCACTGAGTGTACACTAAGTGAACACTCAGTGGTTTTCACTGTACTCATACAGTTGTGTAGCTGTCATCACACAATCTCAGTTTAGACCATTTTCGTCACCCCATAAAGAAACCACATCCCTACCAGGAGTCATTCCCCATTCGCCCCTCTCCCAGGCCTAGGCAACCACGAATCTACTTAATGTCTCTGGATTGACCGGTCCTGGACATTTCATATAAGTAGATCACACAATATGTGGCCTTTTTGTCTGGCGACTTTTGCTTGGCCTCCTATGTTGCCCAGGCTGGTCTTGAACTCCTGAAGTTAAGCAGTCCTCTTGCCTCAGCCTCCCAAAGCGAGCATATGCTTTGGGAACCAGTATTGCATTTTTTTGTGAAAAAAAAACAAAAAACAAAACTATTTCTATTGATTTCTACTTGTGGTAAAGTATAAATAATGTACAATTTGCCATCTTAGCCATCTTAAGTGTACAGTGTGTGGCATGTGCTCCTCAGGCTGCCTCCTCTTTCTGTGATGTGCCTGGCCCATGGAGACATTTGGGCTGGTAGGCCTTGTTTTAAGGGCTTTCGGCAGCTTGTGTGGTGGGAAAGGACCACATGGAGCTGCATTTGGTGTTTTTCTCCACTCACTCAGAGATTCTACACATACACGTTGCATGGCTTTGTTTTGGACGTGAGGGCAGATACACAGTCGTGCCTGTGTTCAAGGGGCTCACAGTCCCGAGTAGGGAGGAGGAAGCCAGGCAGTGCCAGCAGCCAGTTTAAGATGTGGAGTGGTAAGGGCTTTGATCGAGATGGGCATAGAAATGTGAGTACCTGCCTGGGGTGGCAGATAGGGAATCCTGCTGGAGGAGACACACGGCTGGGCCTGGAAGGATGACCTGTGGATTTCCAGGCTGAGAGATCCAGGAAACAGCCTTAGCAGAGTCCAGAGGCATGGAAGCAGCCCTGGCTAAAGAAGGGGAGTGGTCAGGGTGGCTGGCACTTGCACACAGGGGGGTGTGAAAGGAGGTGCGGCCAGGTTGGCTGGGTCACAGGCCAGTCCAACTGGCTTGTGGGAATTGTGAAGGATGGTTGAGATATTACATTTTAGAAGATGGGAGGCATTCCAGCTAGAGGACTCAGAGTAAACAAGGACCTAGAGACAAAGGGAGGGCTGGAGTGTGACTGGGGTATCAGGCCAAGCTTCCAGAGGGTAGCCCGGACCAGATCTCAGGAGCCGGGAGAGTCTCTTCTGGGAGGAAGGCTGGTAGGTTTTAAGCTTCTGGTGGCTTTTAGTGAGCTCCCTGAGTCTGAGGAGAGGACTGTGACAAGTGGTCCTAGGGCCTGTCATTCCTCTCATCATTCCAGCTTCAGCTTTCTGACCCAGCTGGATGAAGGAGAAGAGGAAGGACACCTCAGGCAGGCAAGGCGGATGCCATCAGCAGGGAAAGTGGGGCTCTGGGGTTGCAGACATGGCAGTGCTGAGCAGTGGCCAAGGGATAGTTCTGCCTCTTGGAGGGAGATGAAAGAATGGACTTTTGGAGAACGCTTGCTGTCTGCTGGACACTGTTCTAGACCCGTGGCTCTTGCTGCATCCTCCCAGCCAGTCTCCTAGGGAGGCGTTTCCATCTACATTGCTCAGCTACTAGAAATGAGGCTCTGAGCAGTAGGCAGTTTGCTGCAGGGCACACAAGTAGCCAGTGCCAGGCTCTGTTTCAGAGGCCCTGGCTTTGCCCAGAAGCTGCTCTCAGACCTTAGCACATGCCTGCTTCCATAGAAAATTGTGGCTCCTGAGGAACACTTTATATATAAATCAAATTGTCAAAAATAGAGATTTCTGCTTCTATTCTCCCCTCGATTATTTGAGTTTTTGTCTTTTGTTAATTGGGTCTTTTATTTTCTTGTGCTGTGTGATTAGGCTCCTGCTGCTTTGAAGTGGCCTTTGTTGGGTGGGTAGGGAGGACTTAGTTAATGTGGGTGATCCTCTCTTGGCAGGAGAAAAAACAACTTTTGCTGTTGAGAGAGAAGTTGACTTTCCCTCTTTCCATATCTCTTGTGTTGTGATGATTCCTCTCTTGTCTTGAGGCCTTCAGGAAGACTAAAATAATTTCCTTTGTCTCTAACCTACTTCCTGAGGATATTTATTTGGTGCCATGCACAGGTGCTGCTTAAAGATAAACCTGACTTTTTTCTTTCAAAATTAGTGCTTGAAATTTGCTAGCATTGCCCTGTCTGGCAGCAGGAACTTGCCTTGCTTGGCCTGGTGGCTACATCCCTTACCATAGATTTATTTGGGTTGCTTAGAGCTCCAGAGGGTCAGTGGCTTGTCCTTGGTCATTTGACATTGGCACTAGAGCTCAGTCTTCCCAGATACATGACGGTGTGGCACTTGAGGAAAAAATGGCCCTGTTTGTGGTCATTTCCAGGTGAGTTTCAGGATCTTTCGCCATGAACAGTAAAGGCCCTCGGGTTTGTGTTCTCAGCATTCTCTATTTTCTAAAAAGATGATCCAGGGGACATTCAGAGATGATCTTCAGAACTTACGCTCTAGCGAGGAAAGACTTTACATAAGAAGGACTCCATTTCTTCGGCACTTGCTGTCTGACCTCACAGACAAGTAGAACACAGGAAGACTGGAAGGGAGCCCTGAGGTGCTTACAGCACAGCCGTGTTTCCCATCAGCACCCAGCCCTTGCAGAGAGGGCTGACAGACACTTTGGCTGGAAAAAACAGTGTTTTAAAAAATCTCTGCAGTGGCTTGATCAGTACTTTCCAGCAGAACTTTCTGTGATGATAGGAATGTTCTACAGTGGCACGGTCCAACATGGCAGCCACGAGCCTCATGGCTGTTGGAGCACTTGCACTGTGGCTAGTGTAACTAAAGACTGAAATTTTAGTTTTATTTAATTTTAATTAATTTAAATTTATATAGGCACAGGTGGCTAGTGGCTGCTGTATTTGACAGCGCAGGGCTGGATGGACTGAGGAATGACTAGGTTCTGTGTCCCTATTGTAGAGTTGGGTTTGAGCTGTCCCCTACATGTGATTTGGTTATAAGAACTGTCATCTTCCTGAGATGTCCTGGCCTGGGGTGACTACCACAGGCCCTTAGATTCCACCCTCTCAGCTTCTTCACCTTCCTAGTGAAGGACACCTCCACTCTCCCAAGGTGCGGCCCTTGAACTGCTCCTCAGTGTGTCCTCCTCCTTCACCTGCCTCTGGATCCATCACCACGCCTTCTCCCTCCTGCTTGCTCTCTGTCTTTGCATTTCCCATCACCACAGCTGCGACCTGAAGACAGGCTTCTGCTAGTTCCTGGCCGGATGAGTACAGCATTCCCTCACATAGTCTCCTTGATTCCAACCCCCCGCAGAAGGTATAGGGATAGAAGAGAGTTTAAAAACTACTTCCCTGTGTAGAAGTCTTTGTTTGCTCTCTGCTGGCATAAAGGCTTAACTAAGTCTTAGCTGGCTGACGAGGCCCCTCCTGAGGGGTTGAGATCTCAGGACTCCAGGCCGAATGAACCACATGCAGGTCTGTGGACAGACAGACTGTGCTCTCTCATGCTGCATATTCTGGCTACGTGCACTTTTCTGGGAAGGGTCATTGTCCACCCTCCTCAGGCTAGATTAGGTCACCCTCATTTGAGGGCCTGTAACATCCTACACATTCCCCTATGATCTCATTTTCTCCCCATCTTATGCCTTTTCTGTTTACTGGATTATGTTTTCCACTGGACTTGATCTCTTTGAGGGTAGGGGCCTGTTAGCATTCAACTGTATGTCCGAGGGCCCAGGACAGGCCTTGGTACAGAGTAAATATTTGGTGCATGCATATCGGAATGAATGAATGAATGAAGAGGTCATTTCCCACTGCCTGCACCAATTACCCATGCTCTTATGGTGCTTTAAACAACTGGCCAAATAGAGTTCAACAGTGGAGGAAGCTTGCCTTGAGGTTAGACAAGTTAATCTTTCAATGGAAATTCAATCCTCATATTTCATTTTCAGGCCACTTTGCGTAGCAAAGTAGTTTAACTCATAGCAGATTTCTGCCATGCTGATGGTTAATTTCGTGGCCCACAGAGGGTCAGCACACTAATGCCGGGAACACGGCGACCTCAGTGCAGCTCACCGCACACAGTGAGGGCCCAGCGGCCCTGTTGTTTTAGAGAAGCAGTTCTCAAACATCCTTCTGATTTTGAGTTAACAGGGGTGACCCTTTCAAGAACATTTTTAAAAGCTATAACATAGATCCCTCCCAGATCGTATATTTTCCTTTCTCCATGCAGTTCAAAGGGGCTGAGTTGTCTCATAGGTTTTTGCCGGCAATCTTCAGCTTGACCCTGGTTGTTTAAATCTGCCGGAGGAAATTTGAACAAAGTTGTACTTTGGTAATTCTTCTGCCTCTGTGAACCTTTAACCTTGGGGTTTCTTTTCGAGCCAGGGCTGCATTGTCACCAGTCGTCCCTGCTGGGGCTTTCAAAGAGCATTGTCTAGGGCGTCTGTTTTCACTTTGCTACTGGAGTTCTTTTGAGGAAGGGTATTAATTCAGACCTGACTCTGAGACAGGACGAGCACTTTTAAACTTGCCCCAGAGCTTGGGGATGGGGAAATGAGCGTAATGCAAGCCTGTGGCTGATGCCAGTAATTGTTCTGCAAATAGTCTGTGAGGGTGAAGGGAGAAGAGGCCCTCCAGAGGCAGAGGAATGTGCCAGCTGTCCAGTGGGAGGCCACAGCTTTGCCCAGGGTTTGTTGACTACATGACAAAAAGAGGTCACTGTCTCTGATCACTAGTTCTGGGTCCAGAGTTCCTCCTGAATGTAAAATTCCTGGAGTGCCAGGTTGCTAAGAACCTGGGAGGCCAGAGGTGAACCTGGGGCTCCATATACCATTACCAAGTGCTTGCATGGTAAAAAAAACTTTCTGGGGAGAGAGAGGAAGGCTCCCTGAGGCAAGAGGGTAGAGATTTGCTCTGCTGCTGTCCTGGTGCTGGCCTGAGCCTTTCTGAGTGAGTATCCCTCTGTAGACCAGGTCACTCACCTCCATCAGCTAGCCAGTTTCACCCTTTAGTTCTTCTTGTGTCTTTTCACAGGAAGCCCAAGACACCCATAAATGTGAAATGTCACAGTCATAGGCCCCCTGGGGCTTCGAGGCTGTTGTCATGGGTGTGCAGTGTTTGAAACTGGACCCTAAGAGGGGAGGCCCTCTGGTACCTCCCCAGGCATCTCCTTGCTGGTTCTGTCACTTACTCTTTGCGACAGGTTGAGAGTTGTTTGAACATCTGGCTTGTTCCGTGGCTTTCTTTGATTTATTTTCCCAGGATTCTTAGTGTCCTGAAGATTTGGTTAGGCGACCTTATTCCTTAAGCTCAGATGGTATAGAAGGAAAGGTGGATCATGACATTAATTCATTCAACAAACTCCGAGCAACTACTGCTTGCCAGGGGTTGAGTTTCTAGTGGTCAACAAAGCAGAAGTGGCTTCTGCTTTCATGTAGCTTCCTGTCTAGTTGGGGAGGCAGATGGTACAGAAGTAAATAAAACATGCGGAATTATAAATTATGTAAGTGCTAAGCAGGACAAGACAGGATGCCCAGATAGGGACTAATGGATGTGGGGCATCTACTTTAGTTTGGAGGCCAGGGAAGGCCTTTCTGAAGCAATAAAGCTGAAGCTAAACTATGGCACAAAAGCCCGTCCCTGGAATGTTGGGAGGTGTTCCAGACCAAAGGTGTAGCACACATGAGGGTCCTGAGGCTGGACATCTCCTGGGGCTAGCTACGAGTGAGAGGGTATCAGCTGGTTTTCACACAGCAGACCTGGTGTTGCAGGTATATTTGGACAGATGCATATATCTGGACTCTCTGGAAGTCCCAGTTTTGCTGAAAGATAAGCGTGGCACATCCTATCATTCTGAAATAGGACACGGTGAGACAGAAGAAGGCAGGCCAGCCTTCTGGAGATGCCTGGTCTCACTATGGCTATCCTATTGGCCTTTATCCATCCTTAGTCTTATTTCTGGTACTGTAACCCCTTATTTCCATGGTAGAGGGATGGGCTGATGTGGAATCAGCGTTGGCAGGCAATCCTGGCAGAAAGTGAATTAGACATTTTTCACAACTCTGTGATTGTGTTTGGTCATTAAACATTGGCCCACTGGCTGCTTATGACTTGAATGCCACATGGAGGTTAAGGACACATTCCTGAACCACTAACTCAAGAATTAGACATCAGAGATACTAAGTATCTAACATCATAGAATTGTAAATAAAATTCCCCTGACACCTAGACCTCGTCTCACTCCTGGTTAGTGCTCCTTTCCCTGCATAGCCTCACAGAGCACAGGCCCTTCATGCTTCCCTCCATCCCCTTTCCTGCGGGGCTGCCTCTTGGGCTGAAGGCAATGCATGGCGGTGGGGCAGGCGGCATATTTTGCCTTTTCTTTTTCCTCCAGAAACAAGTTTGGCATGGGACTTGGTCAGTCTTGATCTGTGCCTGGAAGTGTGAAGGCGTGGGTGCAGATGTTGGGATAATTTTTGTACCTCAGAACCAGAACTGGACACTCACTGTAGGGAAGACCAGCTCCTCACCCTCCGCCCCGCCTCCCCCGCCTGGCCCGAGGTTCCTGTTGAGCAGGCATGGCCTAGCCTCAGACTTGCATGCATATTTTTCTGCTGTTGATTTTCTCAAATTCTTTCACAAGGGAACAGTAGTTTACATCCTTTAAAGCTTTCTTGAGGCTGGGCACGGTGGCTCACGCCTGTAATCCCAGCACTTTGGGAGGCGGAGGTGGGTGGATCACCTGAAGCAGGAGTTCGAGACCAGCCTAGCCAACATGACGAAACCCCGTCTCTACTAAAACTACAAAAATTAGCCATGCGTGGTGGTGAGCACCTGTAATCCCAGCTACTTGGGAGGCTGAGGCATGAGACTGCACTCCAGCCTGGGTGGCAGAGTGAGACCACGTCTAAAAAAAAAAAAAGCTTTCTTGGGATACCAGTGTGGTCTTCTGGTGACAGAACCTTGCCCACAGGTTAGAGGAAATAATACTTTCAGCAACACCCCCAGCTTGGGGGATCTCAGAAAGAAGGGCATGTTGCCAACTTTTGAGGATTTGTCTGAGAAACAGCAACCTGGCATCCCCCTAACTCCCTGCTTTTTTTCCCTCTAGAATCAAATAGAATCTCTTTTCCTGGCAAAGATTTCCTAGATAAAAAGAGGTACTACTTAGTCATTTTTGTAGGTTCGTTAATAGTTTCTAAAAGTTTTTAAAAGTACATAATAAGAAAACTTGTTATGGCAACCAATAAAGTTTCTTTTCGAGGAATGAATATTTTCTAGGAAAGATAAGAGTCAGTTATGTTTGGTCTGATTTCTTCAGCTGAATCTTTCCCTCTTCCTCTTATCTTGAAATCTATCTCATAAGGCAATCTGGGGACACTTTAGCAAGCACTCTGGTAACAGATGTGTGTCCTCCTCTTCCTGACACATCTCCCAGCCCTGGAGACCCAGCTGTACAATCGCAAACTGTCCACAGGGCGGTGGGGTGGAAATCATCTCCATGCCGACTCCGAACTATTTGGTGCACAAGAGGGCAGTATTTGCTTACAGTCTTGGATCGGGATGATCAATGTGTAGTTTCACAGGTCAGCATAGTTAAAATGACCTCTGACTTTTTCAAGACAAAATAAACTGTAGGCCACAGCCATGATGGCTTCCCATAGATGCCTTTAAGTGTCTGATCCCTTCAGAAAAATTGCTGCTTGCTATCTTTTTTCCTTAAAAAGAAAAATATTGTTTCTTTCAAGGTTTATTTTTAATTTTTTTTTAATCAATGAAAATATGGTTTGCAGGCTTGTACCTACAATGGCAGAGGTTAAAAAGTGTTGCAAAAGCAAAACAACTGCTTTCTAATTAAAAACCAGATGGGAAGATTTTTGTTTGAAGCAAGGGGTCAAATGTATTTTCTCCCCCTTTCATATCAGTGTAAAGATTATCTGACTTAACTTTTAAAGCATTTGAAGATGTGGGCTTCAGTCATCAACCCTTCTATACTCAGTTTTGTTTTTCTGCAAGTTCACAGTATTAACCAAAGCAAGGACTTTCCAGGAGAAAAAAAGGAGATCTCCCTGCCTTCCAGAGGCACAATGTTCTATCTGAACCATAGGCCATGTCTGCTTTTGTATAATGATTTGCCTTTTTAAGTTCTTCCATGGTGTTTTTCTATAGAGACTTTTAAGCCAGAAAGACATAGCTGGCCCTCCAAATCTGTGGATTCAACCAATTGAAGATTGAAAATATTAAAAAAAAAAAAAAATGAAAACAACAAAAATAACAATTCAACAACAAAAAAATGATATGTTTAAAAACACAATAGAGTATAGCAACTATTTACATAGCATTTTTATTTTATTAGTTACAAGTGATCTAGAGATGATTTAAATATATGGGAGGATATGCATAAGTTATATGAAAATACTCTGTCATTTTATATCAGGGCCTTAAGCATCCTCAGATTTTGGTCCTTCAGGGGTCCTCAAATCAATCCCCCACAGATAACAAAGGACAGTGGCATTGGTTTACAACTCCTGTCCCACCAGATTCCAGCCTATGCAAGAATTGGGATCTCATATCTTTCTGCTCTCTCTTCCTCAAACCTGGAACTTCTGATTTGAGGTGCCTCCATAACTTTAGCACCCAAGAGAGTTTAACTGAAAACAGCAGTGGTAGCAAGGCCCAGCACATTAAGGACATAGTGATGGTCAGGCCGAAGGAACCCATGCATAGGGGTGGCCTGGGTCTAGCGGAAATGCCACCTGGCCTCTCTGAGCCTGTCTGTGCACCTCAAATGCAGATGATTATCTCACAGGGTGGTTGCATCAAAGATGTCCATAAATAAAGCTTCAGGCACATAGTAGGGAGCAGTTATTGTTTTGTTTGTTTATTTTTTGTAGAGCCAAGCGCTTGCTGTGTTGCGCAGGTTGGTCTCAAACTCCTGGGCTCAAGTGATCCTCCTGCTTTGAGTGCCCAAAGTGCTGGGATTACAGGTGTGAACCACTGTGACTGGCTGGGAGCAGTTACTGTGCCAATGATCTCTCTGACCCCTGACGAATTATAAGCATATGGAGGTGGTGGGGCACTGTTGGACATGAGGATGGAGACACAGACACTGATTCTTGATTGCAGACAAACCAGTTCTTTCTGGATTATTCATTTATTTGATTCATTGAGCATGTCCATTGCTTGGTCCCTTGGAGCATCTGCAGCAAAGTGAAATGCAATCTAGATGGGAGGTGCCATGCTGCCGCCTCGATCCTCTGATAGCAATCGAGGAGAAAAGCTGGGTTCCGAGGCTTAGCCCTGTATGAAATCAGATGTCTTCTTTTACTCTTTTGTAATCGCAACATAAATCTTCCAAAGGGAGTATGTCTATAAGATAGATGCCACATAAGCTGTGGAATGTATTAGTATGTGTGACATCCCTGTGGTCTTTTAATTGATCAGTGGCATTTAATGCAAAATTTGAATCTGACCACACAAAGTAGGGAGAACCCTGGGTGGCCTTCATGTTTGCTTCCCCGTGAAGCTCCTGTCCTGGCTTTTATTAGAAGGGTCTGGGTAGGAAAAGAAGGGTTTTGAGCTGAAGGCTTTCAAAAGAGGCCCACGCCATGTTTTTCCGGGAACATAGTTTCTAAAAAAATGCTGGAACCATCAGTTTCCAAAGGAGCCTGGTTTGTGAGGGGAATGAAAAGTTGTTCCTGCGTGTGGATTCTGGGTTGTTTTCCATCTTCACTCCCTAAGGCAGGGCTGGCAAGCGGGGAATGGGACAGATGTTTTGTGGTAGTAATTTCCAGTCAGATTCTTGAATGCCTTGTATACTCTGGGTCACCGTCAGCTCATAATGGAGCAAAATTGAGTGAGAATTCCTGCAATGAACGACGTGAATGGCGCACCGGAGAGATATGATGGTGGAGATAGAGTGCATTCTGCAAGAAAATATTTCCAGTGCTATCTGTAAAATTCAGATTGAATAACCATTCTGAAGTGCTCCCCTTTTAAAAGAGTTTCCTTCCACAAGCATTGCAGGCTGAGTAAATACCAATAATTTTTATTTCCCTTCTCCTTATCGGTTCCCCTACTGAAATGTTCCTGCACAGCCTATCTGGTCTTTTCAAGTGAACATCAAATGATTAGTGTCAGCTTCCAGTTTGAATTATGATCATATTTCAAAACACAAACTTCTTCACTTTTGCGTTTGGAGGTAATTATCAATATTTACCAATACTGGGGAAGAGTTGAAAATGGAGGAAATACTGCTGAGAGAATGGTGCCCCAAGTGAAGATAGCAGGGAGGGGTTGTGTGTGGCCTTGTGTGTACAGTGGCAGAGTGCTTCAGGGGCTTGGCCTGCCACGTGGATGGCCTGCTCTCTTCCAGCCCTATCCGCATTCTCGCACAGATAAGTGAGAGGAATGGTGGGCACCCAACTGCAAGGCGATCTCTTAGGGTTGGGCACTATGACAAGGCTAGAAAAGCTATTTCTGCCACCTGGAGGAGGAAACATTGCTCTGGCCGCTGCTCTCAGAGGCCCTCCCCTCTGTTTCCACAGATCCTGCTCTCTGACTGCCATGGCCTGGTACGAATGCCCTTTGGTGAAAAAGGCCAGTGAAACCCAGGGCTGGTTTAAGGCCTGCGCTGCAGCCTGGAAAGCAGACTAACACAAATAGACTGTGCTGCCATCACACAGAAAATACAGTTTACAATACCTACATCAGAGTTGAATCCCAGTGTACTAGGTGGCGTTCTCTTGCATTGTAGTAGGCATTTAATTGAACTTTGAGTAATTTCAGTTTTTGCAGTTTTCTTTTTGTATTTTGGAGCCAGTAAGTTTTTTTATGTTTGCAAACACTCTGTAAGCTTTGGTGCTTTGCTTATTGTGCCTAATTAATAGTTGCCTCTGGAAAACGCAGAGGAGGTTTCAGACTGCCTCAAAGAACTTCCCAGAGAGTGGAGAAGCTGCAGCACAACAGGCCTGGGCTCTGGAGTCAGGAAGATTGAAATTGGAATCTTGGCCCTTCTGCTGGCTTTTTGTATTACTGTGGACGTGTAGCTTTTCTGAGCCTTCATTTCTTCACCTGTTTAAAACAGGAGAGAAAGGGAATAATGCCTACCTTCGGGTTTGCTGTTAGAGTTAGCAGTAACTGTGATACAGTTAGCATCATTCTGGGTGCAAGGTAGACACTTGGTAAATGGAAGCAGGCCTTACTGTAGGGTTAGTGCACTGCAGGCTTGGCACCAGAATGTAGCCACTTCTGAAGTCCTTGGGGCAGTCAAAAGTCCTCTTCCCTCAGCATTGCAGACAGCAGGAAAGAGCATTGCAATTATGCAAGAGCTATGTTTCAAAGAAGGAAATGAAATTCTTGAATTTTTTTAAGGCAAAGAAGAGGGAAAAATAGATTTATTGTTTTAGTTGGCTATTCAATAGGATGCAGGATAAAGCTGGCCTCTCTCCTGTCTAATGTCATCATCGGCATTCTCTCTTTTTCTCTCCTTCTCTTCCTCCCTCTCCTCCCCCTCTGCTCTACTCCTCCTCCCTTCTCTTCCCACGCCTCCCCCCGCTCCTCCTTCCCCTCCTCTTCTTACTAGTACTGCTGCAAACCCCCCCTTTTCTCCAAGTCAACCCCAGGTCCTGAGCCTGGGATTAAATCTCATGCTCTGGAGATACTCTAATGCTAGGAATTATTTCCTCTTTTGTGGTCTTTGGTCTTTCCTTCAGGTTTCCTGTTGCTTTCTAAGGGAGGTGCCAGGTGCTGGCCCTGTGGCTAGTTTTGGCTAGTGAGGAATGCTGTAAAGCAGCTGTGACACCAGCGTGCAGCAGTCCTACTGCTGTGCAGCCTGGGCAGTGGGTGGTGACAGGGTGGCATTGGAGTGAACAAGGTGTGGGGAAGACGAGCGTAGGTGGAAAAAATGTAGACCGACCTTCTCGGTAAAACTGGCCTGGGATCCCAGGCAACATGAAGGCTGGCAGATGCTGAGGGAGTTCTCTAGGGGAGGCTGATAAAATTCGACATCACCTTACCATTTAATGAGTCCCAGATACATGGGCTATGCCAGCCCAACAGAGTGCAGGCTTTGGAAAGCCCAAATGAAAACGACATGGTCCCTGCTGTTGGGGGAACTCATAGTGCTGGGAGAAGCCTGCTGGGCCTCTTTTTCAGAAGGAGGGAGAACATGGGTTTAGTAGTGAGCCCTCTAATTAGGCCTGCAGGTAGGCCTCAGCGTGGGGCCTGGATTTGCACCCTGTCCTTCGGTTAGAGGTTTGTGACACCCATAGCTGTGCTCAGTTAAGTGGAGCAGTGGAAAGAGCTGAGGCTCAGCATGCTGGTCCACGTTTGAATCCTGATGGACCAGCTTGTGAGAATGCACAGCTCTGAGCCTCAGTTTTCTCATCTTCAAAATGGGGAGAATAAACTTACAAGTGTTTTCGTGTGTGTGAGAATCCAATGAGATAAGCTAAATGTAGTATTTATCTCAGTGTATGGAACCTATACTCTGTAAGTGGTGTTAGCTATTGTGATCATAATTTAATATGACTTAAGTTTTAATCTTTATACGACTTCATATAAAAATAAACCATTTGTCAGAAATCTTATTTTCCTTTTTTTTTGGTTGGGAAGGCAGGCTAGATGGATGGTCTCTGATACCACGTGTAACATATGATTTTTGTCTCTGTTTTTAAATTGGTGATAATCCGATTGGAGAGAAACTAAATTAATATACTTGAAGTAATCAGAGTATGGGAGCTTAACTGCGTTGATCGGCTGTAAAATTGTGAGTGCAGTTAGAGTTAAGACGAAGAAGGCCACGAAGGGAAAAGACCCAACCAGAAGACACACACCAGAAGAGAAATGTGGGTGGAGTGTTAGCAAGCCACACGCCTTGTCTGCCGGGAGAGACCAGTCTGCTGGAAGCAGTGGCTTGTTTTATGTTTGCACACTGATAGGTACCAATCACTGCTACATGCAAATGTACCCAAAAATATGTGATGACAGGAACTTCTCTTGAAATAATTTATGCATTAATACTAAAGGAAAAAAATGCATAGAACAGCATAAATTGCAAACATGGTATAATTGAAAAAGCTTGAGGTTTAGAGTCTGAGAAACTGAATTTGAATCCTGGCTTCAACATTTGTTAGCTATATGGTCTTGGGTAGATTACCTTCTCTGGGCCTCAACTTCCTTGTTTGCAAGATCAGAAAGAACTATTTTAAGGATTAGAATATATATCTAGTACATGATAAGCTTTTAATAAACATCATTACTATTATGACCACTATTTTACTACTGATAATAAAGACTCCCGGCCTCACATGACACTCCATTGCCAGCTATAAATGTGGTCTTCCCTGAGATGCTGTAATTTTTTTCTGTAGTTTAAATGAACATACTGGATTATTATTATTATTATTATTATTATTATTATTATTTTTGAGACAGAGTCTCGCTCTGTCACCCAGGCTGGAGTGCGGTAGCATGATCTCAGCTCACTGCAACCTCCGCTTCCCAGGTTCAAGTGATTCTCCTGCCTCAGCCTCCTAGGTAGCTGGGATTACAGGCCATACTGGATTATTGATTCAATGTTGTGGGGAGGCTTATAAGTGAATTTATATGATTAAGTTTTGGAAAGCTTTTTTTTGTTGATTCCTTATCTTAAAACCAAGATAAAAAAAGCCTTAATAGCTTAATATTTTTAGGGTCTGAGCCAGGCCTATGTGTTGGCCTGGGGAAGAAAGGGAAACATTCAGAAAGCTTTAGATTTTTTAAAGACTTGTTGGGGGTGTCCTCCTTTCAATTGGAGAAATAGTGACACCACCCCCACCCCCACCCCCACCCGCATCTCTGGATTTTACTGTTTATTTTTTGGCACACGTTTCCAAATACATCAAATATAAATGATGCATTTTGAAGTTTTTAAACTATCAATAAAGCATTAGACCTTCACAGGGGTTTTAAAAAGGTCTTGCTGACTTTTCGTTTCCCCAGATTTGTAGGTCTCTGAAATTTCTGGAAGCTTTCTCTGCATCTCTAGCTGAGCCAAAACGCACCTCTGTTTAGAGATGGTAAAGAACTCCATTTGAGGAGTTCATTAAACTCCAAAGAATCTCCCCCCGTTCATTCTTTTTGTGTTTTGTTGCGGCATAGATTGCTTAAACCAAGTGAGAAATAGCTGTGAGTTTTTTTGAAACTTGGAGATACTCATTTTTGTCAAATTTGTCTTGAAGGAGCAGGCTCAAGTTTGCTTTTATAAATAGGAAAATTGATTTGCAAAGAGATGAAGGCAGAGTATCAGACAGGAGATGACGTGTGGCACATTTAGAATTTGGAGAAACCATAGCCATAAAGAATGAGTAGACACACATTCTTTATATAAATGGGTAGGCCATCTGGTTCTCAAAAAAATGCTTGTTGACAAACATGATAGACCTCAAGGTGAATTTCAGACTTTTGGATTAGTTTATGTGCATGTTGGTACATGTGCAGAAGCTCATGGCAAAATAATGTACCATAATAAATGCAAGTTCAGCAAATAAAACATAGTTCAGAGTCGAGTTATGTGGTAAAAATGCATGAACTAAGTAATTTTCAGTGAAGGTTTTATTATTTTATAAATGAGGTCTTTTTAATTGCCTTAAAAGACTCTCTTTTAGGAAAATTTGAAATATGAAAGTCATCTTATTTTCATGTAAAATGAAACATTTAAATACCTTTTTTCTCATGAAAATTTCTAGCATATAAAGTGAAACTGGAAGTAGTTTTGTTAAGTAACTTGTATTTTGGGGGCTGAGGAAAAGCACTAGAAAATTCAGCTCCTAAAGATCATTCTTCATGAGATGTCAATAGCCTCCAGACAAATTATCATGTGAATATTTTCTAAACCATAAACAAATTTTGCTACCATTGTGTTTAGACTCAAAGTTAGTTTAAAAGAGAAATTTCTAAATGAAACTTCCTAACGGTCATTCAGATTGGTAGAAGTAATATATAAAACCCAAGGACAAAATGGCACTTTGTTTTTTTTCTATTAAACTCTTTTGCTGTTTGCTGTTTCAAAAATTCATACTGAATCTTTACAATGAAACATTTGTGAGTCCAGGAGCCCAGAACCCTAAATGAATTCAGATTGACTTCTTTTTCTGTACGGTCTATCAAAACCTTTTCACTTTACCACAGACCAGAAATTATTTCTCACTGTTTTCTGTGCCTTACTCCTTTAATCTCCAAATACCTGTTACTACTATTGTAATTGTTATTTTATTGTAACAGTTATTGTTGTTACTGCTATTGAACAAGCTTTGGATGTTTGGTTTGAAAAGATTCAATCAAGTATTTTGATTATGATGACTAGTGCCTGTGTATAGCTAAGCAGTGAAGCAATGCAGAGATTTTATAAATATTTTTAGGGCATTTTTTTACTGTGATTGTAGGGAGTAAGATATTTGTTTTTACAGGCTGGAAAGATTGCTGTGAATTTTAACACTTGGGAGTCACAGCTTTAATTCTGATTTAGTCTACTAAAATAAATAAAAATTAGCCGTTGATACTCTTTTAAATGAATGGAACCTATTTCTGATTCTGATTTTTCTGAAGCAGTCTCTACATTTCCCAAAGTGCCACTTCCCAAGGTGGACAAAACATGTTCTGTGCAGGCGAAATGTGAGATGCTGGCTGCATAGGGGAGGAAGGGGGAGAGGAAGCTGTTTGCAAAACTACTTAAAATAAATTTGAAGGGTCAAACATGGAACACAGTTGCAAAAGAGAAAGGAAAAAATGCCTTAGGTCAGTTCAGCTAGAATCGTGTAGGCATTCGCATTGGCTAGAGGGTTAGTTGTGTATTTCTTGCTAATCAGATACAATTGGAGCAGATAATATTTGAGTATCTGAGGCTAGATCTCATTGCCTCTATATCAGGGAAATGAACCAAAAGGGGCAAGTTTTAAAAGTTTGATTTGGGGAAACAGATACCATTTAGGAGAGAGATGGTAGGCTGTGTTTACCTCGTTGTCCGAAGGCTGCTCAGACTTTAGTCAGCTCTCCAACTTGCAGCTTGTCCCTCAGAGATGCAGTCGTGGCTTGGGCCGGCAGACGGGCTTGCGTTAACATTTCATTTAAAAGCGATCGGTACTTTTAAATTAAACATGCAAAGTTATCTTGGTGAGGTATTGAATGGGAGGTTGCTGGATTATTGAATTTGGCCCAAAATTTAGCCAGTTCAGCAGGGATTTTGGGGTCTGAAGCAATTAATATGCAAGTACATTTGAGTCAGCAAGGTAGGAGATTACTGTCTTATCAGAGTAAAAAAAAAAATTCTTTTTCCAAGATCCATACTTTTTTGGAGGTAGATAAAAACTCCATTGTTTGAGATTCATGTTTGTGAGTGACCACCTCAAATTGCCAGGTTTTAACCACTAAAACACAGAGGAGGGAATAATTGCATTTAAAATCTCTGATCTGTTATTTGCATTATGCTTAGCATAGAGGAGACCCCAATTTCCTTCCTCATGTTTTTGTTTTTTTTTGCCATTTTGTTAACATAGATTGAGAGGAAACTTAATTTTCTTTCTTGAAAAAATCATTCACTGAACTGCTCAAAACACATGAAGTTGTTTTTGTCTCATCAGATCGAGTACTTAAGACAAAACTACGAAGGACTTCAATATATGGTTAACCTCTCATGTGCTCTGTGAATCTAGACACACTCCATCCGAGTTGCTGTATGATTTCCTGACCATAATGACCTGGCCAGGGGAACAGCTATTCCTTTGACAACACCGTTTTTCTTCTTCTACACAGCCAGAACCCTTACACCTGTTTTCCCACCTGGCAGGCAGCATTCAGAGGCATGAGGTGTATTTTTATTGTGTGGCACTCAGCCACACAAGTGGCTGTGCAGTCTTGGGGAGAAGAGGTTACTTAACACAATTTCCTTGACTTTAAAATGGGGAAAGTAAGAATGTAAGACCTTAAAGAGTTGTGAGGATGGTGTGGAACAACAGCTGGAGGGAGCCAAAGGCAGTGAATTACAGATGTGCAGTGCCATTGAGTTGCAGCTTCCTCTGCCCTTGACTCAGTGCAAGAGACTCCAGGCCCTGCATCGATGGGACCAGGCAGGCCTGTGAAAGGAGCAGAGCAGCAGGTCCAGAGCCAGCAGAACCTGCGAGCTAGTGTGCCATTGAGGCCTGGGAATTGCTGCTTTACTCCAGAAGACAGGGAACCTGGTGGTACAGCAGGAAGGCATAGTCTTTGAAAATCAGATGTGACTTAAAAATGAATTTAAAAAAAGGGGGCTAATGAAGTCCTGAAGGCCTTTATTTCTGTATTTATTGTGGAGATCTTTTTCTTCTGAAAGCTTTGATTTGACCATCTGCCTCATTTCAGGAGTTTGGAGACCTCGGAAATTTGAGAGATCACTCCTGGGTAGCAAGTTGCCCTTTTGCCAGGGCCTCCTTGTCCCTTAGAAGCATCTAGCCTTGGCTGCTTCAGGGGGCACTTCAGGACATGGATGGGGACTGACCATGTCCTTTGGCAGGTGACGCAGGGAGTCAGCCTGGACGTGAGTGGGTGTGTGGCTGGCTCCCTGGCAAAGAGCTGCCACAGTTTCCTAAGGGGCCCCATCTTTTCCATCCAGTGGGACAGCCTTTCTATTTCAGATGAAGGATAAAATACTTGGTAGAATAACTTTCATTGTTCCCATTCCCAAATCCTTTTCTGTGTGTGGAGAGCATTCTGAGTTTGTCTGTTTGTTTACTGTCCTCCCATCAAGACCTACAGCCTATGCCGACATTCTTCTAAGCAGATCACATGTGCTTGGCCCACAAGTGGGCATTCTGAACACTTTTTTGTGTTTTCAGCCATGGTCCTCTTTTCTCAAGGGATACTGCCAGTCTCCATCCTGATCCAGATTTAGAAACACAACAAAAACAAAAGAGAAGCGGTGATATAAAATGGAAGTAGAACTTGGCGTTGGCTAGTGGAGACGGCGATAAGGAGTTTTGAAGTGTCTCTCCTTTGAAAGGTCTTTCTTGTTGGATCACTGCTCCCCCAGTATGTCTGATCCTTGTGCACAGCCCACCTGGGCTGGTGGGGGTCGGTCCTCATCACACTGAGGCTGGGTTTCTTTAACTTCAGAAATGTCCTGAGGAATAAGAAATGAAACATGAGCAATACAGGGTTAATGTTGTCAAGCCATGTTTGTTTTTGTTTTTGTTTTTCTTTGTTTCTTTTTGTTTGTTTGTTTTTTGATACGAAGTCTCGCTCTATTGCTCAGGCTGGAGTGCAATGGCACGATCTCAGCTCACTGGAACCTCCGCCTCCCGGGTTCAAGCGATTCTCCCACCTCAGGCTCCTGAGTAGCTGGGATTACAGGCATGTGCCACCATGCCCGGCTAATTTTTGTATTTTTAGTAGAGACGGGGTTTCACCATGTTGGCCAGGCTGGTCTTGGCTCCTGCCCTCAAGTGATCCGCCTGCCTTGGGCTCCCAAAGTGCCGGGATTACAGGCATGAGCCACTGTGCCTGGCCTATTTTTGTTTTCTTTGATGGGGCAAGGTACCCAGATTAAGTTTATAGACGACAGCTAATGATAATCAAGTTCCATGTTTGAGTGCCTATTAAATTATCTTGTGTAATGCCCCCGCACATCTGGGAGAAGAGTTTTGTTTTGGTTTTAGTTTTTTAAATAAATGAAGAAAAGGTGACTCAGACAGGTTAAGTAACTATCCAAAAAAAAAAAAAAAATTCTGTAGTAAGAAGGTGGTCAATCCAGGATTTTAAAAAAGTATTACATTTTGGATTAGGTTATATATGTACATGATAGAAAACTTAAATAATGTTAAAGGATATGCAGAGAAAAGTATGCCTTCCTTCTGTCTCTGTGTTTCAGTCTCCTTACACTCCCCGCACTGCCAACACACATCATCAGTTTTCATTTGTGAGCGTGTTTTGGAGATGGGTCCATATTACTTTATAATAGTTTCCCCTCATTCTTTGTATTGACAACATACTGTTCCACTCTCAGGATGACTTGTGCTATCTCGAACAGTAGTGTCTGGAAGGCCTTGGTTATTCTGTCTTTTATGGTTGTGTGTACATGTCACAGGGTCAGTTCCTAGAGACAGTGCCTGCTGGAACCTGGGTGTCCTCACACCCAGACCTGTGCAGTAGGGGTTAGGGTTGCTGCTCTTGCCTAGAAGGAGCCAGAGGGCTCCCACCAGCCCTGCTGCTAGCAGAGACCTGGCGACCACTGTGGCTTTGGCACTTGGCCTGCTTCCCACCAGCCACAGAGATCGGGGGGGGGGCGGTGGTTGGTCTAGTAGTGGGGGTGGGCGGGTTGCCAGAGAGAAGGAGCAGGAAGAGGCCTTTCTTTTCAATTTACCCTCTTTTTGTATGCCATAATCTTGTTTTTCTTTGGAATCCCGCTGATCCAGGCCTGAATTCTAGTTTTACCATTTTACTAGCTGAATGATCTTTGTCAACTTATTTAACCTTTCTGAACTTAAGGCTTACCATGAGTATTAAGGCTTACCATGAGTAAAAATGGTGCTCAGAATACCTACCTGTTAGAGTTGCTTCGAGAACATAGAATAAATATTACTGCTAGTACTTTATTGAGCTTTGACTATGTCAGGTACTTCCTAAACCCTTTAACCTGTGTTAATCTGATTTAATCCTGATAAACCTCTAATGAGTTAGACACTGTTCCTATCCTCTTATATGTGACTTGAAATCTAAAAATGTTAGTAAACATTTGACCCCAACCTGTTGGGCTCCCAAGCCCATGATCTTGACCACTAGGCTATGCTGCCTCCCATAAATGCAGCCAGAGTTGATTGTGTATACTCTATGTCTGTCTAATCATTGAATTCTACTTCTGGTGACACTTAAGCTCTTTTCCTGCACTTTAATGTTAGAGATCATCATTCTTCCTAAGGAAGGCTTTTGGAGCGTTGCTTCTTACGGTGCTTATTGGAAATGTGACCTGGAACAAGATGCATCATTTCTTTGCACCTCAGTTTCCATCTTTGTAAAACATTGATAGCAATACTTACCTTCTCATGGTATTGTGAGAACCGATGCGTGCAGGGCACCCTACATACTAACTGCCTGGTGGATAGCGGGTCCTCAGTTGATGTGTTGTTGTCTTTTTCTTCCTCATTTGGGTCATTCATAGACTACTGGAGAGATATTCGAGAATTCTTCAAGTGTTTGTAGAATGGCTTGACATAAGTTGCTTTCCATTCCTTATCTGTGTAAGGAGTGATGTTCTGGAGTATTAAATTGGGTGAGTGTGGGCACAGTTTGTGTTCTGAGGTTTAGTGTGACTGTGAAAACATGCTTTTTGCATTGCCTGAGAGGATACAATAGACCACCAGCAGGAACAGCAGTGCAGACCACTGAGCAGCTTTTTGTAGCCCTGGACCCAGTGTTCAGTGTTCCAGAGAGATGGTAAGAATAAAGGGAGAGGCATCGAAGCCAAACAATTCCTAGATTTGATTGATCTGGCCTTCCAGATACCCTCAAATTCCACCAACAACTACTTTTAGTGTTTTTTCCTATTTTCTTCCAAGTTAAAAAAAATTGTGATAACATATTCATAATATAAGATTTACCTTTTTGACTATATTTAAGTATACAGTTCAGTGGCATTAAGTACATGCATATTGTAGTGCAACCATCACTGCTATCCATCTCCAGAACCTTTTCATCTTCTCAAACTGCAACTCTGTATCCATTACACACTTACTCCTTATTTCCCCCTCCCACCAGCTCCTGGCCACCGCCATTCTATTCTCTCTGTGACTTGGACTACTAAGTGGAATCATACAGTATTTGCCCTTCTGTGACTGGTTTATTTCACTCGGCATAATGTTCTCAGAGTTCATACATGTTGTAGCATGTGTCAGAATTTCCTTTTTTAAGGCTGAATAATATTCCTTTGTATATATATTTTCCCATGTTTTAAAAGTATAGGGTAAGTATGTAAGTATCTATCAGTATATTTATTTATAGCCATCTCTGTAGTTCTGTATTTTGCTTTGGCTTAACGTGTATTTTTCAAGTTATTACTTAAATTTTGTGAGTATTATTAGTGATACCATACTGTTCTGATTCTGTTTAAAATGAAGGACATTTTTTTTCCTTATCTCTTATAGAATGAACTAGCTGTATTACACTGTTTGCATATTTCTAGAATTGACATTTCCAAGGGACAGTTTAGAAATTCTCAATTGTATCACAAACCCTGCAGTGATTGTATTTTGCACCTTACCCAGACATGGTAAGAAATACAGGTCTGGCATGGCATGATGGCTCATGGCTGTAATCCCAGCATTTTGGGAGGCTGAAGCTAGAGATTGTTTGAGCCCAGGAGTTTGAGGCTACAGTGTGCTATGATTGTGTCACTGCACTCCAGCTTGGGTAACGGAGCGAGATCCTGAAAGAAGGAAAAAAACAAATACAAGTCTGCCATACCTTATCCATAAATTTGAAAATTCAAATAGCTCTGTAAACTGAAAGCAGTTTTTTGGAGTGGATGCAAAACCCCATCTGAACTGACTGAATCTTTTATTTTTCCCATTTAGTGTGAATATTTAATGTTTGATTATAGGGAATGGCCCCATCGCTGCTGGGGTATTATATAATGTATGATATATTTATGTATGTACAGAATTATCTTTTGGGGGGATAATTATTTTAATTTATTCATCATTTTATAACTTAATATTATGAAGCACTTCATATATACCTTCTCTTTACTAAGCAATAAAACAGACTTTTTCTGTGACATTAATTTATAATAGAATATTCTTTTGTGTGCAACCATATCATATTTTTTTAGAAACTTTTTTTTTTTCTTTTTTGAGACAGAGTTTCACTCTTATCACCCAGGCTGGAGTGCAATGACGTGAATTAAATGGAATTATATATACTTTATGACCTTTCGTGTCTGGCTTCTTTCACTTAGTGTAATATTTTCTTTTTTTGAAATAAGGTCTTGCTCTGTTGCTCAGGCTGGAGTGCAGTGGTATGATCATAGCTCACTGCAGCCTTGAACTCCTGGGCTCAAGCAATCCTCCTGCTTCAGCATCCCAAAGTGCTACGATTACAGGTGTTAGCTACCACGCCTGGCCAGTGTAATATTTCTAGATTCACCCATATTGTAGCCTGAGTCTCTACTTCATTCCTTTTTAAGACTGAATAATATTCCATGCCTGGATATACCACATTTAAAGAATCCATTCATTAGTTGATAGGCATTTGGATTGTTTTCACTTTTTGATTATTATGAATAATGCTACCATGAGGAGTCATGTACATGTTTTTGTGTAAACATACATTTCTGTTCTCCTGGGTATAAATATACCCAGGAATTGCTGGATCATATGGTAACTCTATGTTACCTTTATGAGGAACTGCCAAACTTTTTCACAGCTGGTACACCATTTTTCACTCTCACAGCAATGTATGAAGGTTCTGGTTTCTCCACATCCTCACCAACACTTGTTATTGTCTGTCTGTCTGATCATATCCATCCTAGTGGGTGTGAAGTGCTATCTCATTGTGATTTTGATTTGCATTTCCCTGATGGTGAGTGATATTTAGCATCTTTTCATGTGGTTGTTAATATATCTTCTTTGGAGAAATGCCTATTCAGCTCTTTGTTCGTTTAAAAATTGAGTTGGCTTTTTATTGTTGACTCATAAGAGTTTTTAATATATTCTAGATAGTTCCTTATCAGATATATGATTTGCAAATATTTTCTCCCATTCTGTGGGTTGTCTTTTCACTTTCTTGATAGTGTCCTTTGAAGCACAGAAGCTTTTAATTTTTGAAACATTCAAGTTTATTTATTTACTTTTGTTGCTTGTGCTTTTGGTGTCATATCTAAGAAATAAGTGCTTAATCCAAGGTTACATAGATGCATACCTATGTTTTCTTCTCAGTTTTATAGTTTTAGCTCTTCCATTTAAGTCTTTCATCTATTTGGAGTTGATTTTTGTATATGGCATGAGGTAGAGGTCCAACTTAATTCTTTAGCTTGTGGATATCTGGTTGTCCCAGTTTTTGTTAAAAAAACTATTCCCTCTATTGATTTGTGTTGGCACTCTTAACAAAAATCAGTTGACTGTAAATGTGAAAGTCTCTTTCTAGATTCTCAATATTTCATTGATTTATATGTCTAGCCTTATTCTGAACTATTTTTTTTTTTAAGTTCTAAATTCTGAAACATTTTCCCCCAGCGGCTTAGGGATTAGGTAATAATAGTAGATTGCTACTGAGCCATGGGGAGGGCTGTTTCTCCAACTCCTCAGATATCCCTGTGCTTACCTTCCCAGCCTGTCTTCCTGTGTGAGCTCCATGGCACACCCTAGGGACAGTGTCTGAGGACAGTGCTGAGGCTCATGGCCACAGGAGTGGTAGAAGCAGGTTTTCAGACTGATAATGCCATTACATTTCAAACTTTGAACATTTCAAACCTTGAACATGAATATGAGATGTTGGAGATCCCAACTGGGAAGGTGTAGCTACCCAGCAAGTCTCCCATCTCTGAATACTCTGCTATACAGGAGTGGGTACCCAGGGACCACATTTGAACCCGGGCACCCTGACTGCCTCCAGCCCCATTGATATTTAATTGGTTCAGGGATAGATACCTGAGCCAAGATGTACTAAACAAGTTCTTCTGTGGGAATTTGAAACTAGGGAAAGAGAGGCAGGGACACTAGGAGTTCTGGAAATCAGCATGTTGATAGAAATAGTGTGCTAGACCAGAGAGAAGGCTGGGAGCTGTTCTGCTTCTGGGCTTTCCCAGAGCTTCTGTGAGGTACCTGGAATCCTTCTTGTAAACCCTCCTTTTTGTTTACAATTCTTCAGCCAGTTGGTTACTTGTAAGAAAAAAAAATTCTTCATCAATGAATGTGTTCACTTGGTGAAGAGTGGATGTCATTTTTGTTATTTTTTTCTTTTGCAAATGTACATTTAGCACCTGCTGAGAGCAGGACATTCTGAATGTTAGGCACTGAGAACATCTGGCAGATAAAAGGTGGCCCTGCCCCTTGGGACTCACTGTTCAATGAGTTGGAGGGTAGGGGATAGACCATAAAGCAGATGTACTGAATATGAGATAGGTGCATCAAAGACCATACAATACACCAGAGGGTTTCAGAGGTGCGAGTCAGGGAAGACTTCACAGAAAAAGTGACATTTGTGTGGAGTCCTCATGGATGATTAAAGTCTGCCTGGTAGCAATGAGAGATTCAGTTTCAGAAAATGGGCATTGACTGCAGGGAGCCTAGAAGTATGAAGGATTTGGAGGGTTTGGACAATCCAGAGAAGGCTTGTGTGATTGGTCACAAGTGTAAGCAGCCAATGGTGAGCTGGTGAAGCAGGTTGGAAGCAGATTATGAAGGGCTTTGTATCTTGGACCAAAACATTTACACTTTGTTCTGGGGGCAGCAGACAGGTCTGTGGTTTACAGAGTTTACCCTGGCATTGATGGGTTGGAGGGGAGAGAGGCCAGGAGACCATTTTGGAGGGCAGTGCCAGTGGTTAGGGTGATGAGGGAGGGATGGAAAGGAAGGAAGGCCGAAACCCAAGTTAGGAAATAGACTCTCCAGACTGGGAGACTAGCTCTAGGTAGAGGGTACAGTGCAGTTTCAAGGAGACAGGGAACGAAAGAGGTACTTGGAACAGAATGGGTATGAGGTATGGGTGTGGGATGAGGATGCTGCTGCGATCATGATGAGGGCTGGCAGGCAGGCAGGCTGAGGGGGTGGCAGGCATGCAGCAGCCCCAGGGCTTCTTTTTTGTGGGGTAGATGAAAGGGGGTCCATTTGCCTTTGTTTTATGCCAATCAGGTGCAGCTTTTGGATTCCTGGCTAGCTGCCATGTTGCCCTCAGGCAAAAGTTTGGCGGCCTTGGTATTGTTGACCCTTTGTACTAGATGGTGAAAGTATCTGCCTTGCAGACCAGGCCCTGGAATCAGGTATTTGGAATGCATAGCTAATGTGTTCCACTCCAGTCCGTTGGTATTATTGTTCCACAGTATCGCATCTAATTGACTATTTCTAAATGTTCTTGTATATTTTGACTGTACAAGCAAAGTAGGTTTCCAGCAGCCCCTCTTTGCCGGGGCTGCCTCATCTGCAAAGTTTGCTGGCACCACCCTCCTTTCCCAGGGTTCCTGGTTCCTTTCTGCCTGGGAGCCCTGTGCCTGAGGGGGCATGGTGATCTTACTGGATTCCCCTCCCAGCCTTGCCCACCTGTTGTCCTCCAGCCCCGCTCACCTGGGAGTTTGATAGAGGGGCTATTGTGTGCAAAGGATGGTTCAGCATGGACTGCCTTTCCTCCCTTGTGAGTCTGTAGGGGAGTTGGACAGGTAGGGGTAGACCCCCAGGCACTGATGGAGCCCAGCCTCGGTGCCCAGTACCTTTACATGGGGGGGGCTCCCAAAGTTGGATACTTCCAGCACAGCAAGACAGGCACTGCTGTTAGGGGCTGCCCAGATCAAGTGACACTGAATCATCTGCTGAGCAAGTCCTTCCTTTCTCAGTCCGTGGGCAGCCCCTCTGGCCATGTGGAGGAGGAGGCCTGTGAGCACTGGTTCTCTGGACATTGCTCATCTCCCTCCTTGACAAGCGCCTCGCAGAAGACAAAACTCCATTCACACAATGCATAATGACAGCTTAGGTCAATGATGGAAGGTATATATGATGGTGGTCCCATAAGATTATAGTGGGGCCAAAAAATTCCTATAGCCTAGTGCTGTCATAGCTGTGGTAACATCATAGAGCAGGTTACTCAGGTGTTTGTGGTGATGCTGGTGTAACCAAACCTACTGTGCTCAGTCTTATAGCACATATAGTTACTTATAGTACCTATTATGATAATACATGACTGGTTTATGTCTTTACTATACTAGACTTGTTATTATTTTAGTGTGTACTCCTTCGACTTCTTTTCTTTTTTTTTTTTTTTCCGAGCCAGGGTCTGGCTGTCTTCCAGGCTGCAGTGCAGTGGCACCATCTCAGCTCACTGCAACCTCTGCCGCCTTGCCTCAAGCGATCCTCCCACCTCAGCCTCCTGAGTAGCTGGGACTAAGGTCCTCACCACCATGCCCAGCTAGTTTTTGTATTTATTTTGTAGAGACGGGGGTCTCACCATGTTGCCCAGGCTGATCTCGAACTTCTGGGCTCAAGTGATCCACCTGCCAAGGCATTGCAAAGTGCTAGGATGAGCCACTGTGCCCAGCCTCCTTCTACTTCCTTTTGTGTCTTTTTTTGGAGATGGAGTCTCGCTCTGTTGCCCAGGCTGGAGTGCAGTGGCACGATCTTGGCTCACTGCAACCTCCACCTCCCGGATTCAAGCAGTTCTCCTGCCTCAGCCTCCTGAGTAGCTGGGACTACAGGTGCATGCTGCCATGCCTGGCAAATTTTCTGTATTTTAGTAGAGACGGGGTTTCACCATGTCCCCCAGGCTGGTCTCGAACTCCTGAGCTCAGGCAATGCACCCGCCTCAGCCTCTCAAAGTGCTAGGATTACAGGCATGAGCCACCATGCCCAGCCGCTCCTTCTACTTCTAACAACAAAAATTAACTGTAAAACAGCCTCAGGCAGGTCCTTCAGGATGTATCCAGGAGAAGGCATTGTCATCACAGGAGGTGACAGCTCCATGCATGTTACTGCCTCTGAAGACCTTCCAGTGGAACAAGATGTATGAGGTGGAAGACAGTGATGTTGATGATCCTGACCCTGTGTAGGCCTAGGCTAATGTGCATGTTTGTGTTTTAGTTTTTAACAAAAAAGTTTAAAAAGTAAAAGAAAAAAGTTTTTAATGGAAAAAGGCTTATAGAATAAGGATATAAAGAAAGAAAATATTTTTATACAGCTGTACAGTGTGTTTGTGTTTTAAGCTAAGTGTTATTACAAGAGTCAAAAAGTTAAAAAATTTTAAAGTTTATAAAGTAAAAAAGTTATAGTGAACTAAGATTAATTTATTATTAAAGAAAAATGTTTTTATTATAAATTTAGTGTTGTCTAAGTGTCCATTGTTTGTAGAGCCTACAGGAGTGCAGAGTCATGCCCTAGGCCTTCACATTCACTCAACCACTCACTCACTGACTCACCCAGAACACCTTCCAGTCCTGTAAGCTCCATTTATGCTAAGTACTCTATACAGGGGTACCCTTTTTAATCTTTTATGTTGTATTTTTACTGTCCCTTTTTTATGTTTAGATACAGTTCAAGTACACAGATACCACTGGGTTACAATTGCCTGCAGTATTTAGTACAGTCACCTGCTTCAGCTCACTGTGCCTTGCCTGGGGGTATTTTTTTTATTATGGTAAAAAATATATAACATTTACCATTCCCATTTTTAAATGTACAGGTTTGTAGCCTAGGAGCAATAGGCTATTTCACACAACCTAGGTGTGTGGTAGGCTCTGCCATCTAGGTTTGTGTAAGTGCTCTCTATGATGTTTGCACAAAGATGAAATTGCCTAATGACACATTTCTCAGAATGTATCTTCATCATTAAGCAATGCATGGTTGTATACCAACATAGCTTGATATGTATATTTTTAATGGTTGCCTTCTAATATTGCCATGTCGTGGTTTCATCTATGGCTGCCATATAAAGTTTCCTTTTTTGGGGGGCTATTTTTTATTTTTAAATTTATTTGTTTACAAAATTAAAAAAATTATTTTATTTTATAGATGGGTCACATTCTCTTGCCCAGGCTGGAGTGTGGTGGCATGATCATTTAGCTCACTGCAACATGGGCTCAAGCAATCCTCCCACCTTAGCCTCTTGAGTAGCTTAGACTTCAGCTCACTGTGCCTGGCCTGGGGGTATTTTTTTTATTATGGTAAAAAATATATAACATTTACCATTCCCATTTTTAAATGTACAATTCAGTGGCATTAAGTAGATTCACATTGTTGTGCAACTGTCACCACTATTATTTCTAACTTTCCATCACCCCAAACTGAAACTCTGTACCCATTAAACACTACCTCCCCATTCTCCCTACTCCCAGCCCCTGGCATCCACCATTCTACTTTTTGTTTATAAATTTGACTACTCTAGGGAACTCATATAAGCAGAATCATACAGGCTTGGTGGCTGGTTTATTTCATTTAGCATAATGTCCTCAAGGTTCATCCACGTTGTATCATGGATCAGAATTTCTTTCCCTTTTAAGGGAAAGATAATATTCCAGCATATCGATAGACCACATTTTGTTTTTCCCTCCATCTATTAATGGGCACTTGGGTTGTTTCCACCTTTTGCCTGTTGTGAATAGTGCTTCTTGAATATTGGTGTCTAGGTATCTGTTTGATTCTTGTTTTCAAGTCCTTCGAGAATTCCTATACCTAGGAGAGGAATTACTGGATAAAGTGGTATCAATGTTCCTTTAAGGGAAAAAAGTGGGTTTTATAAAACAGGGCAGGGCAAAATTAGTTATTTAAAGAAAAATATTAAGTAATATTGTGTGTGGCATTGTGATGGAGTAGAAATGATGGAGCTGACCCTGGAGTGGTGGCTGGTGCAGTGTGCAAATGTCTTACCAGCCTGGCAGAATTCTGTGTGGCCTTGGCTGTGACTTCACTCCGGGTCTCAACCTATCCATCTGTAAAACAGGGCTGATGCCTCGTTTCTCTCCAGGCTGCCATGTGAACCTGACACGGTTGGGTGTGAGAAGCCTGCTGGTTCTCAGGTGTGCCCCTTTCCCGATTTTTCTCTGCGTGCTTAGAGACCATGGTGGCTGCAGCAGGCCCTGGACCCGCTCTTCTCCTGCAGATTCATTCAAGGCTGTGCCTGTGGGGTTCCGAGCTGGGCTCTTGAGCTTCAGCTGGCTGTTTCCTAATCACTTTCTTTCCTGTCACCCTGGCTGCCTGCTACTGTGACACCTAGAACATTACCCCAGAAGATCAGGACTCTTCCTGGACTTCACAAACGTATTTTTATAGTGCTTACACTCTTCTGCCAATTTTATCTGTAGCTTGTCTTTTTCTTCCCCTCTCCTATTTAACTTCTTTGTCTTTTGACCCCTTTCATTCAGTTAATTGATTGATTAACTCTTTCCACAGTATTTGTTGGACACCTGTGATACTGGAAGGAGGAGCATATATTTGTTGGGGGAGGAGGTACAGAAAAGATACAGAAGACACCTCCCACCCCCAATACTTTTAGTCTACTTGGGTAGAAAAGGAAGACATTCTTGAAATTGGTGGGTAGTAGTAATAATGTGTAAAGCATCCTAACAGGTATTTTTCTTTCTGGAGACTATCCAAGCTTCAGGGCAGGGGGGCATCTGCTTGCTTTAAACAGGGACTGTACAGCACTGGTAGAAAAGAGCCTGGGTTTTAGAGCCTAGGTTCAAATGTTGGCACTGTCCCTTACCAGCTACATGATCTTACGTGACAACATGGGAATTCCATCATGTCCCTTCAGGGTTAAATGGGACGGCTTGCATGAATCCTCTGCAGGGTGGCCACACTCAGGGACCTTGCTGTTAGTGACTGTGTCCTCCTCCCAAGGAGTGGGACTCCCCAGACTTCACTTATGCTGTCCTTATGTATCACTGAAGTTCCCCTCTCAGGACTTGGGGGAATCAGGGGATGCTCTAAACCAGTGGGCTCAGACACAGGTCCTATTGTATAGCCACATACCCCAGAAAGAAAGTGCCCTCCAGACCAGCCTCCAAGGGAGGCAGAGGAGGCAAGGGCTCACCATTGTTTTCCAGCAGGGTGCATCTGAGAGGGTGTTGCTCTCTGCAGAGCAGGCTCCTGTGGCTGTGACAGAGCTAACCTACTGGCACTTCGGGGGAGGGGCTGCCCTCTGCCTGTAGCCTGACTATTGGCAAGGGCCCATTTTTCTGCATTCATTCATTTATCCAGTTACGTAATTTTTTCCCTTCAGATGATCATTTGCCTGGTCATTTGGGTGGTAATAATGATTCTAAAATATTATTTAAAAATGAATTGACTTATTTGCTTTGTAGCAGCCACCATACCTATGTGTTTTACAAATGTCACCTTCTGTGATCCTTACCATGACCCTGTAAGGACCACATCATCAGTTCCCATTACTGAGCCTCAGCAATGGCAAGTGACTTGCCTAGGATCACACACTAATCCGCAGGCCAGGATTTGGACATAACTTGTACAACTCCAAAGCCATTTCTCCTAGTTGCTCGGCTGTCCCTCTCTTTGCCTTCCTCCCTCCAGAGGAGGAGGGACTCTGATATCAGCAGATGTGTTTTTCCTCTGGCATGGGAGGACAGAAGGGAAGAGAAACAGTATAGTTATCTAAGTGAGAATGAGCCATGAAGGCTGAGTAGCGGTTTTCTGTGCAAGTAAAATCTTATCTTGGGGGATAGAGGGAAGACCATCTTCCCCCTATCCCCCAACTTGAATGAAGAAGAAAAAACCCAACCAAAAATGACATAAAGCTAAGCTGCCACAAAGGCTGCACTTACCCAATATTCCTGGTGTGGAGGTAAGTTTTGCACCCCAATTTCTCCTCTCTTCCGTCTTGGGACGTGAAATCTTTTCAGCTCATAAAAAAGACAGGGTGCCCACATGGTGTTTTTAATGGAGAAAATAAGGCTGGGAGGTGTCTGAGCCTCTTGGGACTTCCGGAGAGCTTGGACACCACAGCCTTCCCAGCTGGAGGGTGCTGAGCTCCCACCTGGATTGAGGATCTGTGCTGTCCTGAGGCCATTGTTCTTTTTCCCAGCACAGGATGGAAAAGGCTCCTCTGGGAGGCATCTGCAGGTCAGATGCTTTTGGGGTGGCAGGGTGCAGCAGTGGCTGGGTGGGACTGGGATGGTTGTTTTAACAATAAGTTATTAGAGAACTTCAGCTTGGCCCTGCCTTTCAGGGAACTAATTCTGGGAAATCTATCTGGATCCTGAAATAAGTTCTGCTTTGTGATTTCATAATTCCTCTTTCAGGGAATAATCTGAAATGAGCCAGAGCTTTATGCACAAAAATGTTCTTCACAGCATTATTTATAAGAGCAAAAAATTGGGAGCCACCCAAATGAAGCAAAATAAGGTACTTTGTGCACCCTTCTTTAAAATGATATTTATGAAGAAAATTTAAAAATGTGAAAAGTCATCCTACATATGTTAAGTGAAAAAAAGCAGGGCAAGGAATTCTTTTTGAGTTCAGTAATATACAAAATACATATGTGCAAGAAAAAGACTAGAAAGAAAGACATTAAATGTTAACAGTAGCTAACATTAGGGGCTAAGATCTAGGTGGCTTTTAATTTCCTTTTATAAAGAATTTTTTTTCCCCAAGGCTTTTTCTTTCCCAATGTTATTTTCTAAAATTTCTACAATGAACATTATTAGTTGAATAGTTACCCTCCTCCCACCTCGCTCCTCCTTCTTGGAGCTGGTCAGCCAGTGCTGCTTTTCTCCTCCTCCCACCCCTCCCCTTCTCCCACCCGAGCACTGTGGCTGGTTTCCAGTAGCAGCAGTACAATTAATATTTTACACGATCTTCGCCTAAAGTCTGGTGGTAGTTTGAGATACTTCTTTTAGTCTGAACTCATTTTCAAATTTAGGGCCCAGGCTGTTCTATGGCTTTAGGAGTTGAGGAAACATGAAAGAAATCTGCCTTCTATTTGTTTAAATATTAAAGCATTTAAAATATTTTTTCCTTCTTTCAGATAATCAAAACACAGCTGACTTGCCATTGCTGCACAGTGCTGAAAGGTAGCTCTCAATGTGGGTGATTAACACCATGGCAATGGAGGGGGCAAGTTTTAAAGAAATAATTAAATAGATCTTGGAAAATCATTATTCTTTTGTCTCATAATAGAAAACCAGGCCTGTGTCTGCAGCTGAGCACAGTATTTGGTGATCAGCAGATAAAAGGACACTCCAAAGCCAAACTTGGAGCCACTGTCGTCTACCAGATGCATTTTATCTGGCGGAATGTGTGGGACCTGACAGACACAGGGGAATCCAGGCTCTGCGAACCTCTGCTGAGCCTCGTCTCCTCTCTCCATAATGGAGATGAAGGCGCCTCCCATTCACAAGTGTAGTTATTGCGTAAGTGTTTCCCTCTGTCAGTTTTCAGTGGCTAAACCTTCCTATATAATATCCTTGGAAGATAGGTTGGGGCTTGGGCTTGAGGTCAAGATGGTAGAGACAAGGGATTTGTCCCAGACTTCATGGCAAGAGTGAGACTGGCATGTCTAGATTAGTGATTACAGAGCTCTTTGAGAAACTGGGGAGAGCTCTGGCCCTTCTCCCAAACAGAACGCATATAACTATTTCAGGAAGTGTTTGGACCCAAGATGAAGAACTGCTCTTCAAGAAGCAACCGTGGCCTGGCTAGACTTGGGCAATGGCATGACCCTGTGGGTATTGCCCCCACCGCCTTTCTGCGAAGGCCTGCAAAACGGGGCCCTTGTCCACGTGTGTGGGTCAGTGCTGTAGCCAGGAGGAAGGCCTGAGACAGTGTGTCTGTGACTCTCTGCTGTTTGATTGTGTGAGAGTCTGTATGTGAAGAGGAAAATAAAAAGGAAATGAAACCAATTTATAATAATTGTCTTCTGACATATATAACTCCAAAAAACTGCAAAGACAAGGTTCTGAGCCAAATGAAATTATTCGTTTATGATCAATTAAATGATGAACATAAACACAAGAAACACACGATTTTCCTTGCTCAAGATTTGGCATGTGTATTTTCTGATTCTACTATATATGTAAGATTTTTATTTAAAACAAAAGTGAGTTGTTGTGCGTATCATGGGATGTGTGCTGTGATACAAATACAGTGGCCCTTTATATATATTTAAATACAAAGTCACTTTTTTCTGATTATAAAACTAATACAGACCTATTTTAGAAACTTTGGGTAATAACAGTATAAGGAAGAAAATAATAATCATCTGGTTTACTTGATGGAAATTAAACATTTCATGTAATTTTTTTTGGCTGCTTTTAAATTTAACATTATATCCTAAACATTTTTCCCATGCCATTAATCACTTTCTGTAAACATCATTTTTTCATGCCTGCAGGAGTTCCATTGTATGAATACACAATTTAAGTGTTTGGTTGTGTGGAAAGCATATAAGCTCTGACTTGAAGAAATGTGACCCAAACCTGTGTCTGTCACTTACTGGCACTCGATGGCCTCTGGAACCTCAGTCTCCTTGTCTGCAGAAGGGAGACTGAATGACAGTACCTTGGGTTACTGAGAGACCTCAAAGAGCCTCGCACAGTGTGGGGCATGCACTCAGCAAATAGTTGCCATTATTATTATTGGTGACAGCAGTGGCAGCTTTGTCTTGTGGCTCCTCTAGGGAGAGTTTGGATGCTCGCAGTATGTTAAGAATTTGCAGCCCAGCTCTGGCCTCGTTTTTTAAATGAATACTTTCTTTTTCTCTTATTGCTGTGATTTCTTCTTTTGCATTTTTCCTCTTTGTTCTGTGTACTTTTGTAAGTTGCTTTACATCGTTTTTGCAGTAAGGCAGATTATAAATAAATAAACACTGACTATTCCCTCTAGTGTTGGTTGTTTAGGTTGTTTCTGATTTCTTGCTATTGTGAATCATTCTGCATAGAATATCTTAGTGCATCAGGGTCTGTCCTAGGTTGGATTATTTGCTGGGGCTAGAATCCTGGAGGCGGAAATACGCATTTTGTTTTTCTTTTTTTTGAGACGGAGTCTCGCTCTGTTGCCACGCTGTAGTGCAGTGGTGCGATCTCGGCTCACTGCAACCTCTGCTTTCCGGGTTCCAGCAATTCTTCTGCCTCAGCCTCCCAAGTAGCTGGGATTACAGGCACATGCCATCACGCCCAGCTAATTTTTTTGTATTTTTAGTAGAGACAGGGTTTCACCATATTGGCCAGGCTGATTTCGAACTCCTGACCTCAAGTGACCTGGCCATCTTGGCCACCTAAAGTGCTAGGATTACAGGTGTGAGCCACTGCGCCCGGCCGGAAATACGCATTTTTACATCTCTGATCCAATTTCTTCTCAGAAGGCTGTACCAATCTACACTCCCACCATTAATGGTACGAGAAGACCAGTGCCACTGACTCCATGACTGACTGGCCTCTTTCTTTCAAGCCCCATTTCTTGTCATGGCCCAGGGTAGCAACAATCTGATTCTCACCTGGATGCTGTGTTCTGCATCATCATCAGTAAATGGAGCTCAGGGTTGAGGTCTGCCCCAGGTCCCCCGGTTTTGGTAAATCTTATTTCTGATGGGAAGGCAGTCCTGTCGCCAGCCAGTCCTGCCTGCATAGATTGCCCTCTCTGCTAAACAATGGACACATTCAGACCCGACTCGTGTTTTCAGTTATTAAAAAACTGAGCCGTCTGTCTCTGCCTGTGACTTTAATCTTTAAGCCTTTATTCCCTTTACCCCATCCCCCTTCCCTTAACCTTTTGTTTGTGCAGTTCCGAGCTCAGGGATACGTGGGTCCAAGACTTTCTGAATGTACTGTGGCTTCCCCTGACAGCTACAGATGGTTGTAGCCCTGAGTGATGTTGTTTCAGGGTAGGCAAGGGGGGGATGAAAGGGAAGGAGAAGAGAGGTCAGCTCTTCTTGCCTCCAGCAATCATTTGAACTTTGCCAAAACTATTTTTACATAGCTCTGGAGTGGAGTGCCTCCGTTCCATTCTCTCCCCATTTTCAAATTTGGTAGACTTGTACCGTTTCTGAGTTGCTTAGGCTTAATAAGTTTACATCTTACAGTGCCTCTTAGCATTTCTTCCTGAGAAGTAGTTCTTGTGGTTGAATTATGTATATGTGTGTCTAAAAGCAAAAGTCCCAAGAAAGGATCTTCACCCCAACCCCCTTAAAACACAACCAGAAAGCTCAGAACACAACAACATCTTCCATTTCAGAAAGGGCACTCTTCCGGCAGCACATGTGGTTCTCAGTGTCTTCTTGCACAAGGCCAGCCAGAGAATGCTGGATGTAAAAACCAGTGACAGGGCCATGAGCTTGGCTGACAGGGAGCATTAGGAAACCATCCTCTCTTTTGCAGAGACACTGGGGACATTCCTTTCTGAAGAAGGCTCCTTGCATACAAAAAGAATGGTCTTTAAGAGTGTTGCTGGCACCTTTCTGTGAAGAGCCACACAATGCAGAGGGAGGGAACCTATCACTTGGATGTGGAGGTGCAGGTCTGAAGGCCAGGAAGGAGACATTTTTTCATATGTGTGTTTTTTTTTTCTTAAAGACTTTCTGTTTTTTTTTCTTTTTTTGAGGTGGAGTCTCACCCTGTCGCCCATGCTGGAGTGCGGTGGCACTATCTTGGCTCACTGCAACCTCCACCTCCCAGGTTCAAGCGATTTTCTTGCCTCAGCCTTCTGAGTACCTGGGACTATAGGCATGCGCCACCGCACCCAGCTAATTTTTGTATTTTTAGTAGAGACAGGGTTTCACTGTGTTGACCAGGCTGGTCTCCATCTCCTGACCTCAGGTGATCCGCCTGCCTCGGTCTCCCAAAGTGCTGGGATTACAGGCTTGAGCTACCACACCTGGCCTGTGTGTATGTTTTTTCAAGTGTGTACATTTTTTGTGCATTTTTACATGTCAACACACCCTGTTTGTTTTTAAACCTTTTTTCTCACTACAAAGCTTCTATGACTCCAGCATTTTATAAATGCCTTCAGAGAATGCAAGAGCCTCCTCACCCCTTTACGGTGATGTTAACAGAGGGTTGGTGCCTATTCATCTGACTTTGTCCACATATATGTATATTTATGCTTATGTTAGTCTATTAGTATTGTCACTTTAAAATTTGTTTTTAAAGTTAAGTGTGGGGCTATACTACATCTGCTATTTTGCATTTTGTTTTCCCTCTGCTTAGCAATGTCTTGGAGCATGAGTTCAGAGAGTTCAAATTCACTCTGTTTAGTGGCTGTAGGATATTCCCTTGTGTCTATTTACCATTTAACCAGTCTTTTAATGGATGTTTTTGGTGTCTCCAGTCTTTTGCTAGGTGAACGTAATCTCTTTGCACCTTGTAGAAGTGTTTCTGCAAGTTTCTGTCTTAGAATTGGAAATTGTTGGGGCAGTTGCATTTTAAAAAGTATTGCCAAATTGCCCCTCCCTGCAAAAAAGTCATACTGGTTGTCTGTTTTATAAAAATAATTTTTTTTTTGAGATGGGGTCTCACTCTGTTGCCCAGGCTGGAGTGCAGTGGCAAGATCTTGGCTCACTGCAACCTCTGCCTCCCAGGTTCAAGTGATTCTCCTGCCTCAGCCTCCCGAGTAGCTGGGATTACAGGCGCACGCCACCACGCCCTGCTAATTTTTATATTTTTAGTAGAGACAGCGTTTTGGCACTTTGGCCAGGCTGGCCTTGAACTCCTGACCTCAGGTGATCCACCCATCTCGGCCTCCCAAAGTGCTGGGATTACAGGCGTGAGCCACCGTGCCCAGCCTAAAAATATTATTTTAAGTGAGTTACCACCGAGGAAAAGTAAAGCTTTGTCTAAAATCTCAGGGCTACGTTTATCTTATGACTTTCTGTGCCTGACACCATCATACACACCTGGGCTTATAAACTTGAATTTGAAAAGTCTAGCTTCAAGATCAGTCAGCTTTCACTCATGATATATTTATTGTCCGTCTGCTATGAGCCAGACCTCCAGTTCTGTGGCGGTAACACAAGGAAATCTTTCTCCAAACTCTAACATGAATCTCTTTTTTTTTTGAGATGGAGTTTTGCTCTTGTTGCCCAGGCTGGAGTGCAATGGCGCGATCTTGGCTCACCGCAACCTCCGCCTCTCAGGTTCAAGTGATTCTCATGCCTCAGCCTCCCCAGTAGCTGGGATTACAGGCATGTGCCACCATGCCCGGCTAATTTCGTATTTTTAGTAGAGATGGGGTTTCTCCATGTTGGTCAGGCTGGTCTCGAGCTCCCCACCTCAGGTGATCCGCCCACCTCGGCCTCCCAAAGTGCTGGGATTACAGGCATGAGCTACCGCGCCCAGCCTTCTAACATGAATCTCTTTATGGCCATGTTTTTACAGATCCCCAGCCATGCCTTGGGCAGGTAAGGAAAGAATGCTAGCTGAAACGATGGGGAGAATTATGTCTGGCAGTATGGAATTGGGCAAAAATGAATTGGATGCAGGTTTCCCGCAGAACAATCGTGAGACTGTTATGGAATAAGCCTTTGTTCTTTGCAATCAGAGTCCTGGTTTTACACCACCCAGATTGTCTCATTAGGATGTCTTTTTTTCAGGACATCTGTGGTCACTTGTGTGAATGTGACACTGTAGGGTCAAGTGGAGGGCTCAATGAAGAGAGAAGTTAAAGTTCCCCACAGCCCTAGAATGGGACAGTTTGCTGTTGATTATGTAGTTAACTGCTGGTGATCTGTGCTGCTGGTGATCCTGGACTTGAGTTGGTCACAGTCCCCACCTTTGCAATTTTCATCTTATCCATGCACCACCTTTATTAGTATTATTATTATGTTTACTTTAAACAGACTATTTATTTAACCTTCTCCTAAGTAATATTAGCCTTGAAATAATGAGTTTAAAATACTAATTCCATTTTCCTTCAGTGCATATTAAAATAAACACCTAACTACCATAATAAAAAAAGTGTGTGTCACCTAAAATCTGGCAGGGTATGTCCTATACTTTGGGCAACACCATGCTCTCTAATTGCTCTACACTCACTTTCCTGCCAGGGTACTAGGTAATGAGTACACATACAGGATGGGGCAGAGATAGGAGATGGGAAGTGAGGCATCTCTGACCCAGAGTTCTGGGTGTGCTTAAGAAAAAAAAAAAAGAATCTCATAGCAGAGATCCTGTGGTGGTATCTAATTGTGGTTTTATTTTGCATTTCTCTGATGACTAATAACATTGAATACTTTTTAATGTGTTTATTGGCTATCTGTAGATCTTCTTTTGTGAAGCAGCTTTCAAATCTTTTGCCTATTTTTTATTAGATTTTAAAAAATTATTTTGTTGTTGAGTTATAGGAGTTCTTTAACCTACTTATCAGTCCTTTGTCAGATATATGTGTCGTGAATACCTTCTGACAATTTATGGCTTACCTATTTGTTTTCTTAATGGTGTCTTTTGATAACCAAAAGTTTTGATGAAGTCTAATTTATCACTTTTTTCTGTTGTAGTTACTGCTTTCTATGTTCTAAGTAACTTTGCTTACCACCAAGTTATGAAGACATTCTACTCAGTTTCCTTCTAAAAAGCTTAATGACATTAGCGTTTGCATTTAGTCCTGTAATCTATCTTGAATTAGTTTTTGTATGTGGTGTGAGATGGGGGTCAAAGTAGATTTTTTTCCGTATGGCTATTCATTTATTCCAGTGCATCATTTCTTGAAAAGTTTTTTAGATTGTTTTGTTGCCTTTGTGAAAAATCACATAACCATTTAAGTGTAGGTCTATTTCTGGACTCTATTGTACTTTGATTTGTTTGTCTGTCTTCACACCAATATCGCACTGTCTTTATTAGTAGCTTTATAAAGTAAGTTTTGAAGTCAAGTAGTGTAAGTCCTCCAACTTTGTTCTTTTCCAGTATTGCTTTGAATATTCTTGATCCTTTGTAGTTCCATATAAATTTTAGAAGCAGCTTTTCAATTTCTACAAAAAAAATAAATCCTGGGATTATGATTGGGATTACATTGAATCTATACTATAGCTCAATCGAGGGAAAACTGACTCTTAACAATATTGAGTTTTCCAATCTATGAACTTAGCACATCTCTTCACTTATGTATTTTTAAGTTTTTAGTATAGAGGTCTTGTACATATGTTGTTAAATTTATTTCTAAGTATTTTATGTATTTTGATGCTATCATAAATGATATTTTTAATTTGTTGCTAATATATTAACATAATTAGTTTATGTATATTCATCTTGTATCTTGCAACCTTGCTAAACCTTCTTATTAGTCCTAGTGGTTGTTTTATAGACTCCTTAGGATTTCCTACATAAAAAATCATGTCAGCTAAGAATAAAGATAGTTTTACTTCTTTGTTTCTACTCTTTATACCTTTTTCTAACCTTTATGTTCTTTTTCTTAACTTATTACACTGGCTACAACTTCCAGTAAAATGTTGAGTAGAAGTGGTGAGAGTGGACATCCTTGCCTCGTTCTGATCATGGTGACAAATCATTTCATATTTCTCTAGTAAGTATGGTGTTAGCTGTGGGTTTTTCCATACACATCCTTTACTGTGTTGAGGAAATTCCTCCTGTTCCTAGTGTGGTGAATGGTTTTATCAGGAGTGGTTGTTAAATTTTGTCAAGTGCTTTTTCTGCATCCACTGAAATGATTTTATAGTTTTTCTTCTTCATTCCGTTAGTGTGGGGAATTATACTGATTGATTTTTTTGAATATTAAACATAAAAAGCTATAAATTTCCCTCTAAACATTACCTCAGCCTCACCCAATATATTTTTTAACATGGTTTTAACATGTTCATGTAGATTTTTATTTTCCAGGAATGGATTATTTGGCCCATGGATCAATCAGTTGGTAGAATACAGATTGTAGATAGTATAAATGAATGGTTACACCCAAATGTTGGCAATTTGAGACAATTTGTGAAACAGCAGGAATGGCAAAGTCTTTGTTTCATCAGCAACTTCCTAATGGAATTTGTTGACGGAAGTGATTTGATTTTTATCCATTTAGTGATGCTTATATCATGGCAAAGTCCAAGCCATTCACATTTCCCTTCAGGTGTGTTCTAATTCATGATCTTAAATCATGATAGGCTATTTCCTTAAAGTGATGTCATTGTTTCCACCTGGGCAGAGGAAGATGATGAGTGTTGGCGATGGCAGAGGAAGGGGATGGACACAAGTCCAGGAATAAGGAAGGCAAATGTCAGCCAGCACTGTCAGCCACCTCCCTTGTGTGCGGGCACTGGGCTAGATCACCTGCATGTGTTAGGTGTGAGTCCACAGCACTGAGGAGATGGAGGTCTGTAGGAAGTAAATCATCTGCTGCAGGTGACATGAGTAGGGGCAGAAACGAGGCTGGAGCCAGGTCTGCTAGCCCTCAAAGCTGGTGGACTTTTCCCAGGCAGTATCTACCTTTTTTTATCATGCAACATGAGGATATCTACATTTTGGAGTGAGTGTGAGCTTTGAGGATAAAGTTGTAACAGAAGTTTCCAGGATAATCCATTAATTGATACCACCTATCTTATTGATTTAATAATTGAGCCACTGTTATACTTGGCCAGTTGAATATCAAGCTTGGCATTCCATTAGATAGGAAACCTGGTTTTGGAATAAATCAATAATCCCAGGAATTCTTAACAGGAAACATGGTTACCAAATGTAAATGAAACACTAGAGTTATTTATAGGAGTATTGTATTAGATAGTTCTCTAAGTGGGCTGCAAAGCAGCTCTGTGAAGTGAGTCCTATTTTCTCAGTGACTTGCATATTCTAAGATTAAGTGATGTATTCCCAAGGAACAAGTCCTTTGTAAACAGTGGTTAACTTTTGTAAGGAAGGAATATAGAAGATTCTGGACAGTGTCACGGAATAAAACTATTAAGAGCACAGATTCTAGCACCATACTACTTGAATCCTGGCTCCATCACTTGCTTGTTTTGGGATCTTAAGCTGGTGACTTACCCACTTTTTACCTCAGCTTCTTATCTGTAAAATAAGGATAATAATATTGTATGTACTTATGACAGTCATTGTAAGGATTAATGAATTAGTATGTAAAGTACTTAACACAAAGCCTGTTGCATAGTCAACTCTCAATAAATATTAACTGTTATTATTGCTATGGTTACTGATATTTGTATTGCTTTAATTATGACATTTATTTCTTAATTTTTGGCAGAATTTCCTTGCTTGTTTTAGCTTGCCGTAAGATTAGGTATTTCCCTCTCTCTCCTTGTGTCTGAGGTAGGGTTCTTTCAGAGTTTTGCTGTTTGTCACAGTGTCTAACTACTCTGTGTTCAGCTGGCCTCCCTAGGGTTGCTCTTAAGAATCAATATCTCTTATTAACAAATACGATGCTCCCAGCCACTCCTTTCCTGGGAGCATCTCCACGTTCAAAGCCAGGTTGCACAGTGCCTGGACAGCAGCAGGATGTGTGTTGGTTCCCTCCTGGGATGCCGCCTTCCCCAGGGCATGGTAAGTGTGCTGAGCAGTCTGTGCGTCAGTGAGACCCTCCCGAGCTCAGTGAGACCCTCCCAAGTTGGTGCTTCACTGAGACCCACCCAGCCATTTTTGCCTGATCAAGTGACAGAATGGTTCAAAACTGAATTATAAAAGACTTATTTACCTGGATGATAATACAAAAGAAAGGAGCCCAATTGTTACACTTCCCCATTAGGTACTTTTGTCTGCTGCGTGACGGACTTCCCTAGAAGAGTTGTTCAAACTGAAGTTGTGAAGTTGTAGGTTATAAGGCAGATTTGATTCACTGTTTACTAATTCTGTGTGACTTGATATAAGGTTGGTGCTCAAAAAGTTGAAGGAATTTTAACTAGTTGAAGGAACTAGTTAAAATTAATTAAAGTGAGGATAGGCACCCTTCCTTCATTCAGTTATCCCCTTGTTTAATCATTTATTGATTGGTTCATTTGTATGCTCACTCATCTGGTCACCTGAACATTATTGGACCCCTCCTCTGGGCCATGTAGGCCCTGTGTGGAGCTCAGGGACTCAGATGTATCTGGGAAGACCCCTGCCCAGTCTACTGAGGAGACAAACACAGAAGCCCCCTTTTCAGTGCCTCTGAGCAGTGCAGAGATGGAGGGAGGGAAAGAGGGTGCCAAGTTGAGCCTAATGAGGGGAAGAGCAAGGCTGGACTCCTGCTGCGGGGGTGCCCTTGAGGAAGAGTCCCAGGGTGATGAGGGTGAGGGTGTGTTCCCTCCCACAATTAATGCCATCACAGTGAGATCTGCCTAATAATAGGATCTCCAGACCCCAGCAAATTGTCTGCTGATCTCAGGCAATGTTTGTCTGTAAGAATCCTTCGCCCTGTGTAAACATTTTATTAGACCATTAAGTTGCCGTCAGCCTCTCCCACATTTACTAATGCCTGAGCAGGCTGAGCATAGGCTTCCATTTTTATGAAAACTCTTGCTTTTCCAGAGGCTTATTCTTTGACCTAATTTATCTTGAATCCTCATCCCACAGATCTGGCTTGCTTTGTGTGACTGGGATAGTTGTCTGAAAGGGAGGGCTTTCCTGGAGCTGAGAGATGGGCTAGATAACTTCAGGAGGCCCTGGCCTGCTAAGGAATTCTTTAGTGCATTACAATTATATGCCTTTAAAAAACTATTCTTGTAAAGAATTATTGACAGTACAGCATTTTGGGAGTGGGGTGTGCCAAGTGTAGCAACCCATTTGGAACATGTCTGTGTCCTCCTTTTTCAAGTTAAAATAACGACTCTTTAAGTATTTTACAATGCAATGTAATGTTGATTTCAGAATCTGCTAAGATGTAGGGGATAAATGCAGTCCACAAATCATGCTGGTATTTCATTTTATATCCTATGTTCTTGTAAGGGACATGGAACTGAGAATGATGGTGGGTGTGTGGAGCAGGATTGTGTGAGGCACAATCTGGAACACCTTTCTGGGAAGAGACTGTCCAGAGAGCTTAGATCCATCTGCCCTGGGCAAAATCTGGTAATATTTATAAACAACCCTGTGTTAGAATTCTCCTAGGCCTCCAGGAAGAGGCAGGAGCTCCTCTTTGTGCTTGGCTTGCTTGGAGGCATTTGACCAATCGTTAACCTCCCAAAATTACCCTTGTTTTTATCAGGCGCGTTTTGAACTTGAATCTAGGCATTAGAGGAAGGGGTGTTGGGAAAGGTTCCATCTCTGCTGTGGGATTAACTTGGCTTGGAGCAAGCCAGTCACTTCTGTCTGTGTGAGCACAGAACACAAATCTGTTTTGAAAACTGGACCTACCTGAAGGAAAGATGATGAGAATAGGACATATAAACAGCTGTATAAAACACAGCTGCTGGCAGTAGTTTCTCTTAGTGGCCATGGATCTGTGTGAAGAGGTGAAAACCTTTTGATATGAGAGAAAGAGGGTAGATATAATAATCACCTTTATGATTTGCTTATTAACGTTGGTTGCTCAACATATTATTTCGATCCTCATAGTGACCTGTAAGGTAGGTGGGCTCCTCTCTGTCTAACAGATGAGGATGCTGAGACACAGACAGTGCAGAGCTGGGTTGGGGACTTCACTTTACTTCTGCTGCCCTGCCGACTTCTCACGGCTGGCCCGGAGACAGAATAAGCCCAGGTGTAGAAGGGAGCAGCTGGAGTTGTAGGAAGAGCAGTGGGTGGACAGCCAGGAGTCCGCACCAAACACAGGCTCACTCTCCAGACCCAGACTGGCCCGTGCAGCACTTCTGCCTGCAGCTGAGGGGGCCCCTTAAGAGCCCTAGTTCAAGAAAATTGCATCTTTGGATATCAGAGTGAAGAAGAGTACTTCTACTGCTATAATTCAGGGCTTCTTGCTTAATTCTGAACCATCTAACCTAGCTCAATTTGAGTAAGAGTCTTATAAAACAGTATTTAAAGATGGCCAGCCCTCCCTTCCTGCTCCCCTCTCTCCCTCTATTTCCCTTCTTCCTTCTCTCTCTTCCTCCCTCCATCTCTCTCTTTCCCTCCCCCCTCCCTCCATTTTCTTCCCTCCATCTTCCTGACTCCTTGCTTTCAATTGTCTGGCTTCAGTTTCCCTTGGCTCTGTGAGAGCAGGTCTCTGGAGTGTGTTGCCCATCTTGTGGCTCCCCTAGGAGGTTATGTTAACTGTGAACTATGAAGAGGAGCCACGTTGTTTGTTTTTTAACACCCACTCGATTATAAATTGCCAGGGAGGCTTGGACTCTTGGGTCGCTAAGGTGAGGATCCAATTTTGAGATCTGCAAAATTGGGTCAAAATCTCATTGCATCTTTAAGCCTTTCCCCTCTCCCACAGACACATTGCATACACACACACACACACACACACACACACACACACACACACACGCTTAACAAGATAAGGATAACGTAAACTAGACCTTTCTTTTGACTTAATGTTTTTGTTCCATGTTGGCGTTCAAAGCAGGAACACAGGGTGCTATCTGACAAAGCTTTTCTTCTTTGCTGTTCAGAATTTCCATTTGGAGTTTACTAAGCCAGGACTGATAATGGGTAGACAGCTCAGTAAAATTCTAGATGAGAAGATCTCTGTTAATAATCACGGACCCCTGAGAATTTCTGAAAGGTTCTAGAGAGAGTTTCGACATTCATCTGGCTGCCAAATGAACTTCTGGTCTGACTTCAGGGCTTATTGTCTGTGGCACCCCCAGATTTCAGTTCTGACAGGGGGTGCTAGGCTGTTGGTAGCATCAGAATTACCTGGGAAGGTTGCCTACCTGCCTGTTTCTTTTTTTCCTTTGGTAAATGCCAGATTTCTTGTCCCCACTGTTGGGAAATTTTCTGTCCCGGGAGTCTGGATCAGTACTGCTACGGAAACTACAGGAAGTTGGATTTTGGCTCAATCCAGATAAGGAAGTGATTTAAAATGGAGCAGCCCACATAGTGTGGGGCTGCCTCAAGTTTCCAGCACAGGCTGGTCTCTGCCTCTAAGTGGCGGATGGTTGGACGGGAAGCCTCTTTGGTCCTGTTAGCACACTAAGAGTTTTTTGTTGCGGATTTCACTCTAACAGGCACCCAAGTTACTTGACCTCTATTGACCTGCGCTTCTTTTTCTCCCTTCTGTCCGTGATGTCATAGATATTGGATGATGACTGTAAGTTAGGCTCAGGAAAAATGACCAAATTGTTCTGCTTTTATGGGGCTCATAGTCTAGAGGGAGAGACTTGAAACTGTAGACAAACTCTATCTAGTGAGTGCTGGAGGGAGTCACACCTTCAACCTGAAGAATGTTCAGGTGTAGTGTTAGTGCCCAAGGCAATCTGTTGCCAGAATTGACCTTGAAAATTCCTTGGGAAGGGGCTGTGTTGAAGATGAATGCCTTGCTCCTCAGTGAGCTCCACATAGGGCCAGTGTTTCCTCTGGCATTGAGTGGATTGCTATGTCTGAGGTGGGGCCTAGCTGAAGCAGTTGGTTGATGTTTAGGAGCTATGTTTTATGAAAAATCTCTATCAGATGTTAGAGTCACAGCTCACCCAGTGAGATGGCCACATTGGGAGGGGCCTGTGAGAACTGCGACAATTCAGGGGTCACTTTGGCACATCGGCTTATTAAATGGAGTTTTGGGCAAAAGCTCCTGCACTACTTCTCACTGAATGCTTACCTTTGAATTCCCATGAATTAAACCATACGTTGTGAATTCACAGTCTTATAGGAGCATAGATGAGAGAGAACAACTGATTCTATGTGGGGAGGGAGGAAAGACTTCTCAAAGAAATGACATTTGAGTGAGTTCTTGAAGGATAAGTTCAGAGTAGAATTTGATCAGATCAGGGGAAAGGAGAACATTCTAGGCCAGCGTTTCCCAAAGCATACTTTGTAGAACATGTGTTCCATGGCATGTTAATGTGGGGAAAGAAGAGAACCCATTAGTTGAGAGATGCTGGTTAAACTCAGTTCAGCAATTGCTCTCACCCCTTAAAGAACTTCTCAGAGCCTTTCATCCTTAATACACTTCGGTGTATCGTGAATCTTAAAGAGTGAGGTACAGTGTTTGTACTAGGTGAGACTTTTCTTGGAAACCTGGTTTAGGCAAGGTAGACAGCTCCTGCAGAGGCATGAAGCTTTGAAAGACCATGGCTAATTCAGGAAATGGTGGGTTTGTGTGTCTGAGTAGAGGGGGAGTGTAGGAGGGGAAGACAGTGAAGAGATGTGGGGAATTTGGATGGTATGGGCCAGCTTCTGGGAGAACTCCTTTGGGTGCTAGGTAAGGCTAGGCGCCAGTCTTACTCAAACTACAGTCATTTTAGAACCATCTTCACATCTCTCTTACAGGCTCAATGCCATATATATTCTGATTTAATATATTTTTATAATCCAATTTTTAAATTGTAGATAATCATAAGGAAATTTTGCATCACTAAGGCAAGTGAAAAACCAGTAGCCTTTGCAAAAGTAGAATAAACACACGTATGTACACAAGTACACATATATACACGCACACATGCTGAAAACCAAACAGTTGTCAAATTCTAGCTACAAACTATGAACTTGAGCTATGATTCGCTTTTGTTATAAAGGGAGATTTGGGTATTTTAGAGAGGTAATAAGTAGATTATGTCCCCAGTTGAGACTTGCTCATCGTTCAATCAAAGAAATGGACAGATAACCAAAATGTTAATAATTTTCTTACAATATAATGCCAGATCTGTGTGCCATCAAAAATATCTCCCACTTTGGGAAACTTTGCTCTGGGCAGTGGGGAACCACTGAAGGCTTGTAAACAGGAGCACCTTTCTTTGCTTTAGAAAGCCAGTTTGTGTACTTTTATGGATGGTGGTGGTTCCGAATGGGTAAGACTGGAGGCAGGAAATCCATTGTTTAAGAAAAAAAGAAGCCCAGGGGAGAAATGCAGAGGTCTGGGCTTTGGGGCTATGCCCATAGAATGGTAGGAGAAACTGTTTCGTTATTTAGTAGAGAGAATGGCAGGACTGGGGGACAAACAGAGAAGGGGGTCCCAGAAATGACTTGGCTTGGTCTCCTGGAGAGGTCATAGCAGCTCAGACTGAGGTTGGTAGTTGGCAGAGAGGCAGATTGAGTAGTTGGCAGAGAGGCACGCTGACTTGAGGCTTCTGCAGGAAGTCAGTATGGAGGTGTCCAGGGGAGTAAGGGATTATGTGTATGTAACTCCAGATCTCTGGTGGGTGGAAAGAGAACTGATTTTAGAGCCAGGTAAATCTGTGCATGACCCATGGCTTCACCCCTCACATCTAGGATCTTGGTTTCCTTTTTCGACGGTGAAAAATTGTAAACCCCAACCTTAAGGATGATTGGGAAGGTTACTAGTGGTAGAGTGCTTGGGATAACTGTGGCACAGGGCAGAGCCCAGAGTCAGCAATGTTTATTTTAAGTTCCTTCTAGCTTCCCAATTACATCTCTGAATTTTTTGGAGAAAGCTAGCCTCAGATTCAGCCAATTCCTACGGATTTCCCCTGGAATGAAAGAAGCCTTGATTCACACGTGTCATGACATTGAGCATTCTTGTGTTTGGTGGGAATTTTGGTATAGAAAATGCTGATTGCTGACCTTTTATCTTCTGCAGAAGAGCTCCTTCTGTCAGGGTTCAGAGACTTAGGCATCAGGCCAGCTGGGCATCACTGGCATTTTTTCCTGCCCATTTCTGTCTGCTTTCTAGGCAGCAGAAATGAAAATGTCCTGCCAATCTGTTAGACTGACTTCGCCAACTGCCAAATGGCCTTGAAAGGAGTAGTGGGAAAGCCAGAGCTTGGTGGTCAGACATCCTCTGTCGCTTACTGGCTGTTTAAGCCTGGACAGTGGCATGTCCTTAAGTCTCTATGTTGTCATTTGCAAAACAGGGTTAATAATATCCATTTTGCAGAGTGTTTTGGAGGACTAGAGATCATAGAGAGCTGTCTTAGCCCAAGGTATACTATATGCTTAAAATATGGGTGCTATTGCCCTTAGTTGTTGTGTGTTAACCTCCTCTCACCTCTACAGAAATGTAGGAAGGCTATTTATTATTATTTTATTTATTTTAGAGACAGGGTCTTGCTCTGTTGTCCAGGCTGGAGTGTAGTGGCATGATCACAGCTCCTTGAAGCCTTGAACTCCTGGGTTCAAGGAATCCTCCCAACTCAGCCTCTTGAGTGGCTGGGACTACAGGTGTGAGCCACACCACCAAGCTCTAGGAAGGCTGTTATGAATATGAGGTATCTAGAGATAACATACTGTTACTTGACAATACAACATGTAAAAATTTAGACTGACCAAAAGAGAAATACATATACTTCTTTTTTTTTTTTCTGGAGACAGAGTCTTGCTCTGTGATCTCAGTACAGTGGTGTGATCTCGGCTCACTGCAACCTCTGCCTCCCTGGTTCAAGTGATTCCCATGCCTCAGCCCCCCAAGTAGCTGGGACTACAGGTGCATGCCACTGTGCCCAGCTAATTTTTGTATTTTTTGTAGAGACTGGGTTTCACCATATTGCCTAGGATGGTCTCAAACTCCTGAGTTCAGGCAATTTGCCTGCCTCAGCCTCCCAACATGCTAGGATTACAGGCGTGAGCCACCACACCTGGCAAGAAATACATATACTTCTTTTCTTTTTCCTTTCCTTTTTTTTTTTTTTTTTTTTTTTTTTGAGACAGAGTCTTGCTGTGTTGCACAGGCTGGAGTGCAGTGGCATGATCTTGGCTCACTGTAAGCTCCGCCTCCCGGGTTCATGCCATTCTCCTGCCTCAGCCTCCTCAGTGGCTGGGACTACAGGTGCCCGCCACCAAGCCCGACTACTTTTTTTTGTATTTTTAGTAGAGACAAGGTTTCACCATGTTAGCCAGGATAGTCTCGATCTCCTGACCTCATGATCTGCCTGCCTCGGCCTCCCAAAGTGCTGGCATTACAGGCGTGAGCCACTGCGCCCAGCCAGAAATACATACACTTCTTAACACTCACAGAATGTTGGTGTGAAATGGGAGTTTGGAAACGTCTATGATTTCTTTGGAGGCTGTGGGAGCCCCTGGGAGGCTGGGGAGCTGCCCCAGCTCATATCTGGACAGGGGCTGACCCTCATCAGAGGTGTTCCTGCCACTACCTTTAGTACCAGAGTGAACTTCATGTGTTGCTCCTTAGAGACCAGCCACCATGCTTCTGCTGGCCTGTAAGCCTCTGGGCCTCTGCTTCACAGAAGTGCTCTGGTCTGGAAGGGCCCCAGAGGGCTCTTGTTGGACTCAGAGCCCTGCTTTTGATCTTCACCTCAGGAAAGCTGCTGGTACCTCTCCCTGATATTGAGTGCATAAAGTAATGGAGTGAGGGCCACCCAGGAAAAGGATTTAAAACCGAATGAGCAGTCACATCCTAAGAACATTTGTTAAAAGCCCTATGTCGACATGGAGAAGATCTGGTTTAGAAACAGGGCTTTTGCTTTGGCCTTCTGTTCAATGTTTTTAAAAATGGCATTCGAGAGGAGTAAAAGCATGTTTGGAGGTATAGTTTCTACCCTCTTTGAGACAGCAGAATCAAAATTCAGATAGTCTCTGTGGGCTTGGACAGTGAGCCAAAGCCAACATGATGAAATGAAGCAAGCATAAACAGGACGAGTGTTGCGAGTTCAAGCCGGCCACCAGCCTCCCCAGGCAGTGATGGGCTGGCGCTGCCACATCAGCCAGCTCCTTCCAGGGCTGCCTTCCTGGGAGCATGGCAGCCACATCCCGGGGAGCAGCAGTCCTCTGCTAGCACACATCTGCAGCGCCAGCTTCCATCCTTGGTCTCATGTTTTAATAGCAAATCTGACAAATTCTCATTGACCCTCAGTGGGGGTTGGCTGCCCACCACACCTTCTGCATTGCCTCATGGGTGGTATTTCTCCCAAGGAAAGCCTTGGCTAGGGTGAGTGGGAGGGAGAGCAAGGACGCTAGGTCCGAGACCTGGGTTGTGGCAGTTGCTGCATTACTTATAGGCTGTGTGGCCTGGGCAAACCTTTCGTCTTCCGGATCTTAGGCTCCTCACCTGGAACATGGGATTGATGATACCCCTGGTTGGTGATACCAGGTGAAGGGTCTGGGGAGCCTTAGCTGTGACGGGAAGAAAGTGCTTGGCATGTCCTTGGCATGTAGTTGGCGTAGTAGAAAATGCAGTCTAGCTGATTTGGAGGGTGTGGGTAAGCTGCTTAATCTCTATGAGCCTGTTTTCTTGTCTGTACCTGAAGAATTGACACTTCAGATACCTGGCCCAGTGCCATTCAAGACATGGTAGAGGTCACAGGCATGTAGGTCCTGAACGATCCAGAGGAAGAAGGGGCTCTGTAGCCCAGGAACTGCCTTACACAGTGCCAGGGCCCTTGGGGATGCTGAGCTCCTGCTTGTGGGGGAGTCAGGTGAAGCTGGGCAGGACCCAGCAGGGTTGAGGTCATGTCTCACGGGGAGTGCCGGGCCACGTGAGGGAAGACCAGTGGACAGGCACATTAAGTTTTAAACTCACATACTTACTTTAATGTACGTTAGAAAAAAATCAAATAAGTAGTACATCAAATCTGTACTTTTTATGGAAGTTTTTGCTTTCTTTTTGGTTTTATAGTTTTAGTATTTAAAAAAAGTCAATTTAAAGGAAAATATTAAGTAAGTAATAAACCAGGCAAGACTCTCCAAGAATGTCAAAGTCACAAAAGAACTAACCTCCCTGCCCCAACCTCAGCCAAGTAAAGAGCAGGTGATGCTTCTAGATTAAAGGAAACTAAAGACAACAAATCTGGAAGATATAAAGAACACCTCTGAAAGACATAATGGGGACAATTGGGAGAAATTTGAATATAGGCAATAGATTAAGTAATATTATGGTATAAGTCAGTGTTAAATTTCTTGGGTAGGGGAATCTCCTAATTCTTAGAAGACAGATGGTAAGGGCTCCAGTGTCATTGTAACTGTAACCTGCTTTAAAATGGTTTGGGAATCCTTTTTATATATCAGCATTATATATATTCACATATATGTATATGGAAAGAGAACGAGAACATGCAGGAATGCACACAAATGTAGCATACTGCTAACAGCTGGCAGCAGTGAGGCGAGGGCTGTGCTGTGTTCAGTATTCTGTTCTTTCAGCTAATTTTGTAATGGTGGCCCAGGAATGATGAACATTTGAGAACCATTGTGCTGTGGGACTTTCCTTCAGGTCCTTTTGAAGTCCTTGCTGACTTTTCATTTCTGGAACATATCTTTAATTTTGTATTATAATTTGATAAGAAAAATTTTTGACCTAAGAAAAATCATTCAGTGACACATACTAATATAATGTAACTTGGTTAGAAAATATGATATGAGATCAAAAAATTCAGTTTTCTTAGTTATATAAAATGAGGTGGCTAAATTGAAATTTTTGTCTCAATGAGGCAGAAATCATTGAGTAACCATTTGTGGCCACCAGTTAAGATATGTATTCAATAGAAAATGACCTAGTACAGGCCCAGAGGCCATCAGTTAACACTAGAATATTAATGATGTATGATAGGATTATAGAATTACCTGGGATCTCTTCATTTCCCGGAGGGAAACTGGAAATTATCTTGCTCTGTGCCACCTGAAAGCTATAAGGAAGGCTCTTTGAAGATGGTGGTGGGCAGCACTTACAGCTGCGATCTGGTGTTCCTCTGGGTGCACTGATACCAGTGAATGATTTTCCTGAGGAGGAGGAGGTAACAGCAAAATCATGTAACATCAGAAACCTTTGTTGAAGATGGATGTGGGAAAGTTGAGGTGGCTGGTGAGGAGTTGAATTAGAAGACATAGTATTTCATTATTGTGGTTGTAATAATGTTGGTGAGATTATACACCAATATCCAGCCCTGAAGTGTAGTCTCTTCACCTCCTTGCCTTTCTGCCATGTTAATAGTACCTGGACCACACATTTGGGATCTCAATTATATTATGGCTCTCAGCAACCCTAATTGGTTCATGGATATATGTCTTATTTGAAGGTGATTGCATGCACTTGAATGTTAGGGGGTGAAGCTCCTTTTGTGTCTCTCTGCCTGCATTTAAGATGAGATTGAGCACACAGAGGCAACATGGCCTTCCCTGGGGGAAGGAACCTGGGTCTGAATTCAGAGGACTTGGGTTAGGATCCTGGCTCCACTCCCTAGTGTCTATGTGACTTTGGATAAAATGATGATGATTATGACGGTGATGGCAGAAGTTAACTACTTCATAGGATCCTGTCTGTGAAGTAAGGGTAGTCATAGTGCACCTTGGACAGCGTTGATGGATCAGATGAGATGATGCACATGAGTAGTCAGTTCACTGGCATGGAACATGCTATAAAGCTATTAAAATAATGATGCTTGAGTTGAACTGCATTGTTAAAACATGGGCTAATACACTGTATTAGTCTATAATCTGTGGTTATAAAGGACAAAAATCCACCCCAAACTGATTCTTAAAACCAGGAAGTTTGTGAGGACTAGCTTTAAGCACAGCTGGATCCAGGGCCTCAAATAATGTTGTTAGGACACTGCCCCATTTTCCAGATTGCTTACCTCATGCTGGCTTAATTCTTAGGCCACCCGGCTCCTGTGAGATTGCAGAGCTGCCATCCATTCTGCTTGCTTTCTGCCAAGTTTGCCCCTCTCACAGAAAGAGATATTTCCTAGTTCAGCAAAAAGCACAGGAGAGACTGAGTGGCCAGCTCTAGGTCCCACGCCTATCCCTGGAGCTGGGACCAGAGTTCCTACTGTCTAAACATTAGGGACTGAGAAGGGGAGAGAGGCGATCCTAAAGGGAAAGAGACCCTGTGCCAGTGGAGTGCTAGGTCTCCATAACAATGGGGATGCATAGTTCTTGCATGGGTTTCCAAATCTCTCAGAGGAGGAGAATTTCTCATACATCACACAGCCCAGCAGATCCACCAGTCTTCATTTCAAACCAAGCATTCTGCTATTTTTCTTGCTCAGGAAACTGTTGATAAAAACTGTCCCATTTAGTTGAAACACTGCAAAAGTTATACAGAAAAATAAACAAATTGAGACTCGGGCCAGTTGTGGGATGGAGGAACATCAAAGCTTGGCCAGTCACCAAGCTCATTTTCCACTGGGGGGTGGTTTCATGTCCACTAACCAGTCTGCAGATCTGGAGCTGCAGTTTAGGCTTGATTGGTTGTAGAAGCCGAAACTAGCTCAAGGTGGCTCTAGTAAAAGGATTTGTTGGGAGCAGCAGAGCTGTGCCTGGGCTGGGCATGCTAAGCCCAAGTTGGAGCAGGTGGCTCTCCATACCAGACAGCCACAGTGATGTCCCTGCTAGGCCTTCCACCTGCCTCAGCCACGTTACCTGCCCACCCACCTGCCCCTCTGCCCCTCGACCAGCCCACTCACGCCTGTACTGTCCTCTGATGGCTGGCCGTACATGGGGTCTCTGTCACACCCTTAGCCTCAGTGCCCAGCTCACTGGCCCTGTTTCCCAGTGAATTGCTTGCAAGAGCCTCAGGGGAGCCCTGTTGGCCCTGCTCACAGAGGTCACATGACATTGGTCAGTTTCTGACTAGAGCACTCTTGGGACAGATCTCCGTGTGGTCCCCATAGTTGTGACTGATTGAAGGCAGTGGGCTATAGGTAGGACAGAATACTTTGGGAAGGGATGCAGGCAGGGACAGTCTTTGTTCCCTGGCTTTGGCAGTGATCCTGAAAACTTTTCAGATACTTGACCTCATAGATGGAGACTCTGGCTGCCTGGGCTGGACACGTACATATGTAGCTCAAGTATTCATATGTTAGTATTATAGTAGATAATAATTTTTATTATAAGTATTTATATTTATCATGAAGTACATTTTCTTATCCCAATTTTGGAAAATAACATAGAAAGAAGAAAATAAAAGTTACCCTTTAATCTCACCTCTGTAGATGCTAGTGATGAGAGCTGATAGCTTTTGCTTTGTGTGTCACCATTCTAAGGGCCTTCTATGCATACTTGTTGATCCTTACAGCAATAGGGCGAGATAGGATGGAGAGTAATGTAATCCTCATCCCTCACTGTGGGACAGAGGTAAGGTCTGTGGTGGTAGTGGTGGGGAGGGATGAAGGGACACCTAGCCTACATGGGGCTGCCATAAAGCCCTGGTTCAGTGTCACCCAAGGGTCCACCATGTGCTCACTGGTGGACATCCCAGGGTGAAATGGGGTTGGGTAGTAGTGGTGTCCTGTTCATTCACCTTAGGCTGCCATAGCAGAACCAAAGACAGGAAAGACAGGATCCTGCCTCCCTCAATCTCCCAGCAGAAGGGCTTAAGGACCCGTGACCCTTTAATGTGTTCACGTGCACCTTGGCCATTGGTTTGGCTCTCAGGACCCTAGGCCTAGACCCTCTGGGCCTGCTCCCTTCCCCAGGGCCTGCCTGAACATGTTCAAATTAATTTGACATGTTTGAATTAAAGGAATACACGAGCACCTGGGGCATAGCACCAGCCCCCCCTGGTCCCCCACTGCCCATGTATATAACTTGCCTTGGCTGTGGTCTTCTTTTCCACACTTGCTGTGATTATTGTCCTGGGGACAGTCCTCAGGGGAAACCTCAGCATCATGGGGAGTAGGGAGGTGTGAGTCATGAGAAAGAGTCAAATATTAATTAGGGAACATCTTCTATATTTCAGGGTTTGTGCCTGGAACTATGCGAACATTTTTCCACTTGGCTGCACAACTCTTTCAGGTACATTTCATCATCCTAGCTTTATAGAAGAGGAAACAGGCTCAGGGGGTTAAGGGGTTTGCTCAAGGCCACACAGCAGGTCAGTGGAGAGTGTGTGTTGGAATCCAAGTAAATGGGTAAAGACCAAGAGACCACAGTGGATACATGTTTCTTTTCTTGGTTTTTCAAGTCCCCTTTTAAGGGGCTTTTTAACTAGCAGTGAGAGTACACAGAGGTGCTCTCCAAAGGGTTATACTCTTTGTGATTTAAGTAAGTGAAGTGAATAAGGGGAAAAATGAAAGAAAAAAGAGACAAACCACAACAAGTTTCATGTATAGGCCTCTTCAGTTGGCTCTGGCCCCTTCACAGACATAGACTGTAAGAACTACTCCGGAAACAGCTGGTAACAGGACACCGTACTTTCAGCCTTTCTTTCTTCATTGTTGCCAGAAAATAATCAGCTCTATATCTTAAGTGCTTGATAGAGTGGCCAGACACCAGCTGTAACTTAAAACAATTTTTGTCTTAGTTGCTTTAAGCAAACAGATGCGGCTAGCTTTCTGGGCCAAGCGCAGTGTCCCTGTCTTAGAGTGGACTACTCAAGCTGCTCAACCGTCTTGATTTATGTTTAATTCTTGCTTTAGATGTGTCCATTCAGACATTCCTTTGGTATGTTTCCAGAGGCTTGGGTTTGGGGTTTGAAGGAGTGATTCCGGACTGGCCGTTGGTTTGCTTGTTCATTGTTTCGGCACTTAAGTGTGCTGCGTGTGTCAGGAGCAGGGACTCAGCCCTCCTGGAGCTGACGGGCTAGTAAAGAAGCTGGACAAGCAAGTGAATAAGAACAGAGCCTCCCCTACCCCAAAGGCAACCATTTGCAACTCTTAGCTTATTATTTTTATATAATCTTTACACCATGTTTATTGTGCTACTTTTTGTTTGGCTTTAGACATTATCTGTAGACTTCCTGCTAAGGAACATAAGAATTCTTCTCTTTCTTATGTCCTCCTTCAGTTAGGCATTCCCTCAGAACTTTCAGCACATGGTGGGGCACTGTGCTCTGTACATAATATCCAGCGCCTGCCGTCAGGAAGCTCACGGTGCAGTGGGGAGATGGACCTTGGAAGAGACCACGAGAGGAGGCTATGCCGAGGCCTGAGCAGAGGAGTGGACGTTCTGTGCTGGATGCCTCTGCTCGGACTTTGCCTCCCTCTATGGCTGAGCGGACTCATTCAGGCAGTGTGCTTTGGTGCAGTGGTACCATTTCCCCAGTGCTATCCTGGCCCCAGCCACCTCATCTCCCATTGGAGTGATGGCAGCAACTGCCCTCTGGCCTCCCTGTTGCCATTCTGTCCTTTGATATACATTGTCCACACAGCACAGAGTGACCTTTTGAAACATCCATCAGGGTTATATCACTCCCCCACTTGAAAAACTGCCCTTGGCCTTCTGTTAACAGTAAAATACAATCCTGACTCCATACTGCAGCCTTCAAGGCTCCTGGTGACCCAGCCCACTCCTGTCACCCCCATTTGGCTTGCTGTCTGCAGCCACTTGGGTCTTCCTTCTCCCCCTCAGACCTGCTCCTCACTTGGGCCTTCTCCTTGCTGTTTCCCCATCCCTTTTATCTTCCAAGGGAACCTTCTTGACTACCCTTTTTAGAATAATATCCTCATCACCTCCCACCACTTTATCCCATAATCCTGTTTTATTTTCTGTGCAGCTTTTATCTCTCTGTACAAGCTATGCAGAAAATATTTATTCATTATTTGTATCTCACACTAGAATGTAAACTCCATGAGGACAGGGACCTTATTTGTTTTGTTAAATGGCTGCATTCCCTTAGCATAGTGCTTGGCATGTAATAGACACTAGAAAAAAAAAAAAGAAAAAAACTCTTGGCTAAATGAATATCGAAAGAGTGCCCATCTAGTGTGTCCCTGGGACCCAGTGCTACCCTACTGTCTGAAGTCATTAGTGAAAAAAATTATCCCTTTTATACTTAGAGCTGTGTCCAAGGAATACAGTATTGTTCCTAAATATCATGCATGAGCAGAAAGAATGAATAGCAGTAATAAAAATGGTAAACTCTTTGCATTTGCGGTGGCAGCTCTGTTCTCTGCACTTTAATACAGTAACAGATATTTCTGACCACAACTCCATGTGGTAGCACTACAAATCTAGTCCTAGTTATAGGATTACAACTCCTGGAGATGAGGGAACTGAAGGACAGAGAGAGTGAGTAACTTAACAAAGTCATTAGCTTTATAAGTGGTGGAGCAGAGACTTGAACCCAGTCATTCTGGCTCCAGAGTCTGTGCTCCCAAGCAAAGGTGCCTGAGTTCCTTTCAGGAAATATCTTTGGAGTTAAATGAATTGAACACTTTGCTTCTCTAGAGGTGGAACCAGGAATAATCTCAATTACTCCCACTCTTGAGTGCTCCGTCATGGTGTTTATGTGGCTGTTCATTGTGGACAGTGCCATCACTGATACCAAAGCCCCAGCACACGTAGAGACCATAAGGTGTCTTTACTGTCAAATGATGGGGCTTCACAGAGAGAGTCACAGGAAACAAGAGACAACAACAACATACTCTCAGAGGTGCGGCTGGCCTGCTTCCCCCCATTCCCTGGTGAAGTATGGCTATGGATGCTACCCGCCATGCAGTCTGAGGATTCCTCCACATGCAAGAAGCCTCCTATGCCAGTCCCATAGAGATGTTATGCCCTTCTGCTCCCCACTTCTAACTCACTGTTCTAAGGCCCTGACTATGTGCCTGCCTGAGGGAACCAGTACAGAATGATGCCAGCCTGTCCCTGAATGTGTGCTGTCAGATCAGGCGAGAAAGGGCCAACCTCCCGGGAGTATCCTGCAACAGACCCGGCTTCAAGCCTGTGTTTCCTCTTCAGTGCTGTATGTGCATTGCTGCCAGTTCTTATGCTATCCCTGTGGCTGGGCGGTGGGACAGATGAGTAGCCCCAGATGGCACAGCTGGCAGTGCCAGGGTTCAAGTCCAAGTCTTTTTGATATGGAGTCTACAACACAACTCTGTTTATATTTCTCTGTTCACCAAAGTGAATTCTCGTTACTCTCAGTACATTTGGTTTCCATCAGTGTTTTGAGTGCTGAAAATAACATGATAGTGCATGTCCCTCACAGGAGAACTTCAGAAACATCACAGGTGTGCCACACTTGCACCTTGCAATTTACCATGTTTTTTCAGACTTCCAGTTAACATGGTGGGCCATGCTGCTGCTGGAAGCCTTGTGTCCCAAACACATTGAAATGCTGGATAAAGTGAGGAAACACTAAGAGAAGAAAAAATATGCAGCCAGGTGGAGAAGCAAGAAAGGAGCATCTTCAAGAGCTAGACTAGAAAAGGAGGTCAAATTCTCAGCAGGGAATATGAATGGAAGCCAGTTAGTTCCAGGGGTATACAGATTGGAGATGTGAGGTTCACCTGGTAAATTAAGAAAAAAGACCAGAAGTTGCCTGTAACTGGTGGAGATTAAATTGCTTGCTTTGCGAGGTGAGCTGAGAAAGTTTCCTTCACCCAGGAGAGGACAGAATTCCTGAGATTGCATGGATTCAGATGCAGGCCTCATATCTTCATCACTGGTGCTAATGGAAATCCTCAGCCAAGAAATTAACATAGAAACTGGTGACTCCTTATGGCCCTGGGCTGCCGTAGCCCCTGATCTCCCTATGGGGGTGCCTTTACAGTTGCACACATGTGCAAGCCCCCACAGAAAACAACGTTTGCTGAAGAGGAGTTTACAGACAAAATTACATGGCATACAGGAAAAATTACCACCATGAGAAAGAGAATCTATGGATTCTCAAGTGGGAAAACTCAGATCCTGGAAACTAGAAACCATAAAACAATCTGAAAGAGAATTTAAAATAAGAATATTTGAAATGTAAATAAAGGAATAGAAATTATAGCAAGATTAGGACATTATGAAAAAAGGGTAGATAAATTTGAAAACAAACCAAAAAGAAATTCTAAGTATTAAAAATGTATTAAAAATGCAGTCATTGCCATGTGCTTTCAGATTAATTATCTTATTAATGCTTCATGGAAGTTAGGGTAGGTAGTTTTATTCTTCGTGTGTTTTTTCAAAGTTTTTTTTTTTTTTTTTTTTTTTTTTTGAGACAGAATCTCACTCTGTCACCCAGGCTGGAGTGCAGTGGCACGATCTCAGCTCACTGCAACCTCCCCCTCCGGGGTTCAAGCGATTCTCATGCCCCAGCCTCCCCAGTAGCTGGGATTACAGGTGCACACCACTCCAGCCAGCTAATTTTTGTATATTAGTAGAGATGGGGTTTTGCCATGTTGGCCAGGCTGGCCTCGAACTCCTGACCTCAGATGATCTGCCTGCCTCGGCTTCCCAAAGGGCTGGGATTACAGATGTGAGCCACTGCGCCCAGCTTAAAGTATTTTTTTTTACTATAGAAGTACTCATGTATGTTGAAAATCTGGAAAATAGAGCAAATTATAGGAAAGAAATAAGAATAATTTGTTAACCTGTTACTCGGGTTAACTATTTTGGCATTTTTTTCCTAGTAGGGATTCTACTGGGTATAAAATTTTAGATCCTTATTTAAGCAAAGTTTTGAACCATGAGCCTTCTTCTATACCATAATTAAATTTTCTCTGAAAACATGTTTAATGGCTCTGTATTATTTTATTGTCTTGCTCTACCATACTTTATCTGTCTACTCTTGATGAATGTATGCACTGTGTACAATATTACGCACTTTAACCACAACATGTTGAACATTTGTTTGCATTTCAGATTATTCTTTAGAGCAGATTACCAAAAATGAGATGGCTTGATTTATGGGTGGGGCCTTATATTCTGTAAAGGAAGGAAGGGACAGGAATATATGAACATTTTTTAGCTGTATTATATATCATAAAGAATTTGTCTGGTCTTTGTCCCAGGTTCCTGGAGCTTCTAAAACCCTTGGAATTTCCAGAGTGATAACTGTGTCTCTGTTACTCATGGTGGGCCCTTGGGGCACAGCTGAGTTTATGCTAAGGAGATGACTCAAGATGGGGACTGGTCATGCCTGAAAGACCAACCATGTCATTAGAGGGTTAGGCCTATGGGCCATATGATATCAGGCTGACCTCCTGACCTCTGGGGAGCTGGAAATTTAGTTTAGTCTCATGGCTAGTAATTCAATCAGTCATACCTGTGTAATGAAACCCCAGTAAAAACTCTGGACACTGAGGTTCAGGGAGCTTCCTGATTGGTAAACACATTGATATGCCCAGAGGGTGATTTTCCCTGACTGCACAGGGAGAGGGCACCAAAGCTCTGAATCTAGGGCCCTCCCAGGCTTCACCCCATGTGTCTCTTCATTTGGCTGGTCCTGATTCTTACCCTTATAATAAAACTGTAATCCTAAGAATAGTGCTTTCATGAATTCTGTGAGTTGTTCTAGTTAATTATCTAACCTGAGGAGGTCATGGGAACCCCCTGGATTTGCAGCCAGCTGGTCAGAAGTGTGGGTGGCCTAGGGACCCCTGAACTGGTAGCTGGTAGCTGAAGTGAAAGCAGTCTTGCTGGGGACTGTACCCTTAAGCTATGGAGTCTGACCATTGACTTTAGGTGGTTTGTGTCACTATTGAATTATGGTATACAACTTGTGATACATATTTCCAATTGTGTTATAAAGTTTATGTACAAAATTACAAAAGAGTGTACCTTTAAGTAACGTTGACACCACTGGGCTTCAGTATCCTTATGTATGAAATGGGAAATTTAGTGACAACAACACAGAAATGTTGTATGATTGTCTTCGTAAAGTGCCTTGGACCAGCACCTGGTGCATAAAAAGCAGTCATAGGATGTCCATGAGCATGTGCCCATGTGCGTGCATGTTGTGTGAGCACTGCAGGAAAACCAGAAAACAAGCGAAGAAAACAGGAAAAGAAGAAATCATTTGAAATGACATCAAAGATATAAAAACGGGATATTTTGTATTTTGAAAACCTCATTGTTTAAATAGGTTGGCTTATCCCTTTTACATTTATTATTATATATTTGGTCTTTTGTCATCATGTTCCATTTAAAAAAAAAAACATTTTCTATTCTTTCCTGCTCTTTTTGTTATTTTCTATGTGATCTTCTGTTTCTCATTCTCTTTTCATTTGTGCAGGTCTACAGTTTTTTTGTTTTTACCTTAGAGCTAAAAATGGTTCTACAAAGGGTTACTTTTAAATCTTCAATGAACCTGCTTAAGCCTGGATTTCCCAAGCTATCACCTTGAGAAATGAAGCACCACTCTGTGACACCTCTCCTCCTGTTTTTGGTAGTTCTGCTTCAGGATTTTTTTTAGTTGGCGTTAGTGAAATAATTTTCATAGAATGTATTTCTTCTTTCAAGAATGATAGTAAATGCAATTGGTGTATAAGAGGCCCATCATTTTAATGGAAGAATAAACGTCACAGTTCTCCAGACTTAATTCTGTATTCAGATGGTTCCTGTGGTCACCCTTGGGTCTTTTCATGCATGCATCCTTATCCCCAGGTTCTCACTTAACATTTATCATGTTCCTATTAGATCTGCCTTCAAGGAGGTTTTATGTGAAAAGTGAAAGGTTTCAAACATACTCAGGACAAAGAGAACAAACATTCATGTACCCATCAGGCAGACTGAACAGTTACTAAGATTTCACCGTGCTTGTTTCATCTCTCTCTCCCCTGCTTTTCTTGCTGAAGTATTTTTAAACAAATTTATGAGATCTTGAGTCATTTTACCCCTGAATACTTATGTATATATCTTTAAAAAATATAGACATTTTCTTGCGTAAATCAATGTCATTAGCACAGCTAATAATAACTATTCTTTGGTATCCAGTACCCTATCTATATTTAGAATTTTCTTGAAAAATGTTCTTCAAATATGGTTCCCTACCTCCTCCCTCCACAAAAGGATATAAGAACATATACATCCCCAAGTCCTTCATGTCGATGAGGAGCCCGAGGCTCAGAGAGGTAGATTGGCTTCCTCAGGTCAGACCCTAGTATTGGGATTTGAATCCACACCCCTCTTAGTGAGCTTTATATTTTATGTACTACACCTGGCTGCCCAGGCATGGTTACCCCGAGTAGGGCGAAGCATGTAACCTCAACCTCAAGTTTCGCCCAAGATGTAGGGGCTGAAGCAGACAGGAAGATGAGCACTGCTCCAGGAAGCCTCCCACCAGTGCAGAAGAGCTCTTTTCTGGAAGACAGGGCTGGATGCCACAGTGAGGCAAGTCCAGCCCCAGCCCTAGGTCAGTGTCTTTTTTTGGTTTTGTGTCTATTCTTAAGGAGGTGTAAAGAGCTCTTTTCTGGAAGACAGGGCTGGATGCCACAGTGAGGCAAGTCCAGCCCCAGCCCTGGGTCAGTGTCTTTTTTTGGTTTTGTGTCTATTCTTAAGGAGGTGCTTCTGGTACACAGGCAGTGCCAAGGCCCCCTACAATGAAGCTACATGGCTACAGGGAGTTCTGAAGGTTATAGAAGACTATACAGCCTTTGGGATCTTAGCTCTGCCATGCACTCGCTGTGTGTTTTGAGCCTGTGACTTGACCTCTCTGACTGAGTTTCCACCTTTGGAAGATGGAATTAGAGTGCTTACTTTGCAGGGTTGTTGTGAAGATAATGTGAATGCAGATGTAAGCATCCCCAGCACCGTGCCTGGCACATAGTAGCTGTTTATAAATGCAAATATAATGTTGTCTTTATCTGCCAGGGAGGAGGACAGAGCACCAGCCACCTCTCCATCTCTACTGCACTGTCCCCTGGCCCCAAGACCTCTTCTGCATCCCCTTCCTCTCTCCTCTGGTCTGGATGGTTAGGCACCCAGGCTTTATGGGGCAGGGCATTGGAGCTGAGAGGACACCAGCTCTGAGCACCTGCAGGTTTTGGAGAGAAGGAAAGGACACTGCCAAGCACTTGCTCAGTGTCCTGTCACTCCTCAGGTGGTCTGGTTTCATGCTGCTTTACAGACCAAAGTGCTGGGCACAGAGGCAGATGTGTCTTATTGTCTTCTCAGAGTGTTACCAATTATTTCTAGTTTCAGTTGAAGAGACTCAGTTCATTGATGCAAGAGATTGACTCTCAGGATATGCCGGAGAACAGAGCCCCAATAAGAATCGGGGCAGGAGCTCAGGGGCTGTGGAAACACTCGTTGCCAGCAAGTGTGCTGAGAACACAAAGGAAATGCTTGTGATCCTTTTAGAGTGACTGGGAGTAAACATTTATTTCACCTTGAAGGAAATGAATGTTTCAGGAAGAGGCCCAGGAGCTTGACGAAGCTAGACAGCCCATGCCGTAAGCCACATAAAGGAGGACATCAGAACCAATTGGGTTAGAGAGGGCCTAATAAATTGTGTCCCTCACAAGGACCCAGCATTTTCTGTTCCTTGGGTGGGCCACATGTGCTCTTGAGAAGATTGGGAACAGCTGTACTGAGTTGTTGCCATTGAGTCATATCTGGTCCAGGGGCCAGCGGTTGGTGCCTCTGGTCATTCCGTCCTTTTCTAACAAAGCTCGAGGTGATCTGGCCATCTCCCCAAAGATCCCGGGGAAGTGCATGCTCAGCATCCTCCGTGCAGCACTGGCAGCTGGGGCTTCCGTAGCCCCCTGCTGTGTCCTGTGCCCTGAATGGCCCCTTCCCTTAGCTTTCCGGCCTGCTCCCTCCCTCCAGTTGCTAAATTCCCCTCTTCTATGCTTGCTTAGCAGAAACTTCTCATTTAACTTTTACATACTTCACTGTGTTGATGTTGTCTGTATGTGTGTGTGTGTTTCCCCCAGAAGACTCTGAAGCTTCTCGAGGGCAGGGACTGGGTTGGATTAATTTCTGAAGTTCAGAACCCAGCCTAGGGACAGCCATACAGAATGTAACAGAAGCAAACTTTTATTTCTGTGCCCAGATATGGTGGTGCACAGAGGGTTGTGTGGTGCACAGAGGGTAGCTGGTTTTGCAGGTACAGTATCAGGCATCTTGAGAAATTAATAGTGGGGAAGGAGAGCCCACTAAGGTGGGAATGCTTGCCTGGGACACCAGCCTGGCCTGCCTGTCGCCTCCACCAGGGGGCCCCCCTGCCCCGGCCCCTCTCGGGCCATTGCATCCTGTCCCTCTGGTTGCTTGCTTGGGGCTTGCAGGACATGGTGGACTCTGCAGGCTGCTTCACAGTGCAGTGTGTTCCTGCTGCTCCTTCTGAAATGTGACCTACCATGCCTTCTTCAGTCCCTCTGTCTCCATCCAGAAAAATGTCTAATTGTATCTTGAATTCATTTACATTGCTTGCTTCAATGGCCTCACTTGGCAGCTGAGCCCATATGCTAATTCCACCCTTTTCATGAAGGAATTCTGCTGATTTTACTTACTTTTTGTGACAGATTCCTCCCCCTACCCCCCCACTCCGTTCTTTTTTTGGTCTCCTGCTCTCCCAGTAAACAATTTCTTAGGTCCACTCTCGCAGGCTCTGTGACCCAGTGCCCTCAGGACACTTCATGGGGTGAAGCTCCTGATGGGTTTGAGTCAGGGCCCTGAGCACTGGCCCAAGCCCTTCCAGCACCTTCAGCTTAGGGTTAGTCAAGAATGTCCTGCCTTGGTTTCTTTGCTTCAGAGGAGGGGCTCTCTGTGGCTTGGGGACCCATTTCTACAAGGGTCTAAGACAACTGTTGTTTTTTGGAACCCATAGTGTAAGAGTTGGTGAGAGCGGCATTAACTCAGGGGCCTTGTGAGGACAGACCCTGCTTCCATGATAGGGGAGGAGGAGTCTGGGTCCGGGGGTGAATTGAGCCCGAGCTCAGTCCCAGTGCTTGCCTTTGCTGCCAGTGGGGCCTTGGATGAGAGTTCCTTGACCTCTCTGAGTCTTACTCTCTTAATCTGTAAAGCGGATATCTGAGGGCCCATCCTCCCCTCATTCAGATTACTGGGGTCTTCTCCAAGTGGATGCAGTCCTTGCAGCCCCTGAGTCCTCTCTCTATTGGCCCTGGGCCACTGGATCTTCACAGCATTTGATTTTCTCTTGGCACAGCCGCTTCAGTTGTTCAACTTTTCTCCCCTTTTTTCTGTTTCTAAACAAGCATACATAACCTTTTTAAGTGTTACTAGGATGCCACCACTGAGGACTAGAGAAGAGTTGATTAATTGTTGCTGGAGGGGGTGTTCTAAGTAATTGAACAGGCCCGGTCATCTCTGACCTCTCAGTGCTTTTCATTCACTTCATACATATTTGTTGAGCACCTATTCTCTGCTGCCATGTGCAAGGGATTCTGTGGGACAAGGTGGCCCAGGTCCCTGTCCCAGTGGGTGAAGCTGCAGAGGAGCTTGGGAGTCACAAACAGCACTATCCTAGGGCAACAGGGATTGTGGGGCTCTGAGGAGGGGCTGTCACCTCCAGATGAGAGGGAGCCTGGAAAATACCTGGGAGGTGACATCTAGCCAAAATTTGAAGGCTGGGTTGCCAGAGAAAGGACAAGGTGGGAAGAATGCTCCAGGCACATGTGCATGGGCCACGGTCCTGGGGTGATAGAGAGCATGGCTGAGTGAGGAGCTGAAGCATGGAGTATGAGGAGATGGGGGTGGTGGGTGTGAGGCTGTCAGGTGGTGCAGGTAGGGGCCCAACCACACTGGCCTTCTTGTTCCTTGCCCAGGGAGGAGGGTCAGGGTTGGGGAGTCGGTCTCTGACCTTGACCTCCTGTGACCCTCACTCTCTTCTCCACAGAGGGCAACATAGCACTACTAGATACCAGGTCCGCGGCCTGAGTGGGGTCTGATCCTGTCCTTGCACTTACCTGACAATTTGGCCTTGGGCAAGCAGGCAATGCAAACTCTCTGTGCCTTGATGTGATCATCTGCAAAATGGGGGTGTTGGTAATAGTACCTGTATCCTAGGACTGAGTTCAATGAGCTGATGTATGCAATGCACTTAGAACGGAGCCTAGTTATAGTGAACACTACATTAAATGTCACCTATAAAAACAGTGCTCATTTCTTGTGGAAAGGGCTTGGTAAGAATAACTTCTGTCCCAGAGGAAATTCCAGCCTGGTGTCTCTGAGGTTTTCCTGCTTCATGATCCAGGGAAATAATTGTCTTAGGTTATTCCTGGGCTTTCTACCTCCTGGGGCTATATTGAGACTCAGTATGAAAACCTATGTTTGAAATTCTAGGGAAAATCCCCACTAGAGAGAAAATAATGTCAGAGACTGTTTGGAGCTTTCACATGCATTAACTCCTTCAGTCCTCCTAACAGTCTATGAAGTAGGCCCTGTTTTTACACAGCATATGTATACTGTGGCTATGATACTAGGTGTGGGGCCTCGGTCCAGAGTGTTGGGGAGCGAGTGTTTGGCAGCCTCTGCACGGCCTTTTCATCAGCTTTGGAAGAAGCCAAGGCTAGAGAGCGAAGTGCTCTCCCCACGTGGCCCCACTGGAGGGGCAAGGGCTGAGTGAGATTCGTCTGCTCTCATTTGGACCCCAGAGAGCCCATTGTCCTTTCCTCCAGGATGACCCTCCTGGCATCCACCTTCCCCACCCCCACCATGGGCAAAACATGTCTCATGGGAGAAAGAAGGAGTGGGCTGTCAAATCTGCCCTACCCCAGGCATAGCGGACTGATTCCTGAGTGCTTTTCTGACTCCAATAGTTACAGGCCTAAAAGGCTAGATGTTTATTCTGTTTCTTCGAACTTTCCTTTCTAGCGAAAACTCCAGAGTTCTCACACTAGGGAGCTACAGGCCAGTCTTGGCCCATGGACATGTTTTGTTTGGGCCATGCTGTTTAAACATTTTTTTCAATTGGTTGTCAACATTTAAACATTGGCGAATTTCATATAATATTCCAGATTTTTGGCATCTCTTAAAAAATCAGAGGATCTGGCAACTTGAGGCCTACATTCCTGTCTGGCCATGGTGTACTGGAGCTGAGGAGAAACGGTCCCCTCCAAATGGGGTGCGGGAGTTTCTGTTCCCTTTGGTCTCACACCTTGACTTATGCCTAGCCCATGTTGCTCATGTGAGGTGCCCACCAGCCCTGGAGGGTTTCCTTTCCTTTCCTTTTCCTTTCCTTTTCCTTTCATTCTCTTTCTTTTATTTTTTCTTTCTTTATCTCTCTTTTTCTTTTCTTTTCTTTTTTCTTTTCCTTTCTTTCCTTTCCTTTTCTTTCTCGCCCGCTTTCTGTCATTCTTTCGTTTTTTCATTCATTCATTCTTTCTCTCCCTCCCTCCCTCCCTTCCTTCCTTTTCTTTATTTTCTTTCGAGACAAGATCGTGCTCTGTGGCCCAGGCTGGAATACAGTGGCACGATCATAGCTCACTGCAACCTTGAACTCCTGGGCTGAAGCCATCCTCTCCTTCAACCTTCAGAGTAGCCAGGACTACAGGCATGTGCCACTGCACCTGGCTAATTTTTGTTTTTTAAATTTGTTTATAAAGTTGGAGGTCTCACTATGTTGCCCAGACTGGTCTCAAACTCTTGGCCTCAAGCCATCCTCCCTCCTCAGCCTCCCAAATTGCTGAGATTACAGGTGTGAGCCACTGTACTTGGCCACTGGAGGCTTTTATATTTGGGACAACTGCTCTCCACTTCCTTTACTTTAGGACAGGCCTTTGTGAATGATAGCATTTGTTAGGGAGAATGGGAACTCAGGCTCAAGAGCACTCATAATGATCACTTTCATGATGAAGCACCTGCTGTCTTCCAGACCCAAGTGAGGTTGGTTAGCAAGTATCCATGAGCCTCACACTGCTCTGTTTATAGTATATGATCCCCATTTTACAGGTAGGAGAGACTGAGGCTCAAATAGGTAAGGGCCTTTAGACAGGTCTCGCTTAGCATGCAGATTGGGAAAGTTGAAGTAGAATCCAGAATGTTCCCTCAAAGTCTGTCTGTCTCCCCACACACCTTGCCCTCACTCTCAAGGTGGCCCATGCATCAGTAGGCATGCCCTGAAATCTAGAGATGGAGGACTCCAGGAAGTTTCCTTCACAGTTTCCCTTGGAGATCACTGGGTGCTCTCCAAGAGAAATCCTCTTTGGTGACCTTCAGGTAGGTGGCCGGTGGAACTAATTTATGTTGCCTCAGATCAGGCAGAGCCAGCATTGGCTCCTGGCTCCACCACATTCTAGCTATAGGACTGCACTGTCCCCCTACTCCTCTCCTCCCCTCCATCCCCTCTCTCCTGTCTTCCCTCGCCTCCTCCCCCTCACTCATTTTAGTGAGCCCTCATTGTGGACTGGGCTCTGTGTCTAACTTTCCAAGCCTCAGATTTCTCATACCTGGATGGGTTGTTGCTTGGCACTGTGGCCAGCCCAATCGAGACCTTGATAATTGGTAGCCATTGTTATGAATGATGAGGCTTTCCACTCATTTTCACAATGGAAATCACATTGACAGGACCCCAGAGTTACAGAATTTTTGTGAAAAATATTGACTTTAAAAAATAGCCTTTTCCCTAAGGCACCTTGTGGGAAGAGCTGAGATGACACTGAATTGCACAGATCTTTGTAACTCTGGCTCTCCCGTCTCATGGATCAGGTACCTTCTTTGTTCTAAGCAGTCTGCTAGGCACATCACATACCTTTCTAAAAGGTTAGTAATGGTTTCATCTCCATATGATAGATGAAGAAACAGGCCTGGAAAGCCCAGGCATTTTGTGAAAGATCATACTGCTGGTATGTGGAGCAGGGGCTCCAACTCAGGCTGGCCCTCCCCAGGGATTGTGCCCTGAGCCCTTTCCTGTGGGGCCTGATTCCCAACCCTGCCCCAGGATCCAAGGTGGACTCAGTGTCCATGTCATGTAACAAAAGAGTCAGGGGTTCTCGGTGCCCTGTTAGGGCCTGTTGTTCCTGGTTGGTTGGCAAGTCTGAGTGTTTATTCAGCACTGCTGGGAAGGCTCCCTGGCTTAATTCTGAGATTCCAAGCCATCCTGTCGTATCTCCCCCGACTCCCCCAGCTGAGAGAACTGGGAGAGACACGAGGACACACAGGGCAGGGGCTCTTCCCTGGGTGAGGTTTGTGTTTGGATTTCAGGCGTCGCTGATGGTGAAGTGTGCTTAGGGTTTTCTTTGTAATTCACATTCCTGTGTCTACCTCTTACTGTTTTGTCCAAAAATTCTTGTATCCATATTTGGTGATTTGTCTCTCTGTTCCCACCCCCACCCCCAAGCCCCTCAAGGTGTCTGCCAAAATCCTGTATAACTCGTATCATCTCCCAAGCTGTTATAGTATATGAGGGCAAAGGATAATTTAGTTATTTTTGAATAAAGATTCGGAGGAAAAGTAAAAAAGTTGGGCAGGGGGTGGGGGGAAGTTTTCATACTCACTGCATGAAATAGACAATATTTCCTGAAACAGGAGATACGAACCTCAAAGAATTTAAAATAAAACATTCATTTTATTATTTTTTTAAAGAAGGAAAACGAGGGGAAAAAAGTAGAATAGTCAGTCTTTTTATCCTAAGTACAGATGAAATTGATTAAACCTTAAAGACTGGCCTCTGCACACCCGGTTTATTAATTGAAGAATTTCCTCTTACCCGGAATGGGAAGTTCACATTAAAATCGAGCTTGCCCTGAGTGGTAGTGACACTTGAGAACTGAACATTTTCCACAATCCTATTTTCTCTTCAGTGCTAGAGGAAATCCTAAAATGGTTAAAATGGGGGGAAGGGGACTGAGGCGGGAGAGAACAGAAACTGTACATTTTAAGGAAGCCTAAAGCATGAAATCAAATTATAGCTTATGGGCCACAATTATTTTATTTCTACATTTCAAATTCCATTTTCTGCTCTTTTTCACTGCTCTTGAACAGGAGTTGTACTGTTGTGCAAAGTCAGCTAAAAAGATTACCCTAGATAGACTATGACACGGTAGCTTAAAGAAGCAAAAAGGCAAAACTCCCTGGTTAGGTTGGGAGCCCTGTGGCCCTACAGAGCCCTCATGTCTGCTTCCATCTGGAAAGGCGACATAAGCAGCCATCACCCCCCGGACTCCTTGGCCCTGACAGGAGCTTGGAAACCTCCACTCTTCGTGTGTCTTCCTGTATGAGGCTGACTCTGCCTCTTGTCCTCCCAGTGATCAGTGTCTACTTCATTGCCTCCCTAGGGGTGGGCCGCTCCTGGCTGACGATAAGCTGATGCCTGGCGCATCATTAATGCTCTGGCTTAGCAGGACTGAAGGTCATGCATTTTCCAGTTTTCTTCCAGTCCCTGGATTTAGTGCCAGCACACCTTTCCCCTACCTCTCACTGACCCCTTTTCGGCAGAGTGAGTTCCAGGCTCAGTGCTTCAGCAGGCCATGTTATCCAGTTAACATCTAATAATGTTTTATTTATCTTTACAGTTAATTTCTCCTTAACGCAAATTTAAGAGTGTTGTACTTATGGTCATGTAAAGTTGTTTTTAATATAAGTGCATTTGAATTTTAAAAAATGATATGATTTAAACATACATGTGAGTAAATAATAGTAGAGGTAGTATCCATGGGTCTGGCAGAAATCATGAAGGTGGCTCATGGATGGAGAACCCTGGCTTAATTCATACTTCTTCCCTGATGTGGATCAGCTGTTTTGAAAACTTCTAGCCAAAGAGCTCTTTAATCATGTCTCCAGTTATCCATCCACATCTTTACCAGCCCTTGCTCTCAGGAAGTTCTCTTACAGATCTACCTGAGCTCCCTCATGCTTCTGTTGAAGATCACTTTATTTTGTATTTTCATTAGATAGGGAACATCCTACATTGGATAGGTCCCTACCTCTGACCTTGAGCATCTCCTTAACTTCCTCTTCCCTCAGCCTCATGGTGGGCATGCAGGCTCTTAGACTCTGGCAGACAGGCGATATTGCTTAGTATCATGGTACAAGTTCTCCTGTTGAGTTGGAGGTTTGGGTTCTAATCCAGTCCTCCAGTTTGTTAGCTGTGTGACTGAGGGCAAGTCACTTCAGATCCTTCAAATCTCTTCAAGTCTCAGCTTCTGCACCTGTGTGTGTGAATAATAATAAATGTTTCCTTCCTGGGCTATTAAGATTAATTGAAATAATGTGCCTGGTGCATTCTTAAGCATGCAATATGTGTTCATTCTCTTTCTTCCTTTCCCCGATTCCCTGACCTGTAGTCATCTTTTTATTTATTTATTTATTTATTTATTTAATTTATTTATTTTGAGACGGAGTCTTGCTCTGTCGCCCAGGCTGGAGTGCAGTGGTGTGATCTTGGCTCACTGCAACCTCTGCCTCCCGGGTTCAAGCAATTCTCGTGCCTCAGCCTCCTGAGTAGCTGGGATTACAGGCACACACCACCATGCCTGGCTAATTATTGTATTTTTAGTAGAGATGGCATTTCATCATGTTGGCCAGGCTGGTGTTGAACTCCTGACCTCAAGTGACCCTCCCACCTCGGCCTCCCAAAATGTTGGGATTACAGGCATGAGCCACCGCTCCCAGCCCATTTTTTTCATTTTTAAGCTTTTTATTTCAAAGTCATTTCAAACTTAGAGAAAGGCTCTAAGAATAGTACATAGGACTCCCGTATGCCCATCACCCTTGAGTCATCTTTGTGACCATCCTTGCATACGACAGCATGGTTTGGGTACAGCCAGACAGAGACTTAGGAGTTGCTCTCTAGCAAGGCTGACTGTGGTGCGAGGACATTTCCATGGATTCCTCCACTGGTCTTGCAGAAGGCTGAAACCTCATTAACAGAAAATCTTTATGACCACTAAGCAGACATAACTGGGTGTCTTCTCTCTGCTACCCTCCCACCCTGCCTTAGGTGGATTGTCTAACTTGTAGATCAAAGCTAGCCTCTTGACAAGTTTCCTAATAGGACAGGTACATACCTAGAGTTGTGTCTGAGATGACTTGATGTGTGCACAGATATGGTGTTAAGGGACGTCGATCCCAGTGAGAAAGTTATTCCCATTTCAAGATTCTTTAAGTCCTTCTGATGACTTTAAGGAGATCTCAGGTTGGTGCTGGGAGCTCTTATACTTCTCTTAACATTGTAAGCTCAGTGCCTGTTACTGTAACCATGTCTGGCTAGAACTTAATAACAGTGTTTTACTTTTATTGTACTTCTTTTTTTAAACTTTTCACTTATGGTAAATTATGCTGGTTTTCCAGTGATATGAAGCTTTACTTTTACTTACTTACTTATTTATTTTATTTTATTTTTTTGAGGCAGGGTCTCATTCTGTTGCCCAGGTTGGAGTGCAGTGGCGTGATCTTGGCTCACTGCAACCTCTGCCTCCTTGGTTCAAGTGATTCTCCTGCCTCAGCCTCCCATATGTCTGGGACCACAGGTGCACACCACCACACCCAGCTAATTTTTGTATTTTTTTTTTTGTAGAGATGGGGTCTCTCCATGTTGCCCAGGCTGGTCTTGAACTCCTGGGCTCAAGCAATCCCCCCACCTCGGCCTCCCAAAGTGCTGGGATTATAGGCCTGAGCCACCGCGCCCAGCCTGAAGCTTTACTTTTAAAAATAAATTGCTCTTGAGTCAGTAACGTATGTATGTACATAGTTCAAAATCTTAAAGGTACAAAAAGGTACACAGTAAAAAGTAAATCTTCCTTTTACCCCCTGCTTACCTAGTTTACTTCCTGGAAGCAAATTGCTATAACCATTTTCTTCTAAAGATTCCAAAGACACTTCATGATTTTTAAGCATGTTCTTTCTCCCACGGATTCTCTAGAAGTGGCAATATACTGTGCACACAGTGAACACACCAGCTCCGCTAGAGCTCTATTCAGTGAATAGTTACCGTGGTGTTTTTAAATAGCTGGGTCATGTTCTGTTTTATGTACATGTCATGGTTTAGTTAACTACTTCCCTTCCAACAGGCAGTCAGGCTGGTTCTGACCTTTTGCTCTTCCAGACACGTAGCAATGAGTGTCCACATATGTGCCCCATGTGCACGTGGGTCACTGCTAGTCCCCAGGGGTGTTTGACGGCCATTTGCCAGCATGTGCTGCTCCTACCCCCAACCCCACCCCAGTGACAGGCAGGACTATCTGTCTCCCCTGTGTGGATGGGCAAAGGTTTGTTTGTTTGTTTGTTTGTTTGTTTGTTTGTTTTCAGACGGAGTCTCACTTTTTCGCCCAGGCTGGAGTTCAGTGGCGCAATCTCGCCTTACTGCAACCTCCGCCTCCCGGGTTCAAGTGTTTCTCCTGTCTCAGGCTCCCGAGTAGCTGGGATTACGCAGCAACACCAGGCACGCAACACCCCATCCGGCTAATTTTGTATTTTTAGTAGAAATGGGGTTTCACCACATCGGCCAGGCTGGCCTCAAACTCCTGACTTCAAGTAATCTGCCTGCCTTGGCCTCCCAAATTGTTGGGATTATAGGCGTGAGCCACTGTGCCCAGCCAAGAGTGTTACCAAATGTTTGAGGTGACTCGGCCTCCTGTATAAAACTTGGGTTCTGGAGCCACATAGCCTGACTTTGAATTCTAGCTCCCTATCTTTCTAGTTCTGCGACCCGTGACTTAATTTCCTCATCTGTAAATGGCGGGGGGCGGGGGTGGCGGTGACACAGAGTGTCAGCAGGCTCCCAGAATGTCAGGGCTAGGCAGGCCGAACACTCAACATGTTAGCTCTTTGTATTATCATCAGTATTATTTTGTCAGTACAGTAGGTGAAAAACAGAATTTCAGTGTACAGTGGTTTTAATTTGCATTTTTTTGTTACTAGTAAGGTGTGATGTCTTATCATGTTTGAGCTATTTTTATTTCTTTATGCCCCTGCTTATTTCTCTGACTTCATCTCCTTCCTCTTCCTCAAACGCATGTGGAGGCTTTGCACTTGTTCCTCCCTCTGTTGCCTACCAACTCCTTCTCCGCTGAGTCTGTGCCCAGATAGCTCCTTCTCAATGAGGCCTCTCCTGACAGCCTGATTTAAAATTGCAGGCCACCTGCTTCGCAGACAGCTCGGAGCCTACTTCTCCTGCTCTTTCTCCCCAGGATGCTTAGCCTCTCTGACCCTACTGTGAAATTCACTTACTGTGTTTTAATGTTTGCTTTTGCTCTACCCTACTGGACTGTGAGTTCTCGATTGCAAGGGGTAGGGACTGTTGTCTGTCTGGCCTCTCAAGTGTGCCAGCCACCAACTCTACGTCTGGCATGAGGGAGTGTTCAGTAAACGTGCTGCGTGTGAACTAGCTGTTGATACCATTTACATTTTTGATTGGACTGTCGCTCTTTTTAAAAAATCCATTTCTATATTTCCAATTTGAAATATTAAGGAAAACAGTCCTTTGTATGTAGTATGCATTTTAAGCTTCTCTCCCTTGTCACTGGACTTTATCGTATTTTCCTATACAGAGATATTTGGTTATTATATTGTTGAATTTGTCAGTGTTTCCTTTTTATTTTCTTCTGTGTTTATTCTGTGGGTTTTGTATCTTACCTAGGTATTTTTTTACTTTTAAGATTATAAAAATTTTTTTTCTCACCCTTTCTTTCAGTACTTTTTTGGTTTTCTGTTTTTATGTTTGAAACCTTGATCCATTTGGAATTTATTCTGGTGTCATGTGTATGGTAGACATCCAATTTTATTTTTATCTAGATGGCTACCCATTGTCCCTTTATCACAATTATGTGATTGTCCCTGTTTCCAGATGTGGACCTTGGGGTCAGAGAGGGAAAGATCCTTACCCAAGATTGTGCAGCCAGCAAATGGACTTGCATCCTGCCCTGCTCCCCTCTCCCAGCTCTGCGGGTGTTTTGCCATGAGTCTCTAGCATTTCTTGTTTTTTTGGCTTTCTTTCCTTTTGGCGGGGGTCCAACACCTCTATTTGTCTGCTATCTTGTCCAGGGCCATTTATTTTTTGCCTTGATGTCTTACATGGACCTTCTTTGTTGTTCCTCCTGTTCCTCCACTGCTGACATGCTCTCATTGTTCACCCTGGCCTTTCTTCAGGTGGTGATGAATGTCTCCTTTGGCTCCCTCCTGCAGGACTATGCCTCAGGTTGTGCACTTTGTTCTCCTTCCTCTCTATCCTCAGGGCCTTGCCCACCTGCTCTTTGGGATGCCTTAGGGTTCCCAGAGCACTCAGGAATGCATGATTCTGGCCAAGAGGCAGCTGATAATAGAAAAAGCAGAAATTTTGAAGTCAGACAGCCCTTGGTACTAGCGCTGCCTCTGCTGTTGACTGTTGGGCAATTAGACCTCAGATTTCTCTTTATGGAAATGGGAGGTCTCCTCTTCCAGGGGATAGTGGTGAGGATTAGAACTAATGCAGAAGTCACAAGCTCAGGTGCCTGTTGGGAGCCAGGCTAGTAGTACAAATGCTGGGGTGTGAGGCAATAGGGAATTGCAGGAACCAGGGTAAAGTTGGGAATGCATGCCTGTTCTCCAGGAGACAGCTGCTCCTCAGCCACATCAGACAAAGGCCCAGTCTAACCACATGTGCTAATTCATGGAGATTTTTATGTGACATTTCTCAAGTTGTAAATGTTGGCAGTGTATGCATATTCTAACAGGCACTGCACAGGCTAGACAATGCCCATTCCAGATCCTCAGGCATCTTTAAGTTGTCAGTTTGCAACCAGTGATGTGAAGTCCTTGGCTCCAATTCAGCTCTCAATCCACAGTGGCTGTTATTCGGGGTTTTTTGGGGTTTTCTTTGAGCTTGCTCTGTCGCCCAGGCCAGAGTGCAGTGGCATAGTCTCGGCTCACTGCAGCCTCCACCTCCTGGGTTCAAGTAATTCTCGTGTCTCAGCCTCCATGCATACCACCATGCCCGGCTAATTTTTTGTATTTTAGTAGAGACGGGGTTTCATCATGTTAGCCCAAGCTGTTCTCAAAGTCCTGAGCTCAGGCAATCTGCCCACTTCAGCCTCCCAAAGTGTGTAATGGCTGTTATTTGAATTGTGGCTGCTGCTTTTGGGTTTCTTGTCAGTCAGGCAGCACCCTGCAGTGTCCCTGCTGGACGCTGGGTCAACTCTGTTCCCACTAGTTACTTCCGGTTCTTGGAGTTCTTAAACTTCTTCTGGTCCACGTGGTATGGCATATCCTTTACCTGGAGACCAAGAAGCCAGGGTTTGACTCTTAATGCATCATGGGACCAGGACAGCAATGTCTAGTTCTGCCGGGTCAGCTTCTCCTGCTCAGGGGTCTCCCTGCAAGTCTGGTGAGATTTGGCCAGGATGTTTGTGGAGGAGCCTGCCTTTGCAGGGCAGTTCAAACAAAAAGGATGTCCTGCCCAGTGGTGGATACAGTGATCCAGGCTGTTGGCTGGCACTTACCAAGAAACCCCGTGAGGGGCCAGCTCCTGGGTCCACAGGAGTTGGGGGAGGCACTGTTTGTATTCGCTCCATGCTGCCGTTAATACTCTTCCTCTTCCTCCTCTGGAGGGCACAAGGCCTTTGGGTATATGTGAGTCCTAAAGGAAGGAGGAGGCCAGTTCTTGAGCTCTTACTGTGCTGGCATAGTGATACTTGCAGCAGCTTGCATTTAGTGAGTCTGGGGCATGTGGCAGATGCTGGGTGAGGTGCCCTCCTCCAACTTACTGTGTTGTCTCTGGCATCAGCATCTTCCAAGGAGGAATCCCAGGCTCCAGGAGGTCAAGAGGTGTACTTGCCTGAGGCTGTGCAGCTGGCAGAGCGAGATGCTTACCCTCTGCCCCCGCCTGCCTCAGAACTTGAGGTGGGCTTCCAAGCTGCCGCCCCGTTCCTCCTGCCCACAGGCAGCACCCCTCTCTATGAATTCCTTGATCACATGCCTCAGATCAAAACATGCCCTCCCTCTGGGCTGTCTCCTCTACAGGAACCTGAGTTTCCAACTAGAGTGGTAGACACCACTGTCAGTAGAAAACAGAAATGCAATTATTGTTTCTGTTTTACAGATGTGGAGATGGAGCACAGAGAGGGTGAATAGCTTTATAAAACTCCCCTCCATCTGAAACTGTTCATGAAAATGGTGATAACAAGGACCAGGGTCCCCGGAGCCTTCTCCTGTGACTGGGGCCTCCTTTGGCCACCTGGTCCCCACTGGAGGGTCTGGGCCTGGCCAGGAGCCTCTAGCCTGTTAAACTCCTAGCACCTCCTGCAGTCGATGGAGTAACCTGGTGGTTGTTAGCAGCATGGGCAGCATGAATGTTTGGCTTCAGTGAGAGGGCTGAGCAGAAAGGCTGAGAGAGAGTGCATGAGTGTGGCATGCTGCCCTGTGCCCAGGTGGGTGCTAGGTCACAGGCACTGTGCAGGGCCTGGTCGTGACCGCCCTCCTTCTCTCCTCCCCTTTCCCCTTCCCCAACTCCATCAGCAGGCTTTGTCCACTTGTGTTTGCCTGGGGTCTGCCTGGACTAGTGGGGACAGCAGGCCTTGTTACAGTTCGACCAAGAGTGATGGGGCCCAGGTTCAGTGCTCACAGCTGTTAGTACCAGCTCCTGCTTACTGAGGGTGCTTAGGGCTGAGTCTCTCCTAATCTTCTGCAGGAGGCATCTTTGTTTAGGTCCTGATTGTGGATGAGGAAATTGAAGCTCCTGGTAAGGTTGTGATTTGAACATATCCAAGCTTGGGGACCTCCAAGCCCTGCTCTTGCCACTTCCTCTTATTTGTGGTCCTTGTTTCCTTGGTCTTTAAAATGACCCTCTTGTTTAAGCCCCTTCCATTTCCAAATCCTCTGAGCCTGTGCTGAGGAGGACAGGCTGGACACTGCTGGTTAGTCCCACACCTTCCTGGTACCAGTAGGAATTTGAGAGGGAAAGTCCAGGCTTACCCTGTTTCAGGAAAACTGCAGAAGGAGGAAAACTAATTCTCCTTAAAACTGATTTTCTCCTTGCTCTCTCTGCAGAATGGGCTGCAATGTGACTGAAGTCTTGCTGCCTTCCCATCCCCTGCCCTTGGCAGAGAGTCAGGGTTGGGACAGCTGCAACCTGTGTTGGATGGAGCCTGATCAGTCCTGGGTTCTTGCCCCTAGTTGGGTGGCTTTGGGCAAGTTATTTAACCTGTCTCAGCCTCAGTCTTCTTACCTGTATAATGAGGAGATAGGCAATACATTGAATAAATGAATAAAAACAGCTGCAAATAATAATATAAGGCTCTCGCCCTGGAGTCTGAGAAGCTGTGTTCTGAGGTGGGGACCTCTGAAACCTGCCCGTTTTGTCCTGGAACACCTGCAGGGGGCTTGTACAGAGCAATTGTTTTATTCTGGACATAAGATCTTGCTGCTCAGAGTTTCAGGGTACTGTTGTAGAGCAAAATCAGTAGACTGAGTTCAAATCCCTCTGAATCCTTGCTCCTTGACCTGACTTGGTTACTTCACCTCTCTAAGCCTTTGTCCTCTCTCTCTCTCTCTCTTTTTTTTTTTTTTTTTTTTTTTGAGACAGGGTCTCACTCTGTCACCCAGGCTGGAGTACAGTGGTGTAATCAGGCCTTGACCTGCAGCCTTGACCTCTCTGGGCTTAGGTGATTATCCTACCTTAGCCTCCCAAGTAGGTGGGATTACAGGCATGCACCACTACGCCTAGCTAATTTTTGTATTTTGTATAGAGACAGGGTTTCACCATGTTGCCCCATGCTGGTCTCAAACTCCTGAGCTCAAGTGATTCACCCACCTCAGCCTCCCAAAGTGCTGGGATTACAAACATGTGCCACCACGCTGAACCAATTTTTGTATTTTTGTAGAGACGGGGTTTCACTATGTTGCCTAGGCTGGTCTTGAACTCCTGAGCTCAAGTGATCTGCCCACTTTAGCCTCCCAAAGTGCTGGGGTTACAGACCCAGCCTGTTTTCCCATTTGTAATACCCACATTGCAGAGTTGGTGTTGAGATGTAGGTAAGAGGAGATGAAGACATGTAGACCACCACTGTGCATGTCATAATAGCAGATGTAGAAGTGAAAACCGTGGTAACAGCTAATATAATTGAGGATTTCATATGTCTAGGCACTGTTCTAAATTGTTTACATATCTGATCTCATTGAATCTTCAGTGCAATCCAATAACATAGGCAGTATCATCGTCCTTGTATAAGATGAGGAGCCTGAGGCACAGAGAGAGTTAATGTATTTGGCAAATGGTCATAATAATAGTAGGATATTAATTGCCACTGCAGTTTTATATTGTTGATAAAATGTATTTACATTGTTCAATGAATATTTAAAAAGTCACCAGTCAAAAACAAATTTTGGCCAGGCACAGTGGCTCACGCCCGTAATCCTAGTAGCACTTTGGGAGCTGAGGTGGGAGGATCTATTGAGGCCAGGAGTTCGAGACCAGCCTGGGCAACATAGCAAGACTCCACCTCTACAAAAAAATTTTAAAAATAAGCTGGGTATGGTGGCATGCACCTGTAGTCCCAGCTACTTGGGAGGCTAGGACAGGAGGATCGTTTGAGCCCAGGAATTCAAGGCTGCAGTGAGCTATGATTGCACCACTGCACTCCAGCCTGGGCAACAGTAAGACCCTGCCTCTAAAATTAAAAAAATAAAAAAATAAATAACAAATAATGGCACACATTTACCTACATAACAAACCTGGTCATCCTGCACATGTACCCCTGAACTTAAAATATAAGTTGGAAATAAATTTTTTTTTCTTTATTTTAAATGTAACATTATTTCTCCTTCTTATAATGCCCATAGCTTTGACTTTTTTAAAAAAAAATCTGATTTTGAGGTTGCTAAAATATGTTCAAAGTATAATGTTAAGTTTCTCCAGCTGAAATATTTTTTTCTGAACATATTTTATTCCTTCAGTCCCAAAAGGAAAATTACACCTCACAGATAACTTATGCTTTGTTAAATGCTGACCCTTGTAAGTTTTTCATTATTTTTGAAATGATTAAGATATATAATTTACAGAATTGGAAATTGTAATTTTTAAATGTACTGAGAAACTTTAACCCTATTATAATTATTCTGCAAATCTTTTAAGGATACTATAGTCAGTACAACTAGATGAAAAACTCTGATAGATTGGGAAATATAGAGGATCATTTATAAGCCTTGATTTTTTTGTCTTGTGTTTCCCACCCACTCACTCGCTATGTCCCTCTAGTCTCAGAGCGATTTTCTACCCTGGGTTCATGGGAATTGGGAAGGACACTGTTTGATTCATTCTATGAAACTACTAGGGATTTTGAAAAAGGCAAGACGGGCCAGTTGTGTCACTTCCTGTCGTCTGATCAAAAGTTTGATGAAGAAAAGAAAGTAACTGAGAGCTGCTGCCAGGCAGCAGGCAGTTGCCTGGTGATGACCCCGGGTTTCCAGTGCTAGTCTGGTTCCCAGTGTGGCCAGTCAAGTCCCTCTGACCTCTGGGCTCCTTAGAAGTCCCTGGTGCTGGCTGCGCTGCACGGGGTCCGCTCAAGAGCCTGGCCTTTTGGAACAAAGACGGCTTTTGGATGCTGGATCAGGCTGCAGATGAAATCCCAACTGGCTCCTGAGTGTTTGGGTCCTATCTATGCTTAGTTTTCTGGGTCTGTCAATCAGTTTCATTTCCCATCCACAGGATCTCAATAGGCGTGAGAAGCAAGAGGGCCTGATGCGTGGAGCACATGAGTCATTCCCCTACTGGATAGTTGACTGGATAGTTGTGTATACCAATAGGAAATCGACTGTTGAAGAAGAGGAACAGATTCCTGCTGAATAAAGTAGAAGAGGCAGGGATATGGACATTTGCTGCATTAGTCCAGCAACGATGTATTAAGCTGTGCCCAAGCTGGGTCTTGTGCTGTGAATACAGATTGAAAACCCAGGCCTTGGTTATGAACCCTCAGCATGGAGCCGGGTGGGGCATCAAGGATCAGGGGCAAGTGAACCTGGGGCAGGTGTTCTGGGCAAAGCAGGAGCAGGGGCAAAGGCAAGGAAGGGAAAGGGGCGAGAGTCCACCTGGGTCCTACCTTGATCTTTAGATGGGAAGTGGGAGAGTTGATGGGGGGAGGGGGAGAAATTGTGGGCTGGGTCCCCACTGGGCAGGGCGGGCTGTGTGGCGTGGGAGTTAAGAACCTGGGCACCAGGGTTCAGATCTCTTCTCTGCCACCTACCTGCTGTATAACCATGAGCAGTCAACAGACTTCCCTAAAGCCTCGACTTCCTCATCTGTAAATTAGGGGCTAGGTAGTGGCAGGTGTTTAAGTTCTAGAGGGAACTTGGATAGTCAGAATTACTCTGGAGAAGTCCTTAAGGAACCCATGAGGTTGAGTGGCCTTGGTTCTGTGGGCACAGCTTCACCCACCGGAGAGGGAGGCCTGTGGGGCCAGTGCAGGATCCATTCTGCTGTGAAGGTGGAGACTGGAAAATAGGCTGGGCCCCCAACGTGTTCCTCCCTCCTTGTTCCCTGCTGGGCTTTATCTCATCCTGCCTCAAGACCCAGTCTCACAGCCCTGTGGCCAGTTCCCAGATTTACTGATGGTTAGGACCCGGAAGACAGTTGGGTGTATCTTCTGGGTAGGGAAGGCTTGGGCTCAGCTTGTGTGAGGGAGGCATGAGTGTCATGGGGCCATGCGGAGAGGGCGAAAAGCCCAGGAAAGGGTTTGTGGAGCACACAGCATGGTGCTTGGCACAAGGTGAGTGGGAAGCAACTGGTAGTTAAAAAACAGGGAGCCTCCCACAGCCACATTGGGGAGTCTTTTTTTTTTTTTTTCCAGTGGACAGTGGGGCTCTTAGCATGAGAAGGGCATGGTCAGGTCTGTGTTTTATTGTATTATTTATTTATTTATGCACTTAAAATTATAATTTTATTTTAGAACAGATACTACACATCCCTGTTTAAAATGAAAAGGAACCGAAGAATGTACAGAGAATTTCCTTCCTACTCATCTTTGGTCTCCCAGCAGACAACCAAGTCATTAGTTTCTTTTGCATTCCCTCAGAGATATTTTATGTGTGTCGAAGCAAATACTTATGCAGTATGTGACACCCACACACATGCACACACATACACACACACGTATACCTTATCCCCTTTTCAACACAAATCACACTCTGCACATTGTGCCTTGCCCTTCTCACTCACTCCGCCTTGGATATCATTCCATAGTGGTAGATAAAGAGCTTCTTCATTCTTTTAAATGGGTGTATAGTATTCTGTCATGGCATTATAGCATTATATTCTTATTTTCAACCTGTCCCCTGCTGATGGACATTTACCTAGTTTCCAGCATTAGCTGTAACAAACATGCTGCTTGGCTGGGTCAAAGATTATGTGCCTCTGCAGAGGTTATACCAGTTAACCCCCGACCCCCGCTCCTGCCCAGCAGTATATGAATCAGTGATATATTTTTAGAAAGTGCCTTTGGGAAGGCTGTTTGGAGGATGGAGTTTGGAGGGCCACATCTGAGCTGCAGCAGCCCATTAGGGACTAGCCAACATGAGCCTGCCATGGGCTATGGGAACTGGAGCTGGAACAGAGAAAGAGTCCAGAGGAGAGTTGGTAATTCAGTAGCTATGAGAGGGAGTCTATCAGATGAGTCGAGCCTGTTTTTAATAGTCTGTTCTGTTCACGGTAGATGATAGAGTCAGTGTCCATCCCCTCTGTGGCTGTAGCAGAGACCTGGGCCCTCCTGCCCCTTGACCTGGCAGAGGAGATGCTGCTGCTGCTGCTGCGTGCACCTGAGCCTAGCCCTGTGGCCCCAGCTGGCAGGATGAGGAGAGGAGGCTGGACAGGGAGAAGCAGAGTGGGAGACAGGAGGGTTGGGGCATGCCTAGGTCTACCTGAAGTCAGAGAGACACACCGTTCTGTGGGAGGCCAGAGGAGTGTCACAGGACAGGGGTGACCAAGAGGCCTCTTGGAACAGTGGGAAGAATTCTTCAGCAGTGGTGTCAGGAGCCCTGATTTCTAGTGTCTTCGATACTAGTTGGCTGTGTGATCTAGAGCACATGACCTAGACCCATGTCTGTGAGTCTCCGTTTCTTCATCTGAAACATAAGTTTACTGGAGATTAAGTAAGCTGACCTAGTGTGCATAGTCAGAGTGCCCGAAAAAAGAAAGGCCCTCCCTCCTCCATGCCTTCCCTCTATCCCCAGCAGTGGGATAGAATCAGCATCATCAGAGTCATTCACAGAGCAGTCTCCTCTGCATTGCCAATGACCATAATCCGATCCCGAGAAATGCTTCATGGGCATTCTTATAAGCTCAAAATGTAATTATTCTTCATTTTAATAGGGAAAATGTTTGTATATTCCTGCAGTACGAAGTTACACGCTTCTTGTTGAAATGACTCCAAATCCCGTTAAAAAGGAAACAGTCACTTCACTGGCTAACATTATGTTCCTGACATGATTTATAGCAGTTTCCCTTCATTCACTTTCTGTAACTTGTCTGTCTACCTGCTGTTGTTCAGCTCAGGTGTGCTGTACAGTAGGATGATGCTCACAAGCGTGCACGCACACACACACACACACACGCACACAAATGTTCAGTACTTAGCGATTATGACACAGAACCTTAGATGCTCCTAACACCCCAGAAGGAATAGGACTGAGCCGTAGCACTGTGAGGAAAAGATGCTGTCCACTCCCTAATCCTCCCCCTTCTGCCTCCTCTACTTTCTCAGTCTTCTCTCATTTCTTAGCAAGGGCAAGTATCTAGCCATTTGCCAAGCCTAGTACGAAACTTTTTTTTTTCCCCCTGCTGAGACATTTCTTCCTCTGTCAAATGGAATGAAAGTGATAGGATTGGTGCAATAGAAAGGCACGGGTTTTGGAGTTAGATGAGCCTATACCTAAACCCAGCCCTATTGCGTGTTAGCAGTGCGATCCTGGGCAAGCTCTCTGTGTTTTGTGGACCTCAGTTTCCTCATCTGCCATGGCAGTTCTGAAGCTTCAGGTCCAAGTGCCTAGCACAGGGCCTGTAGCCAGAAGCTGTGTAGTCACCATTTATTCCACTTTGCTCACTTTTACTGCAGTGCTTTGACCTGGGGCATTGGGCAACTTTCTGTGGGGCTCACCACCCCTTTTCCCTTTCTAACCTTCTCTTCTCTTATTCCAGGGGCCCAGATCATTGATCTGATGATGCTGGTCATCGATGTGACCAAGGGGATGCAGACCCAGTCAGCGGAATGCCTTGTGATCGGCCAGATTGCCTGCCAGAAGCTGGTCGTGGTGCTGAACAAAATAGACCTCTTACCTGAAGGAAAGAGACAGGCAGCAATTGATAAAATGACCAAGAAAATGCAGAAGACCCTAGAGAACACCAAGTAGGTCTGCTAATGAGAGCAATGTTCACTGCATAAGAAGGCTTCTGGGGCCTCCCATGTTCATTTCACAAACATGAATTGGACAGGCAGGTGTCAGCCTCCCGTCCTAGTAAGTGAGATCTCAACCTGGCATTTGCTCACATAAGGGCTGCATTAAATGAGGTAAAGGCTAACGTGTTTTTAAAAGAGGCCAAAAACCACAGGAGCATAAAGAAACTAGAATTTGATGAGGCACAAGCCCTTCTGTGTCTCAGCTCACAGGAAGGAGAAGGAGCACAGGGACTCTGTGCCCAGTGTGCAAGGCCTGGACTGGCAAGGGTTCAGATCCTTTCTACTTAGCTTGTCTTGATAAAAACTTAGTCCCGCCTACATATATTGGCCATACTTTGGTGCAAGAGAGGCTAGGACTGTGTTCTCTTGCTATCTGCTTCTCTACAACTCGATTATCAAAAGGGGAAGATCAATTTTGGTAGATGACTGGTTGTTTCTGTTACAGAAGCTTGTAAGATTGGGTGGACAGACCGACAGATGGTTGTTGCTGCTGGAAGCCAGACTAGGAAACACCAAATCACAAAGGACCTTTTTAGCATCTTCTGCCAAGGAGTTTACAGTTTTATCTTGTGGAAAGTAGGAAGTTATTAAGGAATTTTATGCAAGGGGTGGCTAGATGAGGTTTTTCATTAGGAGATCACTGGCTGCAGGTGGAAGGCTGGCATGGTGAGGAGGACCCAGGAGGCAGCAGAGAGGAGAAGGAGGAGAAGGAGAAGGAGCAGCAGAGGCTACTGAACTGTAGTGGTTTTACCAGGGAGAGAAGGTGTTGCTCTGAGTTGAGGCAGAGCATGGAGGGAGGAGGTGGCTTGGGGAGATATCTAGCGGGAGAATCCACAGCCCTGGTGAAGCAATTCGCCTGGATCACAGTAAGTGTGGAAGAAAGCTGGCAGTGCTACCTAGAAGGGCAGGGGTGCGGGAGGCACAGGGGGACTGTGAGACAGAAAGCCACCTGGTTGCTCAGGCGGCCACAGGAATGACTAATTCTGATGTGGTCAAGAAAATGAGAAAATGTCCTTGTTGAGCACAGTGTTGACAGACCTCATTGTTTTATCAATTTCTCTCTTCCTCTCTAGGCCAGTCCCTTTTGATCAATACTAAATAGCGGTCACTGGGAGACAGGGATGCTTCCTCTTTGCTATGCAGCCTGAGACAATATCCTGCCACTTCCACCTCTCCTTCTTCTGCCCATGGAGGGCAAGCAAGTAGAGAGCGTTTTTGTTTCCCTGTCATAAAGATTGATATGCCTTCCCATTTATGATGTTTTTTTCAGATCCAACACCTGCAGCTCTCCCTCAGAATTCTCAAGTTGGTTAAATTAAAGCTCCAGCTCTGTGAATGGGCCAAATATGTCATAAAAGATTTTCTAGCGCTGCCTTTTGTTAGCAAAATTCATCAATCCGATAAAATCGACACATTTAGATAAGTGTTGCATAAGAATTCAGACTTTGTTATTCCCAGCGGAAGTGGATATGAGACTGTAAAAAGGAAGATAAAAAATTATATCTTCTTTTTAGTGAGTTATTTGATCTCCCTGTCGTTTTATTTACTTGTCAGAAAAGGAAGAACAGGTCTTTTGGACTCCCGCAAAAAAACCCAGTACAACCTCAGTACTCAGATACAACCTCAGTATCATTTACTATAGAAATGGGACCTTCAGGGAAGGGCTTAGGGTACGTTTAAGGGTTAATTAATAGTAATAGTTTTGATTAAATTTAAGGAAAATTCTCATTTGCTTGTGAAAATTACTATTTCTATTTTAGTGTATTGATTGAAGATCAAATTATGGACTTTATCACACATCCAGAGGAAATTGTCCATCTGAGGGTCCTTGGAAGCCCCTCCTGCCCTCATCCAGCACCAGCAGGCTGGTAGGGAAAGGAGAGGACTGTCACCCTGAGGGGTTGTAATCAGTGGGCATGTGACCTGCTGAACATTAGCTTTTACCTCCATGAAGCAAAGAACTTCTTTAAATGATTTTAAGTGACTATTTCATTTTCTTATGTTCCCTTGTTAAGTAAACCCTTCATAAATGCCAGTCCAGATGCAAAGAAACTTTCTGTCTATAAAGGGAAAATGTGGACTGGTGAACCATGTACCTATCAAAACCAAAAAAGTGTTCAAAACATTAAATGTATTTTTTTCTGTCCAAAGAGTAACTGAAAGAAAACTTGGAAAATAGAGAAAAGTAGTTAAAAGAAAGAAGAGCCCACCCAAAGATTTCTTTTCTCAAATGGCAGCTGCTGGCACTTTTGGATTTTTTCATTTCTTTTTTCTTTTTAACTATGTGTAGTATTGCCCCCACTTTTTCTTCCACATTTTTTTTATTGTGGTAAAATACATATAACATAATGTTTATCATTTTAGCCACATGTAAGTGTATAATTCAGAGCTATCAAGTACATTCACAGTGCTGTGTACCTGTCCCCACTATATATACCCCAAACTTTTTCATGACCCCCAACATAAACTCTGTAGCCATTAAGCAATAACTCCCCTTTCTCCCTTCCTCCCACCCTGGCAACCTCTATTCTGCTTCTCATCTCTATGAATTTGCCTGTTCTAGATACCTTTTATCAGTGGAATAATATACTATTTGGCCTTTTGTGTCTGGATTATTTCACTTAGCATAATGTTTTTAAGGTCCATCCTTATTGTAACATGTGTCAGAATTTCACTCCTTTTTGTGGTTGCATAGTGTTTTATTATGTCTATATACCACATTTTATTTATCCATTCTTCTGTTGGTAGACACTTGGGTTGCTTCCTGGCTACTGTGAATAATGCTGCTATGAACATGGATGTATAGCTATTTATTCAATTTTCTGCTTTCAATTCCTCTCAGTACATCCTAGGAGGTATGAAGTGGTATATCATCATAGTTTTCATTTGCATTTCCCTAGTTACTAATGATATTGAGCATCTTTTCATGGTTTAATGGCCATTTGTGTATCTTTTTTTGAGAAATATCTATTCAAGTCCTTTGTACATTTTTAGGTTGGGTTGTTTTCTGTTGTTGTTGTTGTTGAATTGTAATAGTTATTTATGTATTCTGGACATTAATCCCTTGTCAGAGATATGATTTGCAAATATCTTCTCCTGTTTTGTAGATTGTCTTTTCACTTCGTTGATAGTGTCCTTTGATACACAAAACTTCCTAATTTGGATGAAGTCTAGTTTATCATTTTTTTTAATTGCCTGTGCTTTTGGAGTCATATCCATGAAACTGTTGCCGAATCCTGTGTCATGAAGATTTTTATCCAGTGTTTTTTTCTAAGAATTTTGTAGCTTTAGCTCTTGAAGTTTAGGTCTTTGATCATTTTGAGTTAATTTTTGTATATGATGTAAGTTAAGGGTTCACCTTCATTATTTTGCATGTGGATATCCAGTTTTCCAAGCACTTTTGTTGAAAAGATTGTCTTTTCCCCTTTTAACTTCGTAAAAAATCGATTGACCATATATGTGTGGGTTTATTTCTAGGCTTTCTGTTCTATTCCATTGGTCTATATGTCTGTCCTTAGGCTAGTGCCACACTGCTTTGATGTCTGTAGTTTTGTATTAAGTTTCAAAGTCAGAAAGTATGACTCTTCTCTCTTTGTTCTTTTTCAAGATTGTTTTGGCTATCTGGTGCTCCTTGCAGTTCCACATGAATTTGAGAATCTGCTTTTCCATTTCTGTGGAAAGGTTGTTGGAATTTTGATAGGTATTGCATTGAATCTGTAGATCTCTTTGGGTAGTATTGACATCTTAACAGCATTAAATCTTCTAATCCATGAACCATAGGATATGTTTTTGTTTAAGTCATCTTTAGTTTTTTTTGGTTTTTTTTTTTTTTTTTTTTTAGCAATGTTTTGTAGTTTTTAGCGTACAAGGCTTTTGTCTCTTCGATTTATTCCTAAGTATTGGATTCTTTTAGAGGCCATTGTAAAGGAATTATTTTCTTAATTTATTTTGGATTGTTCATTGCTGGTGGATAGAAACACACCTGATTTTTGAACTTGTACCCTGCAACTTTGCTGAGTCCTCCCCCCATCTTTTCTTTACATATAGTTGTAGTCATGAGGCATGTACATTTTTATTTCTGCTTTTATTACTTAACATTTTACATATCATTTGCTCATGTAACCACCACTCTGTTGACCTACTAGACTGGCTTAAGTTTCTGTTCTTAAAAATAAAGCCTTAAGGTGAACATCTCTGTACATCATTAAACTGTATTTTCACCTTTTTCCTCATGATAGATTTGCAGGTATGAGATTATTAGATCAAGGGGTCTGAACATTTCTAAACTTTTTGCTGTGCATTGCCATATTATTTTCCAGAAGTGTTCTACCATTTTACACAGGTGTCAGCAGATTACTTTGGTTTATAATTTTAAACTATACTTGAAACTTAGTAGAAAATAGTGTTTTAGTAGAAATGGTAACTTAGTAGAAATGGTATTTTGTTCTTGTTTTAATTTGTGGTTCTTTATTTCCTGAAGTGTTTTGAACAGTTGTGCTTTTGTATGTGTGAATTATGCCCATGTAAAAATTTTGTCTGTTTGCCTCTTGCAATTTTAATTTTTTTTTAATTTTTGGGAGTGTTTAATATTAGTAAAGATATTGCTGTTAACCCTTCTATCATATTTGCTACAAATAAGTCTTTGGCATTTGTTGTCTTTCCATTTTAGTTGCTTTTTTTGACATGCAGAAGTTTCTAATTTTTATGTAGTCAAACTCTTTGTTCTTCTTTGTGATTTCTTTATCTCTGAAAGCATTTAAAATTACTCTTGCATAAGCATTTATCAATGTTAACAGAAATCAAAACAGAAGATAAAAATGTACCCACAATCTTCTCAATGCATCAAATTAAAGTGTTTTTCCCCCAGGATCCCTGTCAGTCTTTCCTGCGTGTACATAATTTGAGGTAGTTGTTATCACAGCATTGACACTGTTCTGTGTTCTAGGCTTTTCTGTTTATTTTTCCACTAAATGTTATCATCTGACAGCATCCTTGATACATCATTCCCCCAGACTCCCTTTGTGTTTCTTCCTGCTTTTTAAACACTTTCTATTTCCTTCTGTCTGTTTTAGCCAGAGCCCTCTGTCTGGAGCCCACCAGGGACTCCATTGATCCTGCCTCCCTCCCTGTGAATGGGTTGAATGCCAATCTCAAGGAATTTCTCTGCTACTGAGTGGACTTTGACTAGGTGTATTTTCCATACTAGCTTTGTGGCTGACTAACTGTGTGTGCTTGGGCGACTCACTCCATCTCTCTGAGCTGCTATTTCTTCCTTTGTAAAAGGGGAGCTGAAAAGTTCAGTCTCATAGCGTTTAATATGAGGGAGCATTTCACGTGGAGCCTGGCACACCATGGATATGTAGGAATAATAGCTGTAACATGTGGAGAACCTGCTGTGTACTTGGCACTGTACTAGGGGTTTCGCATACATAGTTCGTGGAATCAGTCGGATCCTTACAGTTTCCTAAGAGGTAGGTTTTGTGTCTGGCTTGACTATTGAGAAAAGTGAGGCTTAATAAATGTTGGCTGTTTTGAATCTACTATCCCAAAGGTAAAATTTATACTCTATTTGTTTATATATCTTTATATGGATTATAAATTCATATATATATGTATATACACACACATACACATATATATTTATCTGAAACTTTTTTTGTGTGCTAACGAATGTCAGCTTGCATACACAGTCAGCACGTCTAGGCCCAGCAAGCACCGCAACATACTGTAGCTGCCAGGGAAGTCTGGAGGAGACAGTGGGATGGCAGGGACAGCAGTCCTTGAATGAGCTCTTGGTCAGCTCCTGCCCGCACTACAGAGCTGTGCAGCTGCCGTCTCTGGCTGGAGCCCCTTGTACTCCTAGACCCCAGACACCAATCCAGTGGCTGCTAAACTCTACTCCCCAGGGCTCCATGGAGCTGGGTCTCCCTTGTACAGCCAGAAGCCAGGGTGCCCTAATGTGTAGCATGTTCAGCGTGTTGGGAAGGCTAGCTTCTCTTGAGTCTGGGAAAGGGCCAGACACCTGGCCCAACACACTGTTATGTTCTATTACTATATATTGCCCAAAAGGGTTTGGATAAAGATAGTTGAATTTCCAAAAGCTTTATAGGTAATCTCTGGAATTCCCCATGCACGTTCCTACAACTCTGTGTCCCTCTGAGCCTCAGGCTCAGGGCGTGGAAGCAGAGCCAGTGTACATGGCTTGGTCTTGGCTCCGTCAGCTCTGCGGATGGAGCCTTCGTGCTAAGAATAGATTTTTCTCCTACCCATCTCTTTCTCCTATGGGAGAGGCCTGGACTCTGGACTCCTGCAGACCAGCCACTTACTCCCTGGCTCCCTGGGCGAGTCATAGCTTCTCTGAATATGGTACCTGAACCCCTGCCCATGGACTATTGAGATGGTATGGACACCACCAAGCTTGGTGCCTGGTACAGAGCAGGTCGCAGAGAAGTCTGAGTTCTTTTCCTGCCTTTCCCATTTTCTCTCCTGTGTTTCTTTTCTTCTTTTCTGTCTCTCTTCCTCAGTGTTATTTTTTCCTTTTCCTCTTTCCTTCCCTCTCCTCACTGTTCCTTCCTTTGTGAATTATTTTTGCCTCCCTCGTTCCCTCTCCAAGCTCTCTTTTGTCCTTCTGGGTATTGCCTTTCTCAAGGCAAAGACCTAAGCCCCGCTACTTCTGTGGGGGCAGTGTGTCATGTCTGAGCTACTCTAGAACTGATTGACAGGTGGGTCTGTGGCCCTCTTTGGAATCTCCTTACTGAACTGAAATCATCGTGTCACACTGACCTTTGGAGCAATGAGTGGCCCCTGAGATTGTTTAAGTTGCTCTTTAGGGAACTTCAGCTTCCTCAGAGTTACGTCTCTTGTCTTTAAAAAAGAAAAAAATCTGATTTTCTTCAAGGGTTTGCTCCCAACCAGGCCAGGGCAGTGGGATGAGGTTTTAAAGGCCAGTTGAATTAAGCTCCTCCCAACTGAGGAGCTTCCTGTGCAGTTGGACAGGAGAGCCTGAGTACCTGGATGATGGCGAAGGTGAGCTAGGGAATTTGCTTTGTGTCGGAGTTAAAGGCCAGAGCTGAAGTGGCTCCTCAGAGTAGCAAGGGGATTCTGAGGAAGGCAAGTTTGCTTCTGGCTGGGGAGTCAGGAATGAGGACTAACTCTAGAAGGGCATGTGATGACTAAGCAGGGGTGAGGTTCAAAATATGGAGCACAGGCCAGGAACTGGCCACTGGGAAGGGGTGCCATCATCTGTGGCTGTTGTGCTGGTATAGACGACTGGTGGTTGCAGCAGTTCCCAGGGCTCCTCGTGAGTTCCACACGGCACTTTTACACATGTTAACCGATTCAGTCTGGGAGACAACCCTGTGATCTAGGTCATGCCATCTCATGTTGGACAGGGAAATGGGGGCTGAGTGAGGTGAAATCGCATAAACCAGCTGTGGAATGGAAATTAGTCCTAGGTTTCTAGCTGGAATCCTGCCTCAGGCTGCCATTGCCTGGGTGAGGTTTGCCTAGGAGAGGAGGGGAAGGAGGTGAGGGCAACAGTGTGAGCTTGGGTTTTAAAAATGCAGATACCCAGGGCTTTTGCTGAGATGAATCAGTGTGGGGAGACTGGAGCAGATCCCAGAGGGCCTTGTGTACCACCCTGGGCCAGGACTTCATCCCAGGACAGTCACAGAGTCCTGAGAGTGGGGAGGGGAGAGGGCCAGCACCTCAGAGTGGTGCTGCTGGAAGGTTCTCACAGCTGTGGTCTGTGCATGCACTTTGGAGAGCAGTTGGGAGGCCTGGGGTGAGAAGAGCCTGACCCAGAGTGGAAGCCATTAAGAATGAAAATCAGGATGGATTGGAGCAAGATCCTAAGAGGAGAACCAATTGGATGCAGTGACTGATGAGAGACATCAGTGACCATGCAGTCAGAGAGGACTAATTCAGAGGCCAGGGCAATGCCATCCCATATCAGAGGCCAGGAATTAGAGGCCAGGAGGCAGCCTGATGGCAGATGGCAGGGTAGAACTAGAGTGCTGGGAATGGGGCTTGGCTGGGGATGCGGTTTGGGAGCGGCCCACAAGGGGGCTGTGGCCCTCATGGTCAGTATGCAGGGGAAGAGTTGGCCTCTCTGGCCACTCTTTGGGGAGGCCTGCAGTGGGCGCATGAGTGATGAAGAAGGGCCTCTCGGGGACGTGAAGGATAGTCAAGGGCCATGGAAATAAAGGTATGGGGTTGTCAGGGAGGAGGGAAGGATGCCACTGCTGGACAGTCACCTGGTCAGATGCCACAGAGGAAAGCGATTGCAAGGGAAGAGCACTGAGTTGACCACTGGGAGCTGCTCTTGACCTTCAGGAACTTCTTTCTCTGCCATGCTTCCCCGAACCCTGGCCCCCGTTCCTCTTAGTGTCACATGGAATTGGCACCCTGGTCTGGTGCCCCAGCCCCTCACCCCCATTGCTCTTGGGAGCCCTTTGTGTATTCATTGTGCACGTTCCGTGGAGACTGGCGCAGAGGAAGTACTTAGTAAATGTCCTGCACTTAAAAGGGAAGGAGACAGAAGTGACCTTGTAAGAAAATCAGCCATAAGCTCTGATGGGTAAACAGAAGTGGGATTTGTTTTGAAATATGAGAAGAAGGAGAAATTGGATGTTGATTGAAAGTGGCAGGGTGGGGGTGTCAAGCAAGAGGGCTTTTGTCCCAAGAGGAGAGAAATCTGGGGCTGTAGGAGTCTCTGGATGTGAGTCCAGGGAAGAGCTTGGAGGGGCTGGGGAGCGGGGCCGGGGCTGGGGTATCAGCATGGGTTCCTGGAAGGCCCCCATAGACCTGGCAGCAAGCTTGGGCTCTTCCCTTCAGGTGCCTCTTCTTGGGCTGGATCCTTCGCCTGGCTTCTGTTTGGGGCTATAGTGGGGGAATGTGAGGGGATGGCCTAGGGTCTGAGGAAGATGGAGGCAGTATTATTCAGAGTGAGGGACGTGCACCACATGTCACACAAGATCCATCTGGGACTGTGCTTGGATGTGGCAAAATTGCAATGAAAGTTAACCTTCTTCAGTTATCTTTAAATCTCTTTTATTAAGTCAGAAAAAATGTCTCAAATTGGTACTGTTGTGTCTTAAAGATTTCCCTAACTTTTTAACCAGGCTCAGTGCCTTCAGCAGGTAATAGTATCTAGCTAGAATTTAATAGCTCTATTTTGTTTTCTTTGTGTTTATTTTTGTAGCTACAGTAGTAGAAGATTTCTTGTCCCCTGAGATTGGACTGTGGTTGGTTAATCAAAAAAGTCCCTTGAAGCAGAGAATCATAAAAAATGACACATTCATGCCTTAAACATAATATTTTAACTTAAAACATATACGTGCATATTTATTTAATAAAATCAACAATAAAAGCTGTTACAGAAGAAATACAACATTCGCAGCATCATGCCTCCCTTTCCTCATCAGCACCAAGACACTGGCAGCCGGGCCAGGCTGGTCTGGGGCTTCTTGGCTGCATGTGGATTTGAGTTCTGAATTCGGGCCTGACTCCACTTCTTCAGGCTGTGCTTTTGAAGAATGTTTGGTTTTTGTGTCATTTATAATTTCAGTTTTCCATGCATGATCACTTATAATCTATATGTTATCTTTAATTCATTTGGTCTGAATACAGTTAAGTAAGCTATATTCTGTATGTTCTTCTTGGTCAGTATGTATGTATGTATTTTTGAGACAGAGTCTCACTTTGTTGCCCAGTCTGGATCTCACTATAACCTTGAACTCCTGGGCTCAAGCAATCCTTCTGCTTCAGCCTCTTAAGAAGCTGGGACTACAGGCATGTGCTACCACATCTGGCTAATTTTTAACACTTGTTTTATAGATGGGTTCTCTCTGTGTTGCCCAGGCTGGTATAGAACTCCTGGCCTCAAGTGATCCTCCTGCCTCTGCCTCCCAAAGTGCTGGTATTACAGGTGTGAGCCACCATGCCTGGCCCAGAATTTATGTTTTTGAAAGCTCTAGAGTTTGCTGATTTGGCAATAAGGAAAAGTTGTAGCGTGTAGGCTCCAGTTGCATCACTGTGGGCAGCAACTGTGATCATTCTGGCTTTTTCTATCCAAGTGTGGCATACTTTTCTTTGCATATGATTGTTTCTCTTGGTCACATCTTCTAAGTTTTTGCGGTTTTCTCAGTGTTGTGGAGGTGCTCTCTAGTAAGATTTCCCAGAGAAAGCCTCAGTGACTGACTTTAATTCTGTTGTGAGTATTTGAACAGCAGTTTCTTTCTCTTTGCTCAGATGCTCTCCAGAGGGGCTCCACGGCTTTGTTCCACCTGCCACTTGCTGGGATATGTTCTGCCCAGCTCGTCTTTTCTTCCAGGATGAGCCCACTAACTAGAGCTCCAAGTCACCTTTCATCTATAAACCACTCCCGAATGCAGTGCACTGCCCACAATTTCAGTGAAGCAAGTCTGAGTACAGGATTTTTCTGTTTTCACACAACCTCCCTGCAGGTCTTTTATGGTTTTCTTATCCACACCTAGTTTAACACCAGATTTTAAGGAGATTTGTCTTTATCACACCTTTCCAGAGCATTCAATTTAGTTTTCATAGAAACAGCTATTTTCACACTGTTGTTTCATAATACTAAATTAAATTATGTTGTTACAGTGAAGCTTATAACGGGCATTACCAACTTTACAGCATAACCAGGTTCAGCATAAAGGTCAGGAGGCAAAAGTGCAGGAAGTACTCACCTCTTGAGCGTGGCCTGTGCGCGTCAAGCTGTCCCCCCCCAGCATGGAGGTTTGGCATGCTAGGAGCCAGGAGCAGGTTTTGCAGAGGGAGTGCAGAGCGTTGCCTCATGGATGTCCTTAAAGTGACCAGTGGTGGGAGGGCTTCTACTCTACCTTTTATTTGTGGAATGTGGTGGTTTTCCATTTAGATAGTGGCATGAAATTGCGTTTTAAAATAAATATATTTAAGTAAGAACATTAATTCTTTTAAGGAAAATAAATGAGCAAAGAATAGCTTAGGTGGCACACAAATTTGACAAAGCTTGTGAAGAGGATGTGGGACAATTGGTCTATGTGCAGGTCAACCCTGAGAGAGGAGGAGGAAGGGAGGGAGCAGAGCGACCTTGATGTTTTGTCATCCCCTCTTTGTGCCCAGGCTGGCACTGGGCTCAATCTTCTGCTTTTGTGTTTTGAAAGACCATTGATGCCATCTTCCAGGTCAGTGTCCCTGGGGAGTGGATGCTGGAGGTCATTCTGGGGATCCCAGCACCGTGGGAAGGACAGGGCTCTGGAATAGGGCTTTTGGGACCAGAGTGCTGAGCTCTGGATTCCTCCTTGCTTCTGCTATTTGCTTCACCTGCGACCCTTTAGCAATCATTTGACCTCTCTGTGCCTCAGTTTCCTCATCTCTAAAATGATAATATAATACCTGACATCATTGCTGTGAGGATTAAATGGAGTCATGTGAAAGCATCTAGCCAGGTGCTGTGTCATGGTGGGTGCTTCACCAATATTTGGAGAATGAATGTGTGACTCTGAATATGGGAATGATGACAGAAGTTCTTCCTACCTTAGAGGGTTGTTAAGAATTCAATAAATTTATGTCTGCAATTTGAAAGTGATAGCAAACTGTCATAGTATTGGGTACTATAATTATAGCTATCATATCGTTTTTTCGTTGGTTTGAGAACTAAAATTACATATATTTAATGTATGTAATTAAGGGCAAGGGTTTTATTAATCTGGCTACAGGACTTAAATTTATGTTCCCTGATCCTTGAAGATCAGCTGCTTTCCAAATTCTCATATGGATTTGAGAAGGGACACATGCCCCTGCCTCCAACCTAGGCTGATGGAGGATTGTTCTCATGATAGTCTCAGGTTTAAAGTAAACTCAGAGTTGGCTTTAAATCACAGCCCCACCACTCATTAGCCTGTGGCCTGGAACAAGCTACCAAAGCTGGCCAAACTTTTAGGACCCTCTTCTATGAAATAGGGGGAGGAAGAATAATACCCACCTTTCAGGATTGTGATGAGAAGATGGGGATTGGAAAGCTTCTAGCACAATTGCTTGCACCATTGGTGCTCGGTAAAAGGTCCTGTCTCTTTCTGCCACTCCCACTGTGTTGCATGCTAGACTATATACAGAGAAGCACTTAGAGCAAGCCTCAGTGTCAGGAAGGTAAGGGTGGCTCTTCCTGGCGGAAACAAACTCCAGAACTAGAAGTGCTACAGAAATGTCTCCTGAAAATACATTGGGTATACAAACAATTGGAAGTGGTTCAATATTGTATGGCTTACTTATTAAGGCAATGCAATACAAATTAAAATGAAGTATATATTAAAAATAATTTTTAAAAGACTATTTTGTTATGTGTGCAGTGAAATAGGCATCTTAGATGTCCATTGTGGTAGTGGAAAAGGTAGCATACCTTTCAATCTATTTTCTCTGTAATTGAGATAGAATTCACATACTATGAAATTCATACTTTCAATGTGGAAAGAATTGTACAGCCATCACCACTATCTAATTCCAGAACATTTTCATTACCCCAACAGGAAATTGTATTCATTAAGCCCTTTGCTCCTCATTCTCTGTGCCCCACCAGCCTGGGAACTACTAATCTACTTTCTGTTTTATGGACTTACCTATTCTGGTATTTCATATAAATGGAATTGCACAATATGCAACCTTTTGTGTCTGACTTCTTTCACCTAGCACAGTGTTTTTGTGGTTCATCCACACTGAAGTATGTATTGATGCTTCATGTCTTTTTATGTCATGTCTTTTTATGTCACAACAGAATAATATTCTGTTGTGTATATATACACAACATAGTTTGTGTATCCATTCATCTATTGATAGACATTTGAGATGTTTCTACTTTTTGGCTATTGTGAATAGTGCTACTCTGGACATGTATGGATATGTACTTCTTTGAGTATTTGTTTTCTGTTCTTTTTGGATATATATCTAGGAGTGGAATAGCTGGATCATGTGGTGATCCCATGTTTCCCTTCATTTTTGTAACATTTTTTACTGCATATAAAATTCTTGGTTGGTAGATTTTTTTATTTTTATTTTTAACTTTCACTTCTTTGAATATATTATCCTGATACCTTCTGGCCTCCACGATTTCTCCTGAGAAACCAGCTGCAAATCTTATTATGGATTCCTTGTACATGAGTTCAGTCGCTTCTTTCTTGATGGCTTCAAGATTCTCTTTGTCTTTGGCCTTCAACAGTTAGATTGTAATGTGCCAGGTGTGGGTGTCTTTGAGTTTATCCTATTTAGAGTTTATTGAGATTCTTGAAAGTGTAGATATTTTCCATGAAATTTGAGAAGTTTTTGGCTATTAAATATCACAGCTTCCCTCAGGCAGCTGTGATGTTAAACAATTGCCTCTGATTATTTTCAACAAACTCCCCCAGGGAAAAGGCTATTTGCACTAAGCAAGCTCCAAGGCAGGTCAAATAAATATAGCATTGTGAGTAGGGCCTTCCAGGGAGCCACCAGACTGGAAAATCATGATCGTTCTCTGGAAGAAGGGCTTTGAAGGAGCTCAAACCCATTCTGCCCCTTTCAGTGCCTGGCAGGCTACTGGTTTTCACCATGATTGGTTTTCAGGACAGCTGCAGAGTTAGCATAGGAAGAGGGCAAGTTAAAACATCAAAAGCTCACTTGGTTTTACTGAGACTCTTCTTGAATAAACACTCCACAGATTGCTCAAGCCTTTGGTTAATTTCCACAGTTCTGAACAAGTTGATTCTGATCATTTTTGCCAGTGTTCTTTGTTTCCATGGAAGAGGGCTTTTCAGATGTCCTTGCTGTATCATTTTGCTGATCTATTAGTGAGTATTCACTCTTAGATGTGTACCCCACGAATTCATCCCACAGCCAAGGCAAAAAAAAAAAACAAAACATTCATGCCCGCTGACATGTTTATCACAGTGTAATTTATAATAGTGAAAAATTTGAAATATCACAAATAAGTAATGGAGGAAAGCATGTACAAGCATGTAAATTCTGGGTCGTACCATTGTCCAGGTGTCAACAATGAAAGAACAGGCCCAGGTGGAGAGAAGTGTGACAAAGAGACTGAGAGCCCTGGCTTCAGACTCAGATGGGCTGGGTTCAAATGTGGCTCTAAGGTTTATAGCCAACAACTTGGAGCAAATCAGTTAGACTCCCTAAGCCTCATTTTCTCATCTATAAGATGGCAACAACTCCATCATGTGTTGTAGATGCTTTCATTTAAACCTCACATTATAGGCTTGGCTCAGCCATGTAAGTTGTTATTGTTGTTGCTGTCATTCAACAGAAAGTTCTTTGTGATATAATGGTAAATAAATTAGCAGGATATGAAATCGTATACATACTACAACCAAAATCTGAAAAAAAGAATCCCTTGGCAAAGCATGGGAAAACCATGGTTGGAAGAAAATACACCAAATGATGGGATTATGGGTTATTTATTTTCTCTTTCCCTCTTTTTTTTTTTTTTTTTTTTGCCCTAACAATGTTCCTTTTTTTAAATGGGAAAGATAAATGTCCACACAGAATAAGTATGTCTTCTTAAAGATGCGGGGGCTTTGCTAGTAGAGTTTAGGCAAGAATGCTCTGCATTAGAAACTGAGATTGTAGAGGCGTGCTTCCAGGTACATCTGCAGATACTTTTTGGTCACTATTATTTCTTGCATCTCTTCAGAAGGCTGAGATGTATTTATTGGTCTTCTTCAAGGAGGTCTTTTATTCAGAAGCCTAGGGGCCAGGATCACTGCTGCCTCCTTAGGGAGTGCTCTGAAAGTGGAGGTTAATATCTAAGAGAGCCCTTTAAAATTCTGATGTCCAATGCAGGGACATTTCCCCCAGACGGGGAAATTTGGGGCCTCCATTGCATCATGTGCCATGTGCTAGTACAGTGGTGCTGTCTTCTAGGCTTGGTTGATGTGGGGAGAGAAGAGGATGCTCACTGCACTTGGTACTGTGCCAGGTGCTTCATGGACGTGCTTTGTGTCCATGTTGCTGATCTCTGTAACTGTGATGGGACTTATTTTCCATTTCAGGTTCCGAGGTGCACCGATTATACCCGTGGCGGCCAAGCCGGGGGGACCAGAGGCCCCCGAAACTGAAGCTCCACAGGGCATTCCAGAGCTCATTGAGGTACTGTCATCTTGAATCCAGGTTGCCCTTTAGCCCCAGCGCTGCTCAGGCCAGCCCCTTTGTGTCCCTCTCTCCCCTGAGAGAGAAAGAGAGGCAGCCCTAGCAAGAGGACTCAGTTGGTTCCATTAACCTCCCTGTTAACACCTTAGCACAACTCCCCCACCTCCCTCAAAAAGGTAGACCCAAACTAGGACTCCTAAGGTTCACTGAAGCCCATGATTCACCCTCCAGCCATAAACTCTGCAGAGCTCGTCACACCTTGCTGTGCCTCACTTTCTCCTTTCTCTTGTCATACCTACACTCAGACAAAGCAGCTCCCACCCATCTGGAACCCTGGGACCGTGACATCCATTCCAGTCCTTCAGACTGTCTCAGCTCCTCCAGTACCCCACCTGGGCTGGGGGCCAGTGAGGCAGGGGTGAAAGACATGAGCCCAACAGCAGGGGCAATGCAGCTTCCATCCTGGGCACCTCCACCAAAGATGGGAGGCTTATCTTCGGAAGCTGTGGGGCTGAGGCCCAGGTTGTTCTTCCTAACTTGTGCTGGTAGTCAGGGAGGGAGCCCAGTCATCCATCAGGAAGGGTGTGTGTGGGTGCTGATGGTGCTGGTACTAAGGAAGGTAGCAGTGAGAATGGAGCCACAGAGTTCCTCCACAGAGTGCTCAGGACAGTTCAGCCGGGTGGAGTAGCAACGTGCATGGCTCTGGGGCTGGACTGTGGTTCAGGGGCTAGCTCCACCACCACTCTCTCTGACCTCAGGCAAATGATCTACTCTTTCTTGCCTCAGTTCCTTCACTTGGAAGATAATAGCACATACCTCGTGGAGTTGTGAGGGTTAAATGAGTTAATGTGTATAATGTGCTCGGTACAGTGCCATGTCAGTGCTTACTGTTACAGTGATGTTGATGTTTACAGGCCAGGCACTGTACTAAGTTCTTTACATACAGGATCATTGACATTCACAAAAACTCAGGGAGGCTGAAATTATTTATCCCCATATACCAACGAAGAGTCTGAGATTCAAAGATGTTAAATAACTTGACCCATGTCTGGCAGCGAGTTACACGGTGGAGCTGGGATTCAGACCCAGGTTGATCGCTGGGGTCAGCTTCACGGCCCCCCTGCACCTGGCTCCGCAGAGCCAAGATGAGATGTGACCACGTACATGCACTGCCACCATTTCTGTGATTTACACGTGCTGATCTTGTCAGCTTAGCAAAACAAATGTTTTCTGGGTGAGGCTTTTGTTACTTTTTCATCAGGCTCCTGAGAGCACTTGTCTGGGAGCCTGGGATAGTTGTTTTTGTTAAAGCGAAATCCTCAAAAATGCTGCTTTGAAAGATGTTTGTATATTCCTTTAAGAAGCCCCTACATAAATCTCAGACCAAGCCTGTTTTGTTTGAATCTCTAGTGTTTTTCCAAAAGAATTGTTATCACAAGACTAAGACTTTGGAACATTCACCACTGAATACTTTTTTGACAGCCTGTTCCCTTACGAAGTGAAAAAGTAGCAAACACAAGGAATCCTAGTCTTTGTTTTCATTTGTTTATTGGTGATGAGCCCTGACAGCATCTCCCGGCACACAGGTGGCATGAGGAGAATCGGCTGGTGAGGCTGAGGCGTGTGGAGTCCGCAGAGAAGGAAGGACCCTGGGAACAATCCTTTCCTCCTCCCTCTCCCCACATCCCCTTGTTTCTTCTTCTTTCACTTGTCATTCTCTCAGGCATGATGCCAGCTACTGGAGATACCTGGCTCTCACAGCCCTATGGGGGAGATAATAAAGAGATGATCACAGGAGAGTGTTAGCTATAGTGATGGGGGCAGGGGAAACGTGGCCATACAGAGAAGCCTGTCCAGAGGAGGTATTGCTGCAGTACAGGCGAGGCTCAGCCAGCTGGTAAAACTCTAGGCCTGCTGGCGGCTGGCTTCTGGCATACGTCAGGGAGTGGCGGAAGATGAGGCCTAAAAGGTACCTAGGGGCTAGATGATGAGGAGTTTTAAATTCTGAAGGCATCAGGAGGCTGGGGAAATGCATGAGGCCAGGGAGCAATGCGACAGGGTGTCCTTTAGTGGCTACTCTGCTGCAGCATGGAGGGCCTGGCAGGACAGACCATTGTAGCAGTCCCACGGGAGAAGACAGATGAGGCTTCTCCAGGTGCCCTTTCCTTCAGACTGAGCGGAAAGAGCTGAGAGCATGGCAGAAGCTTGGAATGCAGTCAGGGAGTTAGGTGGTTTTGATCTCCTGTCCACCTTGCCAGGGCATGGACCTCTGAGCTGAGTTCACCTTGGCAGCCTTGATGAACTGCTGGTCAGCCACATTCTCTGCCTTCCTCTGCCCTGCCCCATCTGGCTCCTCTCCCCACGGACTGTGGCACCAGTTTCTCTTTTCTAGCTCCTGACGTCCCAGATTTCCATCCCAACGAGAGACCCCTCGGGACCGTTCCTCATGTCTGTGGACCACTGTTTCTCCATCAAAGGCCAAGGCACTGTGATGACAGGGACCATCCTTTCAGGCTCCATCAGCCTCGGTGACAGTGTGGAGATCCCTGCCCTCAAGGTCAGTCTTACCTTGTCTTCCCTTCTGGCCTCCTCGCTGGCAGCAAGGGAGGGGGACTGTCCCTTTGTCTGTTCAGCTGCTGAGCCTGCTGCTGTGCCTGCCCTGGGACTCCCACTGCCTGCTCCGCCCCACCTCCCCTCTGGCTGCCTGGCCCCGCCCGGCTCCAAGTCTGTCACCTCAGATTCTAGGACTGCTGCTCTCCCTAATTCTCATAGCGCCTGTTTATTGGAGGCCTATGATGTGCCTCAAGGAGGTGTTCCCAAGTAGGTCTTCTGTGTAGATAAAGAAACTGAGGCTCCAGAAGGTGAGGTGGGCTTGAGATCACATGGTTAACAAGTGGGGCTGCTGGAGGGGAAACCTCCCTTTCTGGACACTGGCTGTACGTCAGGGTGGCAAGTATGTGTGGAGTTATTTCTGGGTACCTTTTTCTTAACCACAGTAATTTCAAATTAAACATGACGTGAATCTTATGATGCTCAGAATCACAGAATCTGGAAGAAATCCAGGTTGGTTTTGCACTCCTGGTGGCCATCGACAGATGCCGCATTATTCTTCTGAAGACCTGTGAGAAGGATGAGTGGTTGGTGCCTTCCCATCACCCCTCCTTCTACTATGATGGCCTGGCTCTGATTTAAAAGATAGTGCCTTGATATTCCCCTTATTTAGAAGGCATTTTTAATAGTTTTACTTTATGCGACAAGAGAAACTTACAGCCTCATTGACTGCCCTCCCCTTCAACAAGAATAAAAGGTAGGGAACACATGCTACTTAGAATTCATGTGAGACCTTGCCTGGAATGCTGGGGTCCAGGGCAGTTCTCTAATCCTTGAAGGAGCCTACAGTGCAGGGAAGTGGAGGTGCTCAGCCCTGTGGACTCAGCTAGCTGCTAGAGAGGCTTGGATGTGCATGATTTCAATTTGCATGTTAATTGGGAATGGCTACCTGGAGGCTGTATTGAGGCATTTTAAGGTTGTCTGGCTCACTAGGTGTGTTGGTTAAGGTTCTCCGGAGAAACAGAACCAATGGGAGATACAGATATCTAGGTATCTATAGATACATAGGTAAAGATACATAGATGTAAATATGTAGATATCTGTATCTCCTATTAGTTTTGTTTTGCTGGAGAACACCAACTAATGCACCTAGTATTAGATGCAGATAGATAAATAGATATGTTTTTTAAGGAATTTGCTTATACTATTATAAAACCTGGCAAGTCCAAAATCTACAGGGTAGGCTGGCAGGATTGAGGCCTAGGGAGGAGCTGCAGCTTGAAGGCCATTTGCTGGCAGAATCCCCTCTTCTCTGAGGAGGTTAATCCTTTTGTTCTTAAGGCCTTCAACTGATTGGATGAAGCCCACCTACATTATAGGGGTCATCTGCTTTACTCAACATCCACCAATTTAAATGTTAATCTCATCTGAAAACACCTTCACAGAAACACTCAGAATAAAGTTGGAGCACTGTGGCCCAGCTAAGTTGACACATAAAATGAACCACATCACCCGCTGGGTGAGAGGGCCATGATAGCAGCACCTGGCCTGAGTGAGGGAAGTGGAGAGGGTCCCTACTGGCACCCATGTCTTGCGTGTGCCATCCCTCATCTAGAGCAGCATGGTTGGATATAGGGAAGGGGCATTTCATGGAGGGCAGGCATGAACAGGGTTCCCCCAAATGAAGGCAACCTGAGGTTTCAACCCCCCAGCTCATTTTACAGCAGTGTGTCTATTACTTCCTTCTGCAGGGGCCAGGGGTATTAGGGAAGAGTCTCCTGACCAGAAAGGACAAAACAAAAGAAAGGACTTGGCTCTGGCCAGGTTCCAGAGCTCCTTGGATCTAGTGGGAGGAGTCGAATGGCAGGGCCCCACCATATCCAAGGAGCCCTGGAACCTGGCCAGAGCTGGGTGTTAGGATGTCCCCCAGACACTGTGAGTCACAGTCCCCTCCTCTACCTGCTGTCATGTCCTCCTCTGAAGACCATTGGTCCCAGAAAAAGACCACTTGAATAAAATCTAGTTTAAGCCAGGGACTAAAAGTGCAAATCTTCAAAAATAAAGCACAAAAGTGTAAAAGTAGATTCAGTTTATATTTAACAAAATTAAGATTACTTTGGTGACTGTTTGCAGATTCTTTGCTAGAACAGAAAATGAATCAGTACTAAATTTCTTTCCAGTCTCTGTGCTTCCTAAGTCAGACCTCTGGGGGCCACTCTGACCTGGCATCCCTTCCACTCTGGGAGAAGACATGCTTGCAGCTTGGGAGAGGACCTGGGAGTATGAAAGAGGTGTCAAAAGAGGGCTCTCTGGGGGGTGGGGTAGACTTTGAATTGGGGGTACCTGAGGTTCTAGAGGGAGAAAAAGGTTTTTGATAAGAGTCAGTGGCTGCAATGTTAGGGCTGAGGGCATGGAGAAGGGCTGAGGCAGAGAAGTCAGTAGTGGTAAGGAGGCAGGGATGTTCGAGTGGGGTCCTGTTCTGAGCTTTTTGGCCACCCTCTTTGTCCTTATAAAGGTGGAACTTGCCTATCAGGATGCCAGTTACTGATCTTTAGTACTTGGGCACATGGCAGGTGCTTGGCAGATACAAATTTAATTCTCCTTTTACTTTTGTGCACCTGTTTTTCCCCAGCCTACTTTTTAACACTTTTGGTGTCTACTGCCTGATGATCTAATTTACTAGTCAGGAAAAGCAGAACTTGTAAGCAATGTACTGAGACATTTGGTTAAGGAGATTTCTAAGCAAACTGTGAAAGATGCTGCCTTGTTTCTCCATTGATGCTTATAGTAAAACATGAGGGAAAAGGAATGAATTGAGGAAGGAACTGTTAGCAAACAGAAATCAGCGCTTGATGATTTGGGAGGTTCTCAGTCCCTCTAGATTGCAAAGGATGTTAAGATTAGGAAATTCACTGCTGAGAAAGCATACCTTGGAGAGAAGGCCAAAGGTGAGCCTGGACAACCTTCTGTTGAAGAGAGGAGGTGTGTGACTCACAGATCCAAGCAACTTAGCAGCAGCCAGAAATAGAGATGGACTTCTATAGCAAAGTTATGCGGAGAGCCGTCTTGGCTAATGGCATGGACCCCTTGATGTATATAAGAGACCCTCAAGGGTTTTGAGAATGTTATACCAGCAAGAACACTGGACTGAAAGGGAGAGAGACTTGACAAATGAATAAAAAGCTGTCAGACTTCTGGGATTCTACAGACAAGAAACAGGCTGATAGAACAACTCAGCTACAAACACATGTTATCCTTCAAAAACTAAAAAAGGAAGAATGACTCTGAGAGCAGGGCTCTGGAAACAGAAGTGAGGCTAGGGGAGTAGCCACAGAGGTCAGTCTCAGGTATTGAAACCTCATGGAATTTGCCCTGCTGTGTTTTAAACTTGCTTGGGACCAATGAACCTTGTATTTTTTCCACCGTCTCCCTTTTGGAATGTTAGAAGTAGGTAAATTGTTTTCTAGGTCCACAGATGGAGAGGCATTTTGCCCCAGGATAGACCATATCTAGAGTCTCACCCCTACCTGATTAGGTGACTTACATGATGACATTAGGAACTTTTTGAGCTGATGATAATTTAGATGAGATTTTGGACTTAGAGTTAATGGCCTAATGGACTGAGAGTTTGGGGGATGTTTGAAGAGGTGAATGTATTTTGCATGTGGGATGGATGTAAATTTTGGGTACCAGAGGGTAGACTATAGTAGGTTAAATTATGGTCCCCCAAAATATGTCTACCGGAACCTCAGAATATGACCATTTTGGAATAAGGGTCTTGCAGATGTAATTAAGGTAAGGATCTTAAGAAGAAATCATCCTGGATTAGGGTGGGCCTTAGGTCCAATGACCAGTGTCCTTATAAGAGACAGACAAGGAGAAGACACGGAGAGTCACAGAGAGAAGTCCATATAAAGACTAAGGCAGAGATTGGAGCTCTGTTGTTCCAAGCCAAGGGGTGCCCATGGTTGCCGGAAGCCCCCAGAAGCCAGGAGAGAGGCATGGAGATGAGTCTGCCTCGGTGCCTCCATGGGAACCATCCCTGCTGACACGTCGATTTGGACTTCTGGCTCCAGAACTGTGAGAGAAGAAATATTTTGTTGTTTTAAGATATCAAATTTGTGGTAATTTGTTATGGCAGCCCTAAGAAACTTATGAATTTTGCATGGAAAGGACTGAAATCAGAAAAAGCCTTAAGTTCTTTCTGATCCTGTCAGGTCCCTTAACTCTGAGCTTTGGCTTCCTCGCAGGGAATCGCTGCCCCTGCTCACCATCTTGGGCTTCTGGGGGCAACATGTCAGAACCATTGCCTACTGATGGCCAGCACTGCCCGTTCCTTTCTTTCCTGGCATGCCCATCCCACAAGTGAGAGAACCTAGACCCGGGAAACTTAAGCAACTGGACAGCAGAGCTGGGACTTGAAGTCATTCATCCAGCTCCAAAGACCCAGCCCTGGCCATGTGCCCTGCTGTCACGGGAGCCCCAGAGGAGATGCCTGGGCTGGTAGTGGTGCCTCTACTCCAGGGCAGGGCCTGCAGGCCCCATGGCAGTTCTGTGGCCATGCTGCTGTGCTTTGCTGAGGCCTTGCCTGGGCTGCGGCATGTACGAGAGCCCATTGCAGCAGAGGCTGAGGTTCAGAACTCCTGACCTCCTCTCACCCCTGCCCTCTTCCAGCCATGATTGGTGGCCAGTGCCTATTGGGCACCGGGACATGGGGGGCCATGGCCCTCTTTCCAAACACAGTGACATCCCTGTCAGATTTCACTAATAGACTTGGACACATCTGACCGCTTGAACTCCCTTGGAGGCAGGGCACAGCCATTCCAAATAAACAGTCACATTCCCCTCCCAGTCTGGGCTGGCCTGCGGAGCCTGCCATACCCTGGCCCCCGTTTCTGTTGCCCAGGTCTGTTCCCAGCTGGGGCCAATTAGCTGAGCAAGAAAATGTTGGGGAACAGGGAGTGAAGGAGAAAAAAATTCCATTTAGTCCCTAGAACAGTTTAAAGGCCACTTATCCTAAGAATCACCAGCTTTCTGCTGAGGCATTTTGACTCTCTCGATCTTCAGCCTGAGAAATCCCTCTGATAAGATTTGATCTTCGGGGTTCAGGCTAGTGATGTTTCTGGTGATGATTGGCTATCAGGGTTGTAACATCAGAAACTGTTGAAGCCACAGACCATGGGGAAAGAGAGCAGGGGCTGGGAGTGCAGAGGGACTCAAGGCAGGCATGTACCAGCTCTGTGTCCACAGGCAAGTCAGTCAACCTCTTCGTGTTTCACTGGTTCAGCTCAAACTTGGGATGACCCCTGTGTGCTTGGCTCTGTCCAGGACCTCTGGAAGATGGGTCAGGGTGGTGTGGTGTGGACTAGGGATAATGTATATAAGGTTCCTGGCATCTAGGAGATACAAGCTTTAGCTGATACTCTTGTCATGTTTATTGTTGCCATTTGATATTATTCTCATGTAGAATTTTTGTTGTGGGTTCCGGAAGTAGTAAGTGTCAGGGCACCTTCCTGGGTGTAAGGTCCTGTTCAGGGCTACTAAGTGAGTTATTGAAATGCAAATTTGCTTTGCGGACCCCACTATGTGGACCCCACTATGGTCCACTATGAATCCAATCAATGTTCTGATAATGATGACAAACATTATTAGATATATTTGGATACCTATTTAGTTGATAAAGCTTTTAGGGAAGAGTTCAGAATTTGATAACATAGTCCTCCCAAATCAAGTCTATATTCAGATTGATTTTCTTCTTCATTGAAAACCCCCCAGAAAGGGAAAAGAAAACCTTAAATACTGGTAGGTGTTTTTACTTTTACCTTTGCCTCTGCTCTTTGAAGCTAATCACAAGGGTGAGATAAGATTATGACATCTGGAAAGAATCCATTTTCTTGCCCAAACAAGCCTGCAGTCTTGACTCTTCCAGATCTGCCCTTCCCCCACCTCCAGCAACGCTGTGCACTCCCCTTCCCAGAGGAATGCTGCATTGCTTCTCTCCTTGGAGCCCTTCCGGGCTTTCCCCTACCTGCAGTATGCTCACTTTCCAGCACAGCTCAGGGCTCACATCCTTTGGGTAGAGGTGTGCCCCGTCCTCTGTGCTGCCTGCTGCTTGTATTTGTCTTTGTGCCTGCATCTCCTGTGGACCCTGGTCTCCCTGGGGGCAGAAGCTGAGTCTCCTCCATCTTTGTATTCTCGGCATCCATCCTGGGCTCGGCCCAGAAAATATTTGGTGAAAGGAATAATAGGAAAAAGCCAATAAAGGAAATAAACAAGTTGTTTTTCAGTAGGATTTTGATTGGAAATAGGTAATGAGTGACCTGAGAGGGCTGTGTTTGGAGTCACTGCCACCCTGGGGCCATTTACAGAAACCCAGAGCTGGGCAGCCCCCCACTTCCTGCTGGGGCTGTGCCCCTGTCTTCAAGGCTGCATCCTGATGCTCCATCAGTAAGCAGCAGTGGAGATGCTCCCTGTGTCCCTGTGCTGCCTCATTCTGGGAGCAGTGACTGTGAATCAGGTGCCCGAGGCTGCAGAGCTGGCTTTCCAACACCTGTGGATATCGGCTCTCAAGGCTGAGCTCCCTCTGCTGCCATGTGTTTTTATCTAGAAAATATTGAGTGACCTTCATCCTGAACTATTTTCTGTTCCAGAAGATACATAAAGGAAGGCAGTTTCTGTGCATTTGATGTTTCATGGTTGTCTGGCTTTTGGCAGTGGAAGCTTACGGGATTCTGCTCTCTGTGCCCATGTGTGGTGCACCAGATGCACAGGGTTGGAGCTCCCTGGGAAGGAGAGAAGGCAGAGAAGGAAACCAGGAAGGTTTTGGGAAAGCCAGAGGAAGCCATGCTAGGCCCTTTGAGCAGATCAGCCCACCCTTGGTTGTCGCCCTCAGGAGGGACCTCGCAGATCAGGCCCTTCCTCTGCAGCACCATGGCCACTGCTCAGGTTCAAACTCCCGGGCCCTGCAGGGCCGCTTCTGTGGCATGCTGCTCCTCCCCTTGCCTCCCAGGTCTTCTTCTTGAGTCCAGCCCAGCCCTGCTGACAGAAAAGCCTTATTGCTGTCCTGCTCATCTGTCTGTGGGTCCTCATTGTCTCCAGGATAAAATCTAAAGTGCATGGCACGGAAGGCAGAGCATAGCTCTTCATTATCACCTCTCCAGCCTCAGTTTCTTGTCTTAAAGCCTCATAAGACCTCCCACTGCTCTCTGTGTATCAGGCAGTACTCTGGTTTCAAAGGACAGAAACCCAACTTCAATTGCCTTAAGCAGGATAGGAAACAGATAGGCTCAGGGCTGGAGACGTCTGGATGTCATCAGGAGTGCTGGCTGGCTCCAGAACTGGCTCTGCCCTGTCGTGTGTGGGCCACACACTCAGGTGGCACCTTCCCTGGCATAATCCCCACAGCTCTGGCTTTCCATTTTCTCCTTCAAATCCAAGATGCAGTGCTACTTGTGGTTGACTCCTGAACATCACGCTATCGAAGGATCCGTCCTGGCAGTGGAACACCCCTCCCCTGGCAGCGGCTTGTTACCTGACTCTGGCCAATGATATGTGAAGGGACATCTCCTAGGGGTTTGGGGAAAAGCTTTTCTGCTTTTTGGAACTCAACAGGAAAAGACAGCTTTTCTCCTTCACTGGACATTGAAGGGAGGAAGGATGTGACGCCTGGACTCAGGGGCTGAACGGCCACCTTACTCCCAGGCTGGAGGTTTGCAGAGGCTGGGAGGCAGGAGAGTTGCCCAGAAGCAGAGCCTGCACCTGAGGGCTGCTGTGTGTCTGCCCCGCCTCAGAACTTCGTGTATTGTGAGAGCTCTGTCTCCACACGGTTCCAGTCAGGGCTATCTGTTACTTTTGGACCAAAGTATCATTTATGATATGAGAGCAAAATGGCATCTCTTTCCTAGCTGTTAGGAGCACAATTAAGGAACAGGCTGCTCCTGGCCTGGTTGGACGGGAGCTCATCCCTGTGGATGAGTACAGTGCTCTAATTGGGCTGGCTGGGTTACATGTCCACCCCTGGAGCTGGAAGGGACAAGGTGGGAGGGATGGTTCACTAAGAAATTTGGGTTACTCCTAGGAAATGCAGAATAGACATCAGGCAGGCAAAACTGAGAGATATCCACTGGCTTGGTGCTTCCCAGTGTCCACACCATCACAGCTCAGGTGCTGGACACAGATGGACTATGTTTGAGTCCTGCCCCATCACTCACGGGGCAGTTACCTCCCCTGGCTTCCTCCAGAGGTTGTCATGAGGATTTGACAAGAGCCACGTAGCGTGCTTGCAGCAGGGCTTGACGTAAGCCTCACTGTCTTTATCACCACCCCGTACAACTCTGCATCTTGTCTTTTCTTTAATGGGCCTTTTTACTTGGCCCATGGAGTGCAGAGACTTGGGGTGGGGTGGTCTGAGCTCTGCATTTCCTGCCTGCACCCAGGACCCCAAGAGCCTCTGTGAGGTCTTGCCTTTCTCCTGGCTTGAGGATTTGAATCACACCTGCAGCCAAGTTGTAATATCCTGTTGTCTCCCTAAGGAGGCACAGCTGAGGAAGGACAGTCTCCAGGCAAAGATGGAAGGTTGACCTCACAGGAGGCAGGGAACTCAGGAAGACTTCTCTCTGCAGGTGCTGTTGTCAGAGATCAATGCTCAGTGTCCTAAAGCTCTGGCAGGTTGGAGGATGCTGCCCCTGCAGGCCTTTTTCCTGTGGAAGCTTGGAGCTTGTTCTTAACCCCCAAACCCCAAGTGAATGGCATGCCCTTTTCCATCAGGCCCCTGAGAATCTGTTGCAGCTAGACGAACTGCTACCAGCATGTGCTTCCAGAAGCGGATGACTGGCTGGAGTCCTGACCTGCAGTCAGCTGTCCAGGCAGAGGGTACAGCCAGCTTCTTGTGCTGAGAGCGGCCTGGACCTGTGACAGTGGGTCTGTCTGCGCTCCTGATAGGCCTAAGCATTTCACACAGTCTTCTGCAAGGATGGCACTGGGTGGCCCAGGCATGGTTGGAGCAGGGGAGAAATGGTGGCTTTAACCCAAGTGGTGTCTTCCTAAGGAAGGGGACAGGCAGGAGTGGTGCTGCCCCACTGCTGAGGTGGGCCCCCTTTATAGAGATGCCAGCTCAGTCTGGTCGTGCTTGGTGTGTTTCAAGCCTGGTGTAAGCATCTAGAGTCCCACTTGGGCCCAGGTTGACCTGCAGCCTCCCAACCCTTTGATGGGGCTCTAGTGCCCAAGACCACAAATCAAGCCCTGCCCCAGCCCAACCAGGCTCCTCAACTGCAGCTTCCTGCTCTTAGGCCAGGTGGATGTCTTAGGATTCAGCCTCTCCCCTGCTCACCCCAAAGCCTGAGTGCAGCCACCACTCAAGCATACCCTGCCCTTTCCAGCTGAGGGGCAGTGTTACAAAGAAGTGACAGCAGGGCTTCGAGAGCAACTGGGCTTGGGTTTGTACCTATGTGCTGGCCCTGTGAGCTCAAGTGAGTTCCCTGAGTACACTGAGCTTCAGCGTCCTTGTCTATCAGTGGGGTTGACCATGCTGCCTTCCTCCGAGTCGCAGCAAAGGGGAGGAGGAAAGGGGCAAGCTGCTCTAGAGCACGCACGCATGTGGGCGCAGTCACCACAGGAAGCCTCAGCCCCTGCACCCTCTACATGGAGCCCTGGCAGTCAGGCAGCACTCAGTGGTTGCTGGGGGAGCAGATGTGGAGGTGCCAAATGTGGCGCAGGTAGGGAGTGTGGCTGGCCTCTGGACATCCCCTGTAGAAGCCACATGTTGAGGGAGCCTAGGTCGGTGTGGGCCCTGGCCCAGGGTGGCCTTGGGACACTCCCAGGGCAGCTGTAGCACCCTACAAGTTGTCGTATGAAAACCACTCTAACTTATACGTGCTTTTGGGTGGAATTAAATGAGTTTTATTGTTTCTAGGACAAGATAGGGATTTGATTAGAAACAACATTTATGGAATGCCAGGGCTGGTTCCCATCCACTGTGCCCTGCAGGAACACAGGGTCTTGGGTCCCAGGCGTAAACGGCCAGCTGTGTGACTGGGGCAAGACACGCCCCTCTGTATGGCCAGGCCACCTTCTTAAATAAGTAAGAACAGCCTTCAGGTGGGAATGGTTCTTCCCAAGGGCCATTTGCTTTCACAATCTTGTTTACCTTCAGTGGTCAGTTAAGTTTCAAGGGGAAACTGTGACTCAGGCCAGTGGAATTGTCAGATGCAGAAGCAAGGGGTGAGATGGATGCGGGCTTGCTGGGCTTACCGAAACTTGTATGCCTGTAGGCCTCTGGGGGTGCAGTCATTTCCTCCCTCTAGCTGTGGGCTGCGGTGCCTTTGGAATAGGATGCGCATGTCATCGAGGGGTCTAGCAGTGACCTGAGGACTGGCAGGACCTCGATACTGGGGCCCAAAGCGGTTTCCTCTCCTGGGAAATGGGTGCCCAGCCAGTGTCAGAGCCCCAGCTGGGAGTGGCCTTGGTGCAGAAAATGCTGTGTAAATGGCAATTGACAGTGCCAGGTTGTGCCCAATGCAAGCATGGGTGCTGCCTGGTCCACAAAGGAGTATCTGATCTTTGACTGTCTGAAGACCACTGCCTTTCTAGGTTGGAAGCAAGCTCTGATTCAGATGAAAGTGTGGCCATGCAGGGCTGTGTGACCTCAGCTTGCACACCCATGAAGCCAGCCCTGCCCACAACCTTTCCAGATACTGTTGATGCGTGTCATGTCGGGGACTGGAGTCCCTGACAGGTATCAGAGCCCAAGCTGGCCCTGGGGGAGCCCTCAGTGGGGCTGGGGTGGTCAGGCAGGCAGCTGTTTCTTCATATGGGGAAGGCACTGGGTGAACATGGCTTCCAGAGTGTGGTGGGGGCACTGGAAGGGCTCCAACCCTGCTTCCCAGGCAAGGCGACTGAAGCTGAGTCTCAGAGAAGGCAGAGGGCTTTGCCCAGGCATTCTGAGCAGAAGGAACAGTATGTGCTAAAGCCCAGAGGCGAGAGAGTGTCTGGCGTGACTGAGGTAAACATGGAGCTCCTTGCAGAGAGTCTGAGAAGTGGGGTGGTTCGTAGGTGGTTGTGGTCATCTCTGAAAGGGCAGTAGGGAGGATGTTTGGAAGGCCGAGTCTAGAAGATGTTCCAGCTGGAGTCGGGTCCTGTAGGCCACGCCTTGTGATGGGGAAGCACAGCTGCACCCTGGAATCAGGCAAGAGAGCCCCTCCAGGGGCCCACAGGGTCTCGAGGCTCCTGGGTGCCGCTGCTCCCCACTCCGCCCCCTCATGCCCTGCCAGCCTGTAAGTCCCAGGACCCTGTGCTTTCACTCCAGCTTTTCCCCAGGCCCCTTCTTGGCCCTCCTCACCCTCCTGGGCTCAGTCCCAGGATCAGCCTCCTGCACAGGGTGGGAATAAATCCTGTAGGCAGCCTCTGCCCTTGACAGTGGAAGTCAGGGCTGCCTAGCAGGGTCTAATTCATTATTTCTCACACTCAGCTGGGGGTTAGGGCGGGTTGCTTGAGATTCTTGTTAAACATTCTTGGTCCACCCCGGGTCCCTGAATTCCAGTCAGCAGGAACCAAGGAATTAACATTTGTGACCATCAAATCATCCAAAGGGACTCCCTTTATTGGCAGTTTGAGGAAACCATGGGCCAGAGGTTGGACTCTGAAGTTAGACAAACCTGGCTCACGTCCTGCCCCTGATTTGTCACATACTGTGCAGCCTGGGTGACTTAACCTCTCTGAGCCTCAGCTTCCTTATCCGCAAAACATGGAAATGTTAATAACAGAGCCTGCTTTGTAGAGTTACTGTGGGAAGGAAAAGAAAATAATGATTTTACATCAGTGTCCAACATATTCATTCAGCGCATAGTCTTGAGCACCTACTATGAGCCAGATGCTAGGCTAGGTCATAGGAGTAGAGGGTGAGTAAGGCAGGTCCCATTTCTGTTCTTACAGTTCACCTTCTACCAGTAGGGGTATGAGTTGGTAAATCACCTTATTTACCTTACAGTGAGGCGATTGAGAATGGGAGGGGTTCTGTAGGCCAAGAGAGCTCTCTTGGAGGTGGAGATATGAATATCTTGAGCAATGAAGGGGTACAGCCATTCAGAGGCCTGGGAGAAGAGTGTGGGCATGCTGGGCACATTCTGCCACCAGGAGGGAAGGGGAGACGCTGTGGGACAGGCAGGAGGTCAGCAGGGCTGGAGGCCAGGGCATGCATCCAGGCTAAGCACAGCAAGTACTGGGGAGCCTGGCCTCCCAACCTCTTCTTGAGGAAGCAGACCCTTCTGGGCAGAGCGGCTCTGCCTGCCCCCTCTCACCCTCTGGCCTGGCACCTCAGGGAGGGCAGACCACACCTGCAGTCTGTGTCGGGCCCCTCACTGCCCTGGCATCACTCTGGGGCTCTGCTGGGACTTTCTTGTTTGTTTTAAAGGAAAGTTGAGTGTTTCCTGAGTGTGCGTAAAGCCAATGTACTACTTAAACTGAGTATTTATAATTCTTTCTTTTAAGAAATAAAACAATAATAAAATACCATAAACCTTGCTTTAATTATTCACAGGTGTCAACTTGTAATCATCATGGGGAAAGGGCCAATGAGATGCCTTATTTAAAAAAGGCACTTGCCTGCTTTTCTTTGAAGTTTTGCTAAAATGCTTCATTATAACATGTTCTTGTTTATAAATAAATTCCAGCCTTTCAAAGTTTGGGTGTTTTTTGTTTTTGTTTTTGTTTTTGTGTGCGTGTTTTAAAAGTATTTAAATGAGATGATTCTAGATGAGGGTGATTGATTCACAGAGTGAGCCAGCCAGAGCTGTCTGTGAGTGACAGCTGTGGCTCCCCTGCCCTCCTGGGGCAGCATAGCTACCTTAGCTTGCTGTCAGCTGTGGTGTTTGTGAAGCTATCCATTGTGGATGTGTAGATTAGGGTGAATCCCGATTTGTGTGCTCGCATTTGCCTACCTGCTGGACTTACTGCCTGGCAGACAGCTCTGCACGTGAGCACATGTGCACATATGGCCTGAGATGGGGCCTTCCCAGGACAGGGGAGAGTTCTCTGAGGGCAGATAGCAAGGGAACCAACCTGGGCTGAAGTCAGGGGAGGCTTCTCAGGTCCGAAGGAGGAGGAAGACTTACTAGGAGAAGATGAGCAAGGTGTGGGTAGAGAGGATTCTGGGCAAATGCAAAGGCCCCATGGTGGGAGAGAGCCTAATGTGTTTGAAAACCTAAAAGGAAGGCATTTGGCATCTGGACTGGAGCCCAGAGACAAATGTGGGGTGAGAGGTGCTGTAGAGGTAAGTGGCACCAGACCATGCAAGGCCAGTTCAAGTTCTGTCTATTCTTATGACGCAGCTGGTTTTGCAGGGTGGGTGATGTAGTGTGTGTGCAATTTATTTGTGTGTTTGAGGGAAAGACAGATGGTTTGGAGAACAGATTTGAGGGGAGCCAGGACCTTTCTGGGGACTAGTGGGGAGGCTGTTGCCATAGTCCAGGCAGATTGAGGTGGCTTGGATCAAGCTGGCAGCAATCCAATGGGCATTAAAGGCATTCAGGAGATGGAATTAACAAGGCTTTGTGATGGACTAGATATAGGGACAGTGAAGGGGAGAGGCATATTACCGATGGACCCCAGATCTCTGGCTTCAGTGACAGGCCAGGTGGAGGAGCCGTTGGTGAGAGAGAATCCAGAACAATCTGGAGGGGAGAGTGAACAGAGCCAGGAGTATGGCTTGGGCTTCACTAAGTTGGGGACGTTTGGGGAACCCACTTGGAAAGGTCTAGGAAGCAAGCTGACATAAGTGTCTGAAGCTCAGAGAAGTTTGGGATAGGACATATATTTATGTGCAGTTGGTGGCTCCAACCTTGGTAGTTGGGGCCTCTGGCTAGAAAAGAAAAGTTAAAAAGCAAGCTTCAGCTGTTTCATCTAAAGTTATAATTCCGATGCTTTAAAGGCTCCCAACCCTCTTCTTGTTCATGGTGGGGGAGCCTTCCTAGTTGTGAAAGGGTCTGAGTGGCTCCAGCTTTGGCATATTAGGGTGCAGGGGAGGGTATTTCTAGGGACACTCTGGGAGAAGCTGCCCAGCCTGCATGGTGCTAGTGCCAGTCTGCAAAATCTCCAGGTAATAGAGAGGGCAGGCCCCTGCCCACCCCCTTGCAGCCTCCAATGCTGCTGCTGTGGCAGCTGCTGCTGCGAAACAAACCAGGGTGACTGGGCGGAAGGTCAGGAGTTTAAGAGCTTGTTTGATTCAAAACTAGGCTAAAAGACAGGAGGGGAGTGAGCTGGTTTTCTGTGTGGATCCTGGTATTTTCCTTTGAGTTGGGGAGGAGAGTGGTGGGGCAGGGAGGGAAGGCCGGCCGCCAGAGGGAACGCTGCCAAGCAGAGCGCAGCTAATGTGAACCATACGGCGGCGGCGTTGGGCAGTGGCGGCCATCTCCCGCCCAGCTTAGTACAGCCCTTACTGCGGGCAGGGGTGCAGACAGGCAGGAAGGCAGCTCGGGCTGTGCGGCCACTTAACCCTTCCAGTGCTGAACTACAAGCAGGGCTCCTTCACCTCAGCACATTGATGTTTCAGCCAATAATCCTCTGTCCTGGGCACTGTAGATGTCTAGCAGCATCCCTGGCCTCTACCCACTAGATGCCAATAGCACCCTCTCCCAGCTGTGATGACCACAAGTGTCTGCAGACATTCTAAATGCCTCCTGGGGGGAAATTATCCCTGGCGGAGAACCAGTGGCCTAGAACAGGCGGCCCCCTCAGCTGCTGGGCCTGCCTGGACTCTGATGGGCCTGCACCCTTCAGGGGCCCTGCCCCAGACACACCACATCCATGTTTGGAGTGCTGCCTGGGGCTGAGCATGTGGGGGTCGTTTTCCCATGAAGCAGGCAGCCATAGGGTCAGAGGGGAGACGAGACCTACCCAGAGTTGTATGCCAGTAGGAGCCAGGGTCCAGGATTGGTGTTGCTCCACACATTCCCTGTCCCCCTGCTCCCAGGCATGGCCCCCATTCAGTTTCTGTGGTTTTAAGTGGGAGGTGTGCAGCCTGCCCCTGACTGGCTTCCTGGGGGGACTAATTCCTATGCCAGCCTTCTCTGCCTATTCAACATGCAGTTGCCCAAGGGAACATGGCACGGGTGTTTACCACACTGTTCTTATACCAAGAGTCAGTGCACACGAGCTCAGTGTCCAGCGGTGGGTCTGGTTCTCTAAACCGTGCGATACCACGTGCCCATCGAACACGATGGTGCAGATCTATGTGGAAAGACCACCATTAGAATCATCAGATCCGCGAGGACAGAGACTTTTGTCAGTCATGTTCCTGGGCCCTTAATAAATGTCCTGTGAATAAATAAAATGCTAATTGCAAAACCAAATCTCAATATGTATGATTTGGTCCCATTATGTAGGAAAACTGTCTGCATATGTTTGTATACAAATGCATCAAAAAATCTGGAAGGAGACAGCAAACTGAGAACAGTGGCTGCATCTTGGAGGAGTGAGGGAAAGTGGAATTTAGAGGGCTGAAAGAGAGCTTTCATGTTTCAGTCTATTTAATTGGTGTTTAAATCTTTTACAACGAGCTGGTATTCATCTGTTTCTTGTGTGGCTTTTATGAAAGAAAAAATATAAAGAACTGGAAAAAGAGCAACTTTTGTTCTGTCCTTCCCTGTTCTCTCTCACCTCCCTTGTGCCCTCACTCGGCTTTGGCCTGGAAAGTCCGTTCTCTGCTGGGGAGGCCTCTGTGTAGGGAGCCCAGGGGTCTGGCCTGGCACTGTTCTGCTGAGGGCCACCTCCTTTTCAGAAAGCTGGAATGGGCCCCTCCTCCTGGCCCCTGTGCATGGATGCCACCACTGGGCTTCCCTGTCCTCCCTGAGCCCTCCAGGAGCTCCCTGGCACCAGTTGGCATTTGCCCTCCACATGGCAGTGCCCTCCTTGCCTCTGTACGGTCTTCCCTCTGGGCCCTCAAGCTGGGGCTCGCACAGCAAGCGGCAGCCTCTACTTTATTGGGGAAGCTCTGGGCACCAACCCTCACCCCCTTCTCCTTCACTAGCCGCCCTGCATGATTCCCCTCCCAGCTGTTTCTGCTCATTTCTCTGAAGTTTTCAGCCCTTTTTCTCCTACTCACTGTTTTTTTTCCCCTCCACACTCCCCTCCTCGGAGATGCAGCCTGAGGCTGAGGCCGCATTGTTTGGTGACCTTCCCTGCTGTCCCAGGCTGCCTGCACATTATCATATACAAATACTTTCGTCCCTTTCACAGCAGCTGCCATCTTTGCTGACTCTTTCATTACCCCCTCCGCTTCAGCCTAGGCAAACAGGTCTCTGCAGGTGGTGACAGTGATAATTTCCTGTCCATGGAAAGCCTGCTCTCCCCACAGCACCATAGCAGGAGCTTCTTCCCTTTAACAGGTGAGGGGAATCCAAGGTCCAGAGACGTTAAGTCACATATTTTAAATGTGGATCGGACCCTCCTTCTGAGCATACTTCTGTGCCTGTCCTGTGAGCAGCAATGGTTTATAACATCCCTGGAGCTGGCCCCTAATTTGGCTCCTCCATGGCCCAGCTTTCTGCATGCAGCTGCTCTGGGGTCCCTAGGAGTGATTGCAGCCCCTCCAGGGTCACTTCCATTTTAGCTGAGATTTGGGGTCTTGAGAGAGAAGGGGCCTGATGTGGTGTGGCAGCCTCCAGCCCACTTCTAGTAAGAGTATGTTCCAGAAACTTGACTTTGTATGCAGAGGTAGCATGGGTAAGTTGGGGATGGGGTGGATGAGGATGTGAGACATGAAGATACCAGCCTCTTGGAGGTTCTAGAATCCCAAAACGCCAGGCAGTAAGGGGTTTGGGCCTGGCTCCAGGAAGTTCCTGGAGAGTTTCACCAGGATGGGGTTTGGCTGGGTCTCACTGTCTTCCTGGATGGACCAGGGAGGACAGAACCAGCATGCCACCTCTGGGATCCACTCCAGGGCCTGGCTGGTTCAAGCATGTCCTAAGGACAGATAGGGGAGGAACCTCTGAGGCAGGCACTCAGGGGTCCTCCTCTGGGCCCTGTGCGGGGGTTTTGAGCCTTATGGCTGATGGGGGCCTGGCGACTTGCACTCTCCGGTTCTCAGCTGTTTTGTAGTTGACAGTGTGTGGGAAGCTGGGGCGTTCCCCTGAGTTAGTGGTGGTCGTGGGATCTGAGCAGGCAGTTGCAGACCTGATCCTGCTTTGGCTCTGGAGCCTGAATGGATTTCTGACAGGAGAAGCTGAGGCTGTCCAGCCTGCCTTGGGAACTTGGCTGCTTCACCAAGTGGGAGCTCTGAGACTCTCCCACAGGTCCCGTGCTCCCCACGTGCCCTTACAGTTACCTGCCCACCAGGGCCCAGAGGAGGGGCTACCTGGAGCAAGGGTGCCTGGACTGGGCCTCTGTCTTCCCCTGCTGTGAGCAGAGTTCTCACCTCCTGACCCCGACTTGGTCTAACCCTGTGACCCACATGAAATGCCAGCCACTGGTGGTGGGAAGTGGGTGGCTGGTCTCTTCCAAGCCAGGAGTGCATCAGCTCCAGCCTCCTTCCCTGCTGCCGGCCTCGGTTCACAGGGAGCCCTTTGAGGGGCTTTTTGATGTGCACCATGGATGTTTGGCTTGACCAAATTTGTTTGCTTAAGCATTGCTCTTGCCAGTTCATTCGGACCTTCTCTTTCTTTTAAAAATATGCTGCTTGCCAAAGGTTATTTTGGATCTGTTTTTGTTTATCAGGTAGAATTGTTCCAGCGCAATTGAAAGCAGACCCACATGTTGACACGCACCGGAGCTGCTTGCCAGGACACGTGCACATGTGCACACGCGCACATGCAGAATATGTGGCAGGCATCTCATCGTGAGCCCTAGAGTGTACACAGCTTAGGAAGGGGGACTGGGGAAGCTGCCCATTTCACCGGGGACTTGGTATGTGAACATTTTCATCATCTAGGTGCCAGCACTGACAGACTTCAGGTGGGGAAAATCTAGGGACTGTTACCTCCTGGGAGAGGCAACCTGGTGAGTCTGAGTACCTTGGGGTTAGGCTGGCTCTGCCGCTGGTTGCCTGTCATCCTTCCCTGCTCTGGCCTGGCTTCCTTCTCTGTGACTGATCTCCCGACTTCACAGGCTTTGTGCCAGGCTGTGGCTGACGGCCTTCGGGAAGCAAGCAGGGCTGGCCGGAAGTCAGCCAGAGTGAGGGACTAGAGCGCTGGGCTCCCTACAACTGTGCCTCCCTTTTAAGTGAGTAGCCTTTTCTTGGGAACACGGTTGGGTGCTTCCTGCCAGGAGGCCTGCAGTGGATTTCTTCTGAAAACACAGCTCTTTCTCCCCATCAGGACCTGCTGTGTATAAGCAGGCTGCTCAGAGGAGCCCTTTCAGGCACTGGCTTTGGGCCTTGCTCCCTTGCCCCTTTGGGGCCCTGTGGCACCTGGAAACACACAGAGGGACTAGGCGGTTAAGGCTCGTCCTCTTTCCCATCCCAGGACAGCCCAGCAGAAAGCTTGAGGATACTGATTCAGCTCCAGGTCTCATTGAAGGGAGGACACTGTGTCCAGAGGGGTGGCTATGTTCGTTCGTTTGATTATTATTAGTGATAGTAACCAACTCAGATGAGCATAAGGAAGGAAAGGAAATTTACTTGCTTCCACAAGTGAAAAGTCAGGGTACTTGTGCTCCAAGTATGGTAGTGTGGGGCTTGGAAGCTGTCAGTACTGTCTCCTTCCATGCACTTACTTTGTTCTGTGTGGCTCTACCCTCCAGGCAGCCCACGTCTTGTGGAACCCTAGGCAGCTCCAGACTGGCCTCTGTGCTTCCTTCCAGTTCCTCCTGCCCAGCAATGCTGCACAAGTGCTGAGATCTAGCCTTGTCCTGGGGCCGAATTGGTATAGACACTCAAGCACTGTCTCCCCTAGGAGTCAAGTGTCACCGTTAATGTCCTGTCAGGTGCAAGCCCCAGCTCTGCTGGCTCATAGAGCAGTCCACACCTTGGCAGAACTGGGTGTCCTTGTGGCTGGTGACATTTGTGTGAGGCTGCCCTCACCCCTGGCCTGCAGGAAGAACCCCTGTTTTGTTTCCAGTCTTAGACCAACAAAGGCATCCACACTGGGGAACTGGGGGAAGCTAAATCAGCACCCGCCCAAATGGGAGAGGGAGATCCAACATCTTAACATTATCTTCAGATTTTAAAAATGATACATACTTCTCCTTAAAACTTCAACACTACTAAGAAGGAGGTACATGTACCCTTCCCCATTTGCTGGAGAGCACGGGCGCTGCCATGTATCAGCCTCCCTCCAGCAGTTCCTGTGAGTAACATACACGGCTACACCATGGCATGAGCCTTGGCAGAGTCATACCACCGTGCTGCTGTGGCACCTCCAGCCCTCCACCCCCCACACAACCTGAATGTCTCTCCTCTTTCAATAATGAAGATCCTATAGTCATGAAGCTGACTGTAAAGCCCAAAGTAATTATGTTTTATCTGAGTTTGGGAATCTTTCTAAAACGTATTTCATACTCCCGCCTTTCCTTGAACTACACAATTCTTCCTAGAATACTGCATATAATTCCATCTTTTCTTGACGACTAAAGCTTGTCTTGATGAACCAGTTGATTTTATAGGATTGGAGCTATAGAAATGCATGATCTGTTTGCTTCTCCACTAAATGACTTCATGCAAGCTGGAGGGCCTTGGGGGCCTGCCCAGTGCTGGGGGTTGGGGGTGGGGGATGGGGCTTCTGGCACTGTGCAGGCCACCAAGGCTCCTTCCTCAGTTACTGGAGCCTCAGAGAGGCTAAGATGCAAGCAGAGGGTCGGAGCAGGCTTTTGGGCACTCAGGGTTACCTGATGAGGGGAAAGCCTCTGCCCACTTGCCTTTCCCCTGAGAGACACTAAACAAATGACCAGGGTATGTGCAAAAGCCACAAAGGGAAGGGTACAAAATCCTCTGGGAATGTCCATCATGGACTATAGTCGAGTCATTTGATAGGACCCCATATAGCTGTACAAATTCATGAACTAAGACTGTACATGTCATAGGGGAGGCTCCTGGAGCCGCCACCACCCTGCCACTCCCCCATGTCTACACGGCTGTTCCCATGTCTGCACTGCACTCCTGTGCTTTACCTGAGCTATGTGTGCTTAACCTTAAGCGTTTAACCAGCATGCTTTAACGTTTTTTTTTTTTTAATGCAATATGTAAGGAGAAGCCACTGAAGGATTTTAAGCAGGGGAAGAGGGTAGGGAATAAGGACCCCTGGCCAGGTGGGAGTCTGGTTGGAGGGGTCCAGAGTGGGTGTGGAAAGCTGGCTGGGTCCAGGTGAGGGTTGATGACGGCTTGGTCTAGGGAGGTGTTGGGAGAGTGGGAGAGAACAGGCTGGGCTTAAGAGGTACCTAGGGTGCCTCAAGTCTTCATGATGCCTTGAGCACGGGGCAAGATGAAGAGGTGGGGTCATGGGTACTTCTGGGTTTCTGGCTCACATGATGAGATGGGTGATGGTGCTGTGGATGCAGAAAACCATGTGTGGGGAAGAAGGTGCCTCTGGCGTGGGAGCTATGGTGCTGCAGAGCCTGGGAGGCATGGGGTGGAAAGCCCAGTGCTGTCAGAGCCAGAGTCGAGAGTGTCCCCCTGGGTGCTCACACTGTGGGGCTGGAGAAATCAGCTTGGGAGAAGGCCTTGCTTTTGGAGAACTGTAGCACATAATGGCTGGGCAGCAGGGACAGGCCTGTGAAAGAGATGGCTGGGCCTGAGAGGTAGAGGGGAGTGAGGAGGGCCAGGGCTGGAGCACTGCCGTGTCCCCTCCTCCTCACCACCTGTAGCATGTCCACTTCCTCTGTCCAGCCTGCAGGATCCTCTGTGTTTGGGTCTACCCTCTTGTGCTTCCCTACTGATCCCCAATCTGTAGTTGTTTTCAAAAATTTAGCCATGGTTTCCTCCCTCGCACAGCCATCACGGACACCAACCCAGCTCCCCTCGCCCACGCTCCCTTAGCCCATTCCTGTCCAGCGTCAGGCCAGTCCCACGTTCCTGGAGCCGCCAGCACCCTGCCACTCCCTGCCCCTTCACAGCCATCCCCATGTCTACGCTGCATTCTTGTGCTTTACCTGTGCTGTGTGTGCTTCACCTTAGGCGTTTAACCATCATTCTTTAAAACATTTTCAAATTTATGTGAAAAGAGAACTTGATAATATCTGTGAACTCATGAGTTTGCTCTGCTAGTTATATTTTTTCTATCTGGAATTTGATATAAGTACATCTCCCACATGGGTTTGTAGTCATGCATGTGTGTACAGCATTGTTTGCTCTGTCTTGTAGATAAATGGTGACGCTCTGTGTGTACCCTATGCCAAGCTTGCTCTTCGCATTCAGCACTATGATTTTCAGGTTTCTCTTTGCTGATATGTACAGTCTCAGTTCATGAATTTTTACTGCTGTATGGGGTCCTATTACATGACTTGACTATAGTTCATGAGGGACATTCCCAGAGCATTTTGCACCCTTCCCTTTGTGGCTCTGGCACACATACTGGTCATCTATTCAGTGTCTGTCTCCACTACCCCTCCCTCACTGGAGTCTCCTTGCACACAGAGCTTGATCCAGGCGGGAAGCAGGAGGGAGTTAAACTCTACCTCCTTGAGAAAGGAGTATCTATGTAATTATTTGGAATTCTTCCTTACAGGAGACTTGTCTCTTCTCCCAGTTTATTAACTCAGTTATGTATTTTTATCAGGCTAGACTTTGGATATGTATTTTATACTTTGGGTTATAATCCAATGCTACATTATTTTGCTGCTCAAATGGTTCCAGCCTTGACCATGGAGCTCTATGAGGCCAGCTCCTGTGTCCTCTTGACATGGCCCATCCTTTTGTTTTCTGAGCACTTTCTGGCACTATAAGGTGTTCCAGGCTCATCCTGTTTCCTGCCCCAGACCTGGAATCAGCTACTTCTCCAAGGAGCCTGACACCTTCTATAGGAGAATGGTATTAGAGACAGGGTGTGTGCTCCTTGCTGCTGGGGCATCATTGCTTCTAGGTCCTTTTAGCAGATAGAGCTAGGAAAGAAATGTATATATAGCAACCCATATGTGCATATCTACCATTATAGATACAGAGGCATCTACCTATCTGCATTTACATCAAGCTGAACATGAGCTCATGCTCTGTCTCTGACTCTAATCAAGTACACATGGCTCATTCTAGGCTTGCCTCCTTGCTTGTCTGTGACCTCCCTCCAACAGTATGATGTTTGGCTCCTGTCACCAGCATTCACTCACTTATTTGTTCCATCACAGTTCACCCTTACCACTGACACAAGATTGTGAAGCCTGTGAACAAGGGTGGTTTTTTACTGTGGTTGTCCACAGGTCCCTGAGCCCCTGATCTATGGAAGCAAGAATGTTGGTGTTCAGACAGATTATTTGGAAGAGTGAACCCTGAGGGCCAATTTGGCAAATAAAGTGGTGAAATGTCCCCCTTTGTCTTGAAGCGTGAAGCCCTTCCTGCTGTCAGGCTGAGGTGGAGATGAGCTCAGAGAGAACTCACAGTGATGCAGCTCCAAGGGGGCAGGCGGGCTTGTGCAGCCATGGGGGGAGGAAGGAATGAGATCAAGAATGGAATCTGGGGGCCCTGGGAAGTGGAGTCCCAGCATGACAAACTGTACTAAATGGGAGAGAGTGAGGAGGCTGGGGAGGGGATGGAAATCATTTAACAGCTACACTTTTCTTCCTACTAGCCTTGGCTTCCTTAAGGCCTCAACATGCACTGGATTCTAAATATGCAAAGCAAGGCTAGCTGTAGACAAAAGGAGGAAAGAATGAGGTGGTGATGTGATGAGCTGTAGTTTGAGAAAACCCCAGAGACTGAGTCTCCTGGAGTTAGACTGGGAGACTTGCTCTTTGGGAAAGCCCATAGGCCAGAGACATCAAAGTGCCGGTAAGAATAGGGTTCCCCTTGGGTTACCATCAGTTGGGGATGCAATAACTACAGCATTTATCTTTAACTTAAATTTTTAATTGTTAAAAAAATAGGTAATGGATTCTCAAGATAGGGGAAAAAAAATTCAAACTATGTAAAAGATGTATAGTTCCTACCCTATTACCATTTCTGGTTTCTTTCTAGAAATAGTCTATGTGCATTCAAGCATATTCATGTATATCGTTATCTCCTTTTTTCCTGTATATTAATGATAACATAGTATACACATTGTTTTGTACCTTGTTTCCCCCCGCCCCCCCCAAAAAACTCTGTCTTTGAAGATACTCTGGTATGAGAACAGATAGACCTGCCTTTCTTTCTTTTTCACTGCTGCATTAGTGATAATACAGGTACGCCATCATTCATTTGTACTGGTCTTCCAGTGACGAACACTTCTGCTGCATCTAGTCTCTTGCTTGACTTCTGTATTTCTTCTTTTAAAGTGTAAATGTTTGGCACAGGTGCTTTTTTCAGTTATTTCAAGTAAGCGATTTTGGTTTTCACAGGATCCCTAGGAGATGGCTTTGGCAGACAAAACTCGGCTCTGAGGGATGATGTGTTTTGGTCAAGGTCATAGAGTTGACAAATGGGAACTTGAGTTTAGGTCTCCTTACTCCACTTCCAGTGTCCTTTTCACTGTATTCTAGACCAGAAGAATAAAGAATATATAAATCCACATATAAGTCGTATGTGCCACAGCAAAAGCCTGAGTTCCTGCCTTTCTTTACCAGTGATCTGCAAATCAGGGTCTGTTGAGTGGGGTTTTCCTTGTTGTGACTTGTCTCTGGGACCCCAAGATAGGGCCAGGCCCAGAGCAGGAGTCAGGAATCCCTTGTTGAACAAATGTGCACCCTGGGCCCTGAGATTTGGGGCTCACTGTGGCCATTGACTTCAGGGAGTTCTCCTAGGATACGGCAAGCTGCCAGTACATTGGTTGGAGTAGAGGACCTATACTTTATACTTTGCAGGTGAACATGTTGACTTAACCATCAGAAGTCTCCAGATGGAAATGTCTTGCCCCATCACTGTAGTTTAAGTGGTATTCCTTTAAGAAGAATAACTTGGATGCCAGAACCAAAGGCCTGTGCTATTGGACTGGGCCAGTGAAGACAGCACAGGCATTTTCCAGTTTCAGTGAAGTTATTTTTGGTCAAGGCATTTCCTATTTGAAAACATTTGCAGCTCCTCATGGGTCCGTTGGTGCCTGGAGGTATAGGGCTTTTCAGAGGTTATTGTGATTGTCCTTGAAATGGTGGCCTTTGCAGTTGGAGTAATGTTCTGCAGAAGTTAGAGTATCGCTATCTCTGATCAGAGTCTGGCACTGCTAAGGAGCTACAGGGATATGTACCAGCTTCCTCGCCCAGCATAGGGAACACGCTTTTCAATTCATGTCTGCACATTTTCCCACCTGAGGCAGCTGTGCCTTAGCCAGTTGGGCCCCTCTGAGAAATACTGCTAATACAGAGCGACACCACCACTCAGCTCTGTGGAACTTCTCCCCAGTGGCCTAAATGCTGATTCCTGGGACAGTTCCAAATATAGGTTCCCCACTCCCGCTTTATAGGAACCAGTTTACCAAGACCTGGAGGCCACCACTATGTCTCATGCCTTTCTTTCTGCATCCTGCACATTCTCAGTACCTTCCAGACTCTTGCCAAGATGCAGGCTCTGGAGCCATATCACAAATTCAGGTGCCTTTTAGGGCCTGGCAGGAGGCAGATGGAGGGAAGCAGCACATGGGAAGAACTGTACTTCTTTACACTGTGTGAGTAGACCTGGGCACACTGAAGACCCACCACTCATCTCAACTGTGCATGGGAATGCAAAACTGGAATACCTAGATTTTGTCATTTTTAAGGAGAAGCTGGAAATCTGGATTTTCAAGTGAAATGTCCCATTTTAAAATATAGGCTTGAGTTTTTTTGTCACACAGTATGGGTCAAACAAAACATGTCTGCAGCCTGGATCCTGCCTTTGTGCTACCTTTGGGACCTTTGCTCACTTCTCTGCACCGCCCTTCCAGCCATCTTTCTGCAGAGGCTTGCTGTCATGTTTGAGGGTTTTCCTTTAGGCAGAGTGGCAGACATCTGTCTCATTGCTGTGGGGGCCACCAATATGGTAGAATGGAAATATGTTGCTCACCTTTTAATGTGTGGATTGGCCATCCCATAATCTTCTTTTGTGAAATGACTGCTAAATTCTTTTACACATTTTTATATTAGGTTGTTTGTCTTATTGTTGATTTGTAAGAGTTCTTATATATTTAGGGCACATGTCCTTTGTCAGATAACACATACTTAGATGATTTCTCCCGGTCTATAAATTGCCTTTTCATTTTGTTAATGGTGTCTTTTGAAGGCTTTTAATTTTGGTGAACTTCAATTTATTATTTTTTCTTTTATGGCTTATGCCTTTTGTGTCCTCTCTAGGAGATCTTTGCCTTTGCCTATCCCAGAATTGTGAAGATAGTCTCTAATGTTTTCTTCTGGAAGCTTTAAAGTTTTAGCTTTTATGTTTAGGTCTGTGTTCAATTCCAAATTAATTTTTTTGTATGGTGTGAAGAAAGGATTGAAGGTTTTTTTTTTCCTCATATATGTATGCATTGTTTCAGCACTACTTATTGAAAAAAATTTGTCTTTCCCCTTTGAATTGCCTTGGCATCTCTTAAAAAAAATCAAGTGACTGAATATGTGTGGGTCTACTTCTGTGCCAGTGCTCTGTTTACGTTTATTGTCTTCTCATGCTATCTTGATTGCTGTAGTTTTATAATTTTGAAATGAGGTAATATGAATCTTTCAACTTTGTTCTTTTGTTTCAGCTCTTCTAGGTCCTTTGCATCTATATAGATTTCCAAGTCAACTTTTTTTTTTTTTTAAGTATTGGAATTTGGTTGGCATTGCATGGAATCTGTAGATCACAACTGGGAACAATTGATATCAGTATTGAGTATTTCAATCCATGAACATGGTATATCTTCCTATTGATATAGGTCTTTAGTTTTTCTCAGTAATGTTTTATCGTTTTTTGGGGTTGTTTTGTTTGTTTGTTTGTTTTTTGACGGAGTTGCACTCTGTTGCCCAGGCTGGAGTGCAATGGTGCAACCTCGGCTCACTGCAACCTGTACCTCCCAGGTTTAAGCAATTCTCTTGCCTCAGCCTCCCAAGAAGCGGGATTACAGGTGCCCACCACCATACCTGGCTTTTTTTTATTTTTATTTTTAGTAGAGATGGGGTTTCGCCATATTGGCCATGGCTGGTCTCGAACTCCCGACCTCAAGTGATCCACCCACCTCAGCCTCCCAAAGTGCTGGGATTACAGGCATGAACCACCGTGCCCGGCCTGTTTTATAATTTTAAGTGCAGTTTTATACTTCTTTTATAAACCTATTTCTAGGTATTTCTAAGTATTTTTTTTTTACTTTTTTGAGACAGGCTTGCTCTGTCATCCAGGCTATATATTTTATTATTTGACACTGTTGAAAATATTTTTTATTTTCCAATTATTTACTGCTAGTATATAGAAATACAATTGATTTATATATTTTGAGCACATGTTGCTGTCTATGGTTTGAATGTTTGTCCCTTTCAAAACTCATGTTTAAATTTAGTTGCCATTGTAACAATATTAAGAGGTACAACCTTTAAGAGATGTTTAGGTCTTGAGGGCTCCACCCTCATGAATAGACTAATACTGTTATCCCTTTCTTGCTCTTTCTCTCACCTTTTCTTTGCCCTTATGCCACTTGAAGCCTTCTGCTAGGTTCTGACACAGCAAGAAGGCCCTTGCAAGATGCCAGCACCTTGATATTGGAATTCTCAGCCTCCAGAGTTGTGAGGCAATAAATTTCTGCTCATTATAAATTACCCAGTCTCAAGTATTCTGTTATAGCAGCACAAAGTGGACTTAAGACATATATGCTGCAAAATCTTTTCCTGCTAAATTGCTCACTAGATCCTTGCTAAAATTTCTCACTAGATTTAGTAGTTATTTTGTGAATTTCTGAGTACTTTCTTTGCAAACAGTTATGATATCTGGAAATAATTCCTTTCTACACTTTTTGCCTTTTTTCCCCCTAGCTTTAATTCACTTGCCAGGAAGTACAGTACAATGTTCAACATAAGTGGTGAGAACAGATATCTTTACCTTGTTGCTGATGTTAGGGGCAAAATGTTTATACTATTTCACTATTAAATATGTTAGCTGTGGATTTTTTGTGCATATCGTTTATCAGATTCAAGAAGTTCCTTTCTGTTTCTGATTTGCTGAAAGCTTTTATCATAAATGGGTGTTGAATTTTTTTGAAATGCTTGTTCTGCTTCTATTAAATTATTATATAGTTTTTCTCCTTTATTCTGTTAATTAAGTTACACTTATTGCTAAGTAGGTTACATATATTGTTAAGTAAGTTACATATATTGATTTTTGAATGTCAGACCCACTTTACATTCCTAGGGTTAATCCTATTTTGTTATGAAATATTATTCTTTTTATATATTGCTGGATTTTGATTTTACATTTTAGCATTTTTTAATTCATTTTGAATTTATGAGGTATATTGCTCTTAATTGTCCTTTCTTATAATGTCTATGTCATGTTTTAATATCAACATTATTCTGGCCTCATAAAAAGAGAAGAAGTTTTTGCTCTTTTTTTATTATCTGAAATAATATGTTTAAAGTTGGTATCACTTCTTGCTTTAAAGTTTGGAATAATTCGCCAATGAAGCTATGAGGGCATATAGTTTTCTTTAAGAGGAGTCTTTTAATTATGTATTTAAATATATATATGATGTATATTATATATGATTCAGATTTTTATTCTTGTGTGTGTTTTGTTGTGTTTCTGTAAGGAATTAGCCTATTTTTGTCTACTTATTGGCATAAAGTTAATTGTAATATACTCTTATTATCTTTTAATGTTTTTTGAATCTGTAGTGATATCTTCATTTTATTTCTAATATTTTTAATTTGTAATTTCTCTCTTTATTTTGATCAGTCTTGCTAGATGTTTGTTTATTTTATTAATCTTTCCAAATAACCAGCTTTTGGCTTTGTTGATTTTTTTTCTTTTGTTTCTTGTTTTCTATTCCATTGATTTCTCCTCTTTATTATTTCCTTTTTTCTACTTTCTTTGGGTTTACTCTGCTGATCTTTAGCTTCTAAGATGAAAGCTGAGATCCTTAATTATCAACCTTCTTTTCTAATATAATATTTAGAACTATAAATTTTCCTATAAGTACTGCTTTAGCTTTATTTCAATGATGTGCCATTTTTTAATCATTTGGTTAAAAGTATTTCAAAAATTTTTACAGAATTTCTCCTTTGACCCATGGGTTATTTATAAGTGTTCTTCTTACTTTGCAAATGTTTGAGGATTTTCCAGTTAACTTGTTGTTAATTTATACTCTTATTCCACTGTGGTCAGAGAATACACATTTCATGTTTTCTGTCCTCTGAAGTTTGTTGATAATTATTTTATGGTCTAGCCTATGGATTTTGGCAAAAATACAGACCTATATGATGACTCTGAAAATGTGTATAGGCAGATGATAGCAGGTGTTGGCCTAGGTGAAGGCAGTTGTGGATGCATAGAGAATCAGTTCAGAGTAGAAAAGCTTCCTATAAGGACATCCTCTCCTTCTTTTGCTAATTTTCTGTCTGTCTCTCCTAGTAGATATTTATATTTGCTAATGCCTTTAAAAACTTCCCTTGGGAGGCCAAGGCGTGTAGATCACAAGTTCAGGAGATCGAGACCATCCTCGCTAACACAGTGAAACCCCATCTCTACTAAAAATACAAAAAATTAGCCAGGCGTGGTGGCATGTGCCTGTAGTCCCAGCTACTCGGGAGGCTGAGGCAGGAGAATCACTTGAACCCAGGAGGCGGAGGATGCAGTGAGCTGAGATCACGCCACTGCACTCCAGCCTGGGCGACAAAGCAAGACTCTATCTCAAAAAAAAAAAAAAAAAACAAAAAACAAAAAAAACTTCCCTTATAGGATCACATTAATAACCCGAGCCACAGAGTCAGAAAGTGCTGCCTTAGAATGCCCTTTGTCACTTTCTGGCTTGTGACCTTGGGTGAATGACTTCACCTTTCTGAGCCTTAGTTAATTTTTCTAAAAGGGTAATGGGAGTATCTTCCCTGTGGAGTTGTTGGGAGAATTAAATGAAATTTTACAAAATGCCTTTCACAGTTCTTGGCTTTGTAAATGGTAAATATTTTTAGTGGTAGCAGTACTCAAAGAAGTTAGGGAAGCTCACACACAAAGGTGGCTGCTTCTCCCCTTTGGACGGTAGTCAGAGGCACTTGTTCTATTCTTGGTGAGAAGGCTGCTCCCTACCTTCTGCTGTGCCCTTGGCCCCTCAGAGATCCAGAGGAGAGAGCCAGCTCAGAGCCAGCACTTCTGTAGACTGGCATGCTGGTGCTCTTGCAGGGGTATTGTGGTTGGGAGCCATTAGGGGTCCTCACTGGGGTGCCTTAGACCAGATACCTGGTGAGGCCCAGATATCCCTCCTTCCCATAGGGTCCCCTAGGGCTAGGGTGGAGGACTATCTGTCCTTCCTAGCCCTGAAGATTGCCAGGAATAGAGTTTGCTGACCCTGTTAGGGGCTGACAGTTGAAGTACATACAGGAAGACCTGCCTCTTCCTGAAAGTTTGTTCTGGGAAGGGGAATTTAGAGGGGAAAAGTGAATTAAGTTCTATCATATCTGAGTGTTCTTAAAATGTCAGCTATTGAGCCTCTAGAAATGACACATAAATTCTCTGCTAGGCACAACAGGTAAAGGAGAGTTTCAGAAGTTGTGCCAAGTGCCCCCTCTGGACTGAGCAGCAGGGCCCCAGACCTAAGTCAGACACTGGCTCCACCATCAGAACTCATGACCTTGTGGGACAGAGAGAGCCAAGGAAGTAGAGCACCTGTACACTGGGGGCACTTGAGATAGGGAGGGACCCCAAGGGAGGGTCTGGTTGGCTTTCTTGGAGACATGGAGGGCTCTGAGAAGAAAGAAATAGGTTTACTAAGTGGAAAAGGTAAGGGGAGGGTATTCCCATCAGAGGAAACAGCATATGCAAGGATTGGAAGATGCCATTCCAGACAATTGGAATGGCAGACTGTTCTGATATTTGACATTTTTGTTCGAATTAGAATTGTCATGAAACAAAAACAGAAACACATCATACCTCCAATGTGTGTTGCTGCCATTTTGATGAACTATCAATCTCTTGCATGTACCTCCAGGCCTCTGCTGTGCCTGTCAGGGAGGGCTGTCCCCATGATGCCTGGGAAAATGGCTATGTCTCTGCCAGCCACAGACCAGCATGGGACATTTCGCTGGCTGCACCATGTGTGGTGTTTGTCCGTTGCTGGAATGTGCTCAGTTGAGGGGAATTGTTTCATTTGGTCATCCAGGCTCAGGTGAAACAAAAAGAGGCCAATGCAAAAAGCTGCAGCTGATTCCAGGCACCCCCAAAATGTTTTCTACTCAACACTGGCAGCAGTGCGATGTCCCCTCAGCCCTGCCTTTGGTGGTGTCCAACTACAGGAGCTGGATGGCCCTCTGGCTGCCTCTTGGGGCCTGGGAAGCAAAGGAAGCAAGTTCAAATCTGTCACCTGTTTGTAGTTTTCATAATTTTTGATTTGGCATTTTGATCAGTCTGTTTTTGGTCAAGGAAATGCATCCGTATCTCATAACAGGAAACCCCTTTTGTGATCTTTACTTCAAGGCATTTTTCTGTACTTCCCCCTACTTTTTTTTTTTTTTTTTTTTTTTTTTTTGCTTGGCAAATTTACAGACCTAGTTTGATCTGTTTTTCTTATTAAAAGTTCAACATAATTCATTGCCATTGGTTTGTTTACAAAATAAACAATTCCAGGGCCTTCCAACAATTGAGGCTCCTTTTTTTTTTTTTTTTTTAAATCTTCCTTGGGGCTGGAACTGTGGTGAGAAGATGGAGAAGGACCCAAGTTTGGGAGAAGTCACGTGGTTCCATGCCTGCTTCCTGCCAGAGTCCCAAGCAGGTGACCCAGCAGTCAGCTGGGGAGGCAGACACCCCAGCATGGCCTGGACCCTGCTCTCCTCATTTATGTGAGGGTCTCAGTGGGGTGGTGGGAACCCAGGAAATTCTTGAACCTTCCTCAGCCCATTCATCCTCCTGCCCAGAGTCCCCATGGGAAGTATGTGCATAGGCACTAGCAGAAAAGCAAAAAAGGAATGCTTTCCAGCGTGATGTGGTGGGTTTGGTCCCCAGCCCCAGCCTCAGCTCTTGTGACTGAGTGACCTATAGGGCAGCTTTAACCTTTCCCCTGAGAAAGCACATGTTACCATGGTCCAGAAATCACCCGCTCATCCCAGAAGAGATGGAAGGATAGAGAGTGAGAGATTATCCAGGCCCTGGTACTGGGAGCTGAGCTTGCCTGGCTGCCTTTGGTGGGAGAGGGCCCTGGCAGAGCATGAGATTTCATCATCCTGAGCCCACACTAGGATGTCCCGATGTTGGAATACCCTAAAAGCTCTTCTCTTGGAAAACGTAATCCACGTAGGATCTTGAAATATGACCAGCAGGATGGGGCTTCCTGTCCCTGGTATGCAGAAAGGGTGAGTGGAGGCAGGAGGAAGGATGGTGTCTGAGCTGGCCATCCCATGTAGCTAACACAGTCCAATGCCACTCTGTCCTCATCCTGGCCACCCATAAGCTTTTCTTGTCTCCTCTTTCCCTTCCTACCAAGTCCAGCATTTGCAAGCCATCCTGATGCTGGCCCTTGCTTTTCTCTGTAGCCTCAGCTTTTCTCATTCTTCTACTGATAAAGCAAACTGTAGTTCTCCTGTTTTCTCAGCATACTCACCTTCATGGCCATGCACAGACCTGCAGGGCCTGTGTCTCCTCGTCATCCGCACAGGGGTATATCCATGTGGGCACCTCAGGAGGCAGCTCGAAGGTTACCTCCTCACTGACCTTCCTGCCCCTCCACGCTACACACATATGCCCCTCCGTCTGTCTCTCTGGCATGTGACTACCACTGTGACCTTGCTGCAGTTATCCATTGGCCTTTGTGCCCCTGAGATGGCCTGAAAGACACGATTTGGATTTGTCCCAGTTGGCATAGGTGTGGCTTACAGTCAGTACTCTGCGTGTGTTGGCCAGAAGGCCCCCAGTGGCAGTCAGGTGGTTGTGATCTTGGAGTGGGGTAGAGGAATTGTAGCCAATGCTATTCCAATGCTAGCCAATACCAAAGCTGCACCTCATGCTCTACATCACACAGGGAGGGACCTCTGGAGTCCCAGAGGTTTGGCAAAGCTCCCTGCAGTCTTTCTGTTAAGAGTAAATAAAGAAGCATGATATCTGAGGTGGTGAGTACCCACTGATGAGTTAGTAGCATAGAGCTGGCCTCCGTCCTCTTGGGAGACCATAGGCACATACCAGGGATGAACAGCATGTAAGAATCAGGGGTGCCAACTTGGGCCTGAGAGGGAGGGGTGGTCAGGGAGATGTGTACAGGGAACACCAACTGAAGGCCCCGGTCCCCCAAGGGAGGACAGCTTGTGAGGGCTCACCGAAGGAACACAGGAGAAGTCTAGCCGAGGATTTATGCTTACCCTTCTCTTGATTACCATCAAGTGTGATGATAACTTTCGGAGAACTGGCTCTACCAGTGCCCCTTTCTTTATTTGTGGATTGAGCCCCTGAACCTCACTGCTGTAGTTTCCTTTGTGGAAGGAGAGATTAAAGAACCTTCCAAACTTCCTGTGGGTCAAGATGCCATCAGGAGGAAAGGAGCTGGTGTGGGAAAGCCCAGCCCAATCCCAGCTATGAGAGCAGTGTCTGGTTGTGGAACTCTGGCACACACCCTTCTGTGGACCCCACGGTCATGCTGAGTTCTGCATTACTCCACATGTCCCAGAGCTTCCTGCCTCATTCTCATGTCTCGGATAGCCTCATGGGAGGGCTCCAGCAGAGCTTTGAGTCTTGTGCAGCCTGCCCTTGATTCTGGGCTCCAGTTGCATGCCTTGTTCCCACTGGCTCTCCCATGCTAAAAATTAGATATTTTTTGAAAAATTGAAAATATCAACATGTTAAGTTATAAAATTAGGCACTTTTTTGCCTAAGCTACTCTCACCACACTCCTAAATCTTAGGTTCAAACTAGGTAGTTGTCTCAATTTTGCTGAAATAGTCCATTGGCTCCTGGCCAATCCTGCTGACTTCTCCAAGTACTTCCTGGATGCCTCTGGGGCACACATTGCTGCAGTCCAGGAGCTGAAGCCAGTCAGTAGGCCCTGGGACAGCCAAGGAGGGTGCATCACATGTGCCCTCAGGCAGGGAGTGGGAATCCTCCCAGTTTACAGCAATATTTTGCCAGATAAGCTGACACAGGCTTCAAGAAATCACCTTTTCCCCTTGGAACAAATGGGGGCATATGCCTGGATCATCTTCTCTTACTCCCTTGTGCCAGTCTATGACACCACTGTTTTTTGTTTTTTGCTTTTCTGAGACAGGGTCTCTGTCACTCATGCTGGAATACAGTGGCGCCATCAGCCTCAACCTCCCCAGCTCAAGCGATCTTCCTACCTCAGCCTCCTGAGTAGGTGGAACCACAGGCATGCACCACCATGCCCAGCTGATTTTAAAGTTTTTTATAGAGATGGGGTCTGCATGTGTTGCCCAGGCTGGTCTCAAACTCTTGGGCTCAAGCAATCCTTCTGCCTCAGCCTCCCAAAGTGCTAGGATTACAGGCATGAGCCACCACACCTGGCCATTTTTTAAAATAGATACATAATAGTTGTACATATTTGGGGGCACATATGATATTTTGATACATTCATGCAGTGTGTAATGATCAAATTAAGGTAATTGGGGTATCTATCACCTCAAACATTTGTCTTTTCTTTATATTAGGAGCATTCCAGTTCTTCTAGCTACTTTGAACTATACAATACATTATTGTTAACTATATAGTCAGCCTACTGTACGTTAGAACACTAGATCTTATTCCTTCTGTCTAACTCTGTAACAATTAACCAACCTCTCTTTATCCCATCCCCCTGCCCACCAGCCTTTGGTAACCACCAATCCACTCTCTACCTCCATGAGACCCACTTCCCCACATTTGAGTGAGAACATATGGTATTTGTCTTCTGGTGCTTGGCTAATTTCACTTAACATAATGGCCTCTAGTTCCATCCATGATGCTGCAGATGACAAGATTTCATTCTTTTTTATGGCTGAATAGTATTCCATTGAGTACATATAGCACATTTTCTTTATTCATTTATCTCTCAGTGGGTACTTAGGTTGATTCCATATCTTGGCTGTTGTGAATAGTGCTGCAGTAAACATGGAAGTGCAGATATCTGTTTGATATACTGATTTCCTTTCTTTTGGGTATATACCCAGCAGTGGGATTGCTGGGTCATATAGTACTTCTATTTTTACTTTTTTGAGGAACCTCCATACTGTTTTCCATAGGAGCCGTATCAATCTAAATTCCCACCAACAGTGTACTAGCATTCCCCTTTCTCCACATCCTCACCAGTATCCATTACTTTTTGTCTTTTTGATTAAAGCCATTTTAACTAGGGTGAGGTGGTAACTCATTGTCGTTTGGATTTGCATTTCCCTGATGATTCGTAAAGTTGAGCATTTTTTCATATACCTGATGGCCATTTGTGTGCTTCCTTTAGAGAAATTTATTCAGGTCTTTTGCCCATTATTCATCAGATTATTTATGTGTTTTTGTTTGTTTGTTTGTTTTTTGCTATTAAGTTGAGTTCCTTATACAGTCTGGTTATTAATCCCTTGTCAGATGGATAGCCTGCAAATATTTTCTAGTCACCACTGTTTTCTGGCTTGTAGCATGTGCTCAGGAACTACTTGTTGAGTGCTCTGTGAAGACAAAAATATTTTGATGTCCGTGACCACCTGACACATGGGGAAGGCCTGGAGGAAGGCATGGGAAACCCAGAGCACAGACCTGGGTTCAGGTCCAGGCCAACAGCTGACTCCCTTGTGTGTTCTTGGTCCTGTTCAGCTCTATGAGCTTTACTTCCCTCAGCCCTAACATGAGGATTATAAGTAATACCTGCTCCTCAGAGATGACCACGTATTTCATAAACCTTAGCCTTCTTCTTCGTTGCTTTCATAGAGTTACTGTGAGGATTAAATCAGAAAAGGCAAAAATGTCAGGAGCACCTCGTGCACTCTTGAGGTGTGATCCAAGTCCTGGGGTGGTTCCTGTGTGTCCTGATTGTGGCCCTGACTTTGGCTCTGCCCCTTTCCCAGCATGTAAGCCCTGTGGCTTTCTTTGGTTTGGGGTCTGGGCCTGGGCAGGGGTTTTCTTCCCCAGGTGATGTTCACTGGTGGTAGTCAGCTCCCCGGCAGAGCAGACCCCCAGCTTGGAAAAGGAGCATGTGTTCTTCCCAAGTCTGGGTGTGCTAGAACTGGCCTAGAGATTCTGGAACAGCTGTTCTGGCCACCTCCCCAGCTGCCTTTCTCTTTGTCCCAGAATTTCCCCCATCTTAACTTCTTTCTTTCATCTCCCATTCTTGACTCCAGCACTGTAAGCAGGAATCTGGCCTTTTATCTCATTCTTGGATCTTGATAGGCTGGAATGATGGTAAAAAGCCAATGCGGGCCAGGCGAGGTGGCTCACGCCTGTAATCGCAGCACTTAGGGAGGCTGAGGTGGGTGGATCACGAGGTCAAGAGATCGAGGCCAACATGGTGAAACCCTGTCTCTACTAAAAATACAAAAATTAGCTAGGCGTGGTGGCACGCACCTGTAGTCCCAGCTACTCAGGAGGCTGAGGCAGGAGAATCACTCCAGCTTGGTGACAGAGCAAGACTCTGTCTGAAAAAAAAAAAAAAAAAAAGGCCAGTGTGATGAAATATACTATTAATATATTATTAATGGCAATCATGTTAGTTTTCTATTTTTATTTCTGTTCCCATGGCTTCTACAATAAATTACCACTAAGTTTTTGGTACCACTAATTTAGTAGCTTAAAACAACACATACATATGTATAGACTATGTGCATTGAAGAAATAATCCTAATGCAATATGAAAAATAAAACTTTCATACCTTTCAGTACCTTTTTCCCAGAAGTTTGACAATTTGAAAATTTACTCTTCCAGATAATTCCTGTGCATGTATAAGCATAAATAGATACTTAGTGTTTTTTAAACAAGTAGGACTATACTGTGCTTATTGTTCTATGCTTGGGTATTTTTTTTTTGCATGTTTCTTGCATATGCCTAAATTATTTTATCTTATTGTCTATTTAAGCTGATTTCAGGTTTTTGTACTTGATCATTATAGTTAAATAGGGATAAATGTAAAATTCTTTATCCTCAAACAAGCTCCATCGATGGAGAAGAACCTATCAGCACAAGTGGTAATGTGGTTATTTGCACTCTCCAGCTCCAGGCTAGAGCATGTGATATGTGCAATGTTCCGTCCTGGGGGGGTCATGCTTTAAAGGGGTCTTTGCTGAGTTGAAGCAGCCAGTGAAGCCGTGGAGACTTGCCAGTGGTGGTGAAAGGTTACATAACTGGGAGGCCCCGCAGCTGCACCCATGCAGCTCCTCCGGTGTGCACGCTTGTTCCAGCTCTTCCTTTTACCTGGGCAGCTCCTACCCATATGTAAAAAGGCTTGGTGTACATCTCACTTCCCCTGTGAAGCCTGATCATGCCTAGGCTGTGAACCTCTCCTGGGCCTGGGGCTCTGCACATGGGCGGGACACAGGGTGGGCTGCAGAACTGAAATGTGGTGAACCGGTCAGGGACTTTACTGGTGCAAGTCACAGAAAGTCTAACTGGCCCTCAGTAAGTGGTTCCCAGGAGGCCATCAGGATGTCAAGGGGAGGCAGGTGTTGGACTCCAGGCCTGCTAAACGTACTCTCAGAGACTCAGAACTGTTCACCCCCTACCTGTCCAGTGTCCTCCTTAGGCACCTCTTCCTTCTGTCCTTTTCCCTAGTGGCAACTTTGTTTCTCTCCTGGAGCTGTGGAGTTACTCTTGACAGACTGGAGGGGAGAAGTCCTGAGGGGTGAGCCTGGGAATGGGGCAGGAGGAAAGAGACTGGTGTGCAGAAGGGACTTACACATGTCGCAACATTTAATGAGGAGGGGTAGAGCAGCAGTTCCTGGGAGAAAGAACTCCCATGGCGGGCAGGAAATGAGGCTCAGTGGAAGACCCCACTGGGAAGCTGGCAGGCAGACCAGTGTGGTCAGGCCATGCAGAAGGGACCTGGGGGGCTACTCAAAGTTACCTAATGGAGTGAAGATGAATTTTTCTCATTGAAGTGGAAAAACTGCTGATTTTTATCAGGGCAAGTTGGTTAGAGTGTTAGTTAAACCATCTGTCAAAGCTCATTTAGTTGTCAAAATTAAATCATTTTCCTCCACTTCCTAGTGGATTGGTTATAATGATAACTTTCTTGGCATGACATTTATCATCTTGGTCCAAAGGCAGTCGGGGGTATGGGGCTGGGAAGAGGGCAGGAATGTAATGCATAGAGTGATACGCCTGTTCCTTTTGTGGTAGAAAGATGCTATTTTAATACTGTTTAATTTTTATTATCACTTATAATATTAGTGTGCATTTTGCTGTAACTGCACCTGGTTTCAAAGCAGGACAAAACCCATGGCCATATTAATAAAGGAGGGTGAAGGGAAGAGCTGGGTTAGTGCCCCTTGTCTGGTGCTTCAGATGGTAGGAGAGGTTGATCCTGCAGGCCGACTGATTTAATGCCCTGATTTCCAGCTTAGGTTTCATATGCCAGTCATAAAGTGTAAGAAATAAATATCCTAAAACAATTATTTTTTTTAAAAAGTTTGGCTTATAAGCAAAATATCTAAAAACATTTCTAATTTTTATACAGAAGAGGAAAAAATAATCAGATAATCATTGATTTTGTTTTTTGTTTTTTTTTGGGGGAGGTAAGTCATATATATGGTTGGGAAATTCTAACAGCACGAAAGTTACAAAATGAAGAGTAGGAGCCTCTCCTCCTCTATCCCAAACCCATTCTTTATAACCATTATTAACAATTTTTCTGAATTTTCCCAGAAACAATTTTATGCATATACTCACGTATATAAGTGTATAAAGCTATTTTAAAAATTATACTCACAAGAAATGGTTGTTTTATTATTGTGATCTTACAAATATTTCTCAGCATGTATATTTACATCTGTCTCACTTCAGTGTTTCATAAATACCCTGTTATATGGCTGTACCATATTATTTAACCAGTATTTTAGTGCCATTGATGGACTGTTGCCTTTTAAAAAAAATTACAGTTGATGCTGCATAAACATCCCATTGTATGTAACTTGATGGACTTGTATGAGTATATCCATGGGTAAATCCTTAAAAATTGTGATTACTGCATCAAATGATATATTGCTTTGCATTTTTTTAAACATTATTATTATTATTACTATTATTATTTTGTAGAGACGGAGGTCTCACTTTTTTGTCCAGGCTAGTCTCAAACTCCTGGACAACAGGAGCAATCCTCCCGTCTACCAAAGTGTTGGGATTATAGGCATGACCCACTGCACCTGACCGCTTTGCATTTATAATGTTGATAAATATTGCCTAATTTCCCTCCAGAAAGGTGGTATCAAGTTACATTCCTACAACAGTATGTGAGATGGCCCACGTCCCCAGACTTCTTCCCAAATTAAGGATCATCAGTCATTTCAATTTTTACCTGACCTGATAGGTGAAACAAGGTAGTATTTCCTTGCTACTCCATTTGCATTTAATTTTTGAATGAGGTTATCTTTGCATATGTTTATTGTCCATTTGCATTTCATTGTCTATAGATTACCTGTTTATGGTCTTTGCCCATTTTTATACTAGGCTGTTTCTTTCTTATTAATTAATATAAATTCTGTGAGTGAGGAAATGAGCTCTGTGTCAGTTGTGTGGTAAATAACTACTGTACCTTCTCTCATTAAACTTTTGACTTGGTTTTTTTTATCCATTTAGAAGTTTTACATACTTACAGAGACTAATTTGTCATTCTTTTATGACCTCTGTGTTTTCTGTCCTGCTTAAACTGGCCTCCAAGATTATAAATTCACCCATACGTTCTTCTGAAATTGTTTTCATTCTTTCATTCTTTTGCATGTAGCCTACCTTTATTTTGACACAAGGAGAAAGCACAGTATCTAACTTTATTTTCCCATGTTAACTAGTAGCACCAGCACCACTTGTTGGTAATCCTTCTTTTACTCCCGATTTAAAATGCTACCTTTGTTAAGAATTTAAGTCCATCTCTGAGCTTTTTTTATTGTTGTCTTATTGATCTGTTCACATTTTTTCTTCCATGCCAGTGTTTCTTTTCTTTTTGATTCTTACAGTTTCATAATAGGTTTTTTTTTTTTTTCTGGAAAGGCTAGTCCCTGCCTCTCAACCCTCCCTATTTCTCCTTTTGTTTTTTCTGAGTGTCTGTAGCTACTGGTGCATTTTTCAGATGAACTTTAATATTACTTTTAATTGCCAAAAAATAATTTTTGGTATTATAATTTGAATTGAGTTGAATATAGATGTAATATAAAGAGAGTTTACATCATTATAATATCTAATTTTCCTGAGAGCATTGTCTTTCTTTCCACTTACTTAGAGTTTCTGAGTTTTTTTCAAATAGATCCTGTACATTTCTTAAGTTTATATTTAGGCATTTTGGTTGCTATTATTAATGTGATTTTTATTTTCGTTATAATTTAAAATTTTTCTTTGTTTAGAATAGCTGTTGATTTTAAAATATAATCCTGTAACCCGCCACCTTCCCAAAACAGACTTCGGTATTGTTTTTATTGTCTTTTCCGTTGATTCTCTTGAGTTTTCTAGGTATATAATTATATCATTGGCAAACAGTGACAATTTCCATTCTTCCTTTTAAATGTTTAGACCTTCAATTTTATTTGCTTATCTTATTACATTGCTTAGTAGTTCTAGAACAATGTTAAATGGCAGGCATCTTTTCGTTGTTTGTAATTTTTTTTTTTTTTCCCTCAAGACAGGGTCTCACTCTGTCACCCAGACTGGAATGCAATGGTGCGTTCAGGGCTCACTGAAGCCTTGACCTCCCAGGCTCAGATGATCCTCCCACCTCAGCTTCTCAAGTAGCTGGGGCCACAGGCGTGTACCACCACACCTGGCTAATTTTTGTATTTTTTGTAGAAACAAGGTTTCACCATGTTGCCCAAGCTGGTCTCGAACTCCTGAGCTCAAGTGACCCACCTGGCTTGACCTCCAAAAGTGCTGGAATTGCAGGCATGAGCCACCATGCCAGCCTGTTGTTTGTAATTTTAATGAGAATGTGGTGAGTGTTTTATCATTAAGTAAGGTGATGGCTTTTCGATCTCATTTATCTTTTCTCTCATCATAAGGAAATACTCATTTATTTTTATTTTTTTAAATCAAGAATTATTTTTAATTTTGGAAAAACCTTCATGGCGTATTTTGGAGTGATTTATGGTTTTTGTCTTTTGACCTTTTACTATGCTGTTATATTAATATGTTTTCTAGTATTGCATTCTGGAAGGTATCCTACTTAGTTGTATTCTGGTCTTTCAATAATATTTATATTATTCTTTCAGTAATATTTATGTCATAATTGAAATGTCTGGTTGGCAATTTTTGTCATGTCAAGTCTTGGTATTAGTATGCTAGCCTCACAAAAAGGATTTGGAAGGTTTTCTCCTTTATTCTTTTTAAACAGTTAAAATAGTTATCTATTCCTTAGAAGATTGAAGAAATTTGTCTCTCAAACCATCTGAATTTGATACTTTTTGGGGGTAGCACTTTAATAACTTAAACTGTTTTCCTTTGTATTATTAGTCTTTTGTTTCAGTCTCTGCCAGGGATAATTTTGACATAACATTTTCCTAGAAAATTATCTATTAAGTTATATCTTCAAATTCATTTGTATCTAGTTTTGCAAAGTAAACTTTCTTATATGTAGTAATTTTCTTTTTTAAAATTTCTAACTTTGTGTATTTGGGCTTTACTGGTTTTTAAGAACTTGCAATTGCATTTATCTATCAATTCTATTATTCCATATTTTCTAATAGAATAATTTGTGCTTTTATCTTTGCTATGTATTTCTTTCATTGGGTAATTTGTCTTTTTGCTAGTTTCTTGACTTAAAGACTAAATACATTGATCATATAATAGTTACCTAGGTGTTTAAGGTTGTGAATGTCCTTTGAGCTTGTGAATGTCCTTTGAGCACCGTTTTAGTTGCATTCCACTGTATGTTACTTTCTAGATATCCTGCAACTTCTCTTTTGCATCCTTCTTTAACTCGAGTTATTTAATGAGAAAATCGTCTCATTTCCAAGTTGTTTGGTTTTTTTCCCCTCTTTGTTTTGTCATGCATTTAAAGTTTTTATTGCACTGTGAAGGGAGAATATGGTCTGTGTCATGTCAGCTGTTTGGAGTTTATTGAGTTTTCCTTGTGGCCTAATATATGATTTTGTAAATGATCCAATGGCTTTTAAAAAGAAGAGTTATTCTGTTATAAGAATATAAAGTTTGAGATAAACCCCCCACCTTATAATATAGGTCTTAGTTCAAACTAATCACTTATTTTATAAATTGTTTGTTTTTGCATTGCCTACAATTTGTGCTTTACAAATTTTGTTGCTCTGCCTTTTGATATATAAATATTTACTATTCATATCCTCACTGTAAATTAAGCCCTTCATTAACCATTAGTGGCCCCTTTGACTCATTTAACCTCCTCTGCCTAGAATTCAGGCTTGTTAGATTTAAATTTGGCAATCCAGTTTTCTATTTGTTAACGTAATCTATCTTTTTTTTACTTTTCACCTTTCTGAGTCATTTTGTTTTAGATGTGATTCTTGTTTACAATATATAGTAGCTTTTTAAAATCAAAATCATTTTTAAAAGTTCTAAAAAAACTTTTTGAACCTCAGTTTCCCCATCTGTAAAATGGGTAGTTGAAAGTACCTATTGGATAAGATAAGATTTGTGCTACTCACTTTACATATATCTTCTCATTTAATTCACGTAAAGCTATCCTTTCAAGGTACTTCTTATATTTTTTGTCAGATGAGAAAACTGACTTAGGAAGGTGACTTTTCCAAGGTCACTCAATTGCTAATTGGTTGAGCTGTGATTCATCCCCAATCCAAGGCTTTCTAAATTCTAAAATCTTTCTACTTAGCCCATACGGCAGCATCGCACCATGGGTGAAACCCCAGGTCACCCTGCGTGAAATGGTTCCTAGCTTTTAAGACAAGTTGTAGCAAGCAGGGTAACCTGGTAACTAGGCTCACTTTTGGACTTAATTGGAACCAGACTGCAGGGGGCTCAAGGGTCAGGCTAGCAGTCTTCTCACCAGTACGTCCTACCTGCCCCACCTTCCCAGAATGAGAGCAGCTCTGCTGCTGGGTGTGGGGCCTGGCCACACATGGGGCCTTGCCTGCCCCTGCCCTCTCCAAGCTTTTCCCAAGGCTGGCAGGCACCCTCTGAGCACTGTTTCTAGCCTCAGCTCCATGTGACAGTCAGAGACAGCAGATGGAGCCAAAGACTTGGAGAAAAATGACACCCAGTTCAGAGTCCATGTTCCCTGGGGCCCAGACCCCAGTGTTGAATGTGGAGGAAAGGGCTTGGTTTATTGTTGGGGGTGGAGATTAGCAGGGGCTTTTCTTGTACCCTCTCCCTGTGGTGATTATGTCTAGGTATCAGTGAGGAAGAGGGACCCAGCGGGGCCCAGCTAGCATGAAAACTTCCTGGAAGTTAAGGCCTGGCTCCCACAGGGTGCCTGATGAGCCTTTATAAAATATCTAGAGGCATACCCTATGTCCACTTGGTCTCTATTCCTCCAGGCCTGTGGTTCCAGTAGGGGTTCAGCGAATATTGGCTGGATGAACTGGGCAAAGTATTGACTGAGCTGCTTTATTCGCAACAAGAACAGACAGGAAAGTGTATTTAGACTGACTCCTGCAGCATCTGGCACTGGGCATTAAGAGAAATAGTGCTCAGCCTGTGCACACATTGGGCAGGGTATCAGTCCAGCTGCAATACTTTCACCTGTGTGAGTGGGGCCATCACTAAGTCTCCTAGGGTCTTCTCTGTAAAGTGGAGATGATGCTGACTGTGGAGTTGGCCCTGACCTTGTGCCATTTTCAAGGATGATGAAGATGCTTTTGATTGTGCGCTCTCCCTGTAGGCCTCTCCTGGGCTTTGTGGCAGGCGAGAGCACATGCTTGTTGGAGCTCTGTGAGGCCCAGGCAGTGCCTGGTTCCCTGGGGTCACCTGGGCATAACAGTGCCCATCTTGTCAGTTGAACTGTGTGGCTAAGGGTGAAAGACTAAGTAGTTGGAACTCACGGCAACTTGCACACATGCTCTGCGCCCACAGTTAAGTATAGTTGGAAAAGTGGTGCTCTCAGCAGTGACCTCAGTCTCTGTCATTCAGACCCAGGAGTGGGTCTCAGAAGAGGCTGGAGGCCAAGCTTGGCCGTAGCTCTGCTCTTATTATATGATGCCCAGTGGCCCAGGTTCCTGACCACTCAGACTGGAAGAGCCAAGTCATCCTGGCAGGGGCCAAGGCTCTGACCTCAGTCCTTCTTGGTGCCAGCTTAGTGTGTGTGCCAGGCTGGATTGGATGTGTCAGGGGAGGGGGAATTGGGAGAAGACATAGCTTTCCTTGAGTATCTACTGTGTGCCACGTGCTGAGCTAGGCTCTCCAAGTACTAATTTCTGATCCTCTCAGGAATCTTCCAAAGCTGGGACTCTTATCCCCTCTTTGCAGCTGGAAAAACTGAAGCCAAATGCCATTTAATCGCACAGCTATTGAGTGAGAACCAGTAAGCCAGTCCCCCAAAACCTAAGCTTTACCCCTCATGCCAATAGCTTTTAAACATTTTTAGCTAAAGAACTTGAATATCAAATTTTATGAAGAATCCCCACAAATACAACCTATAGAAAGGGAGCCAGTCTGGCTGAAATGCAAATGGGTGACTTGGGCCCTTCTGTTCCTGCCCCTCCTCACACCTATGGCAGCCCCAGGACTCCCTGGGAACACAAGGCTCCTTGGAATCCAGTTTGGAAATGGGTCCTGTGCCCTAGAACCATGGATGGGAGAGCTCAAGACACCGCCCCTGCTGTCTGCAGGTGCATAGAGCCGGAGCTTTAGCTTCCCCGTCTGTGAAATGGAGCTGCTGATCCCTGTCTTGCAGCCTGCTAAAGAGAGTCCGTGAGGTGTGTTTGTTTTGTTTTGTGTTTTGTTCTTTTGAACTGAAAATTGAGGTGTTTCAACTATGGTTGAGAACCTACTGGCTGCCAGATAGTCAACTAGGTGTTTGTACGCATGATCTCATTCGGAAAGACTGCCTTCGCCCATGAGCAAGAGTGTGAAAGTGAAGGTTTATTTGTTCACGAGAGGGTGATGGAACAGCTTGTCACAAACTGTAAGTGTAGTCCTGGCACATGGCTTGGAGAGGACCTGAATTCCGGTGGGTGGCTGTGGAAGTGGAGAGGAAGAGCTGACAGAGACTCTGCCCTGAACAGCTGTCAGCACCTGGTGGAGACTGAGCAGGTGCAAAGAGGGCAGAGGGGAGGCGATAGCTGAGAGAGGGCCAGCTGGCGTTTGGAGTTAGAGGAAGAAATGGGAAAGGAGGAAGCCTAGAGCAGGAAAATCAAGGATAATGTCCTTTCTGGATGAGAGGGGTCAGCGCACAGAGGCTAGAGAGAAGAGAGAGGCCCCTGCTGCTGTCTGCTGAACGCTTACTGGGGCCATGTACATAACCAGTGTACCCAATGAGTAGGACCTAAGCCTTTATTTTCAGATGGGGAAACTGAGGTTCAAAGGAGAAACTTTTACCAGTAAGTAAAAGACCATCGGTTCTGGCCATAAGTCATGGTGACTTTAGCTGTGAAGATTCAAATTAGAGGATGCTGGCAGAGGGTGAAAGCAAGCTGAGAAAGGCTAATGCCTAGGGAGTGAGGCATAAGTCAGAATCACTTGGGAGTTTTGTGCCCAGCCAGAGAAACCCCTACTCCTTCAGGTGTGGAGCTTCTGGAAACTCTTCTCTACTCAAGAAGGGCAGAGGTGCTTTGCAGGAAGGGCCTGGACACACCGATTCTTGGCGCCCACTCTGGGGCCTCAGAGTTCCCCACTCTCCTGACCTAGCCTGGCTTGGCCTGCTGAGGTGCTGGATGCCACACTCTGTGATCTTATTCAAATGTCAGCTTTTCCTAGCATTAACATCCATTGACCCATTTAAAATAGACACACTTGGAGAAGGAAATCAAAAAGCAAAACAAAGGAGCAGTTGCTTTTCCAATCACATACACCTTGTGCAGCTTAATGAAGTCATAACAGAACCAAAGGCAGGTGCGGTATCTGTGCTTTTCAGGGAGAAAAGCAGGTGTCACCATTATCATCTGGATGCCCTTTGGCCACAGCATTTTTAGACCATCTGAGGCACTGCCAAGAATATTCCTGTGGCTTAGTGATGAGCCTTTTGGCAAGGTTAGGAAATTAGAACTCACCTTAGTTGTGTATTTAATTAAGGGTAGGGAGAAAGTCACAGGATTTCCTTTTTCTCTCCTTTCCCTCTGGAAGCAAGGGGCCACATACAACCATCTCCGCATCTTTCAGCTTTGACTGCTCCTGCCCCGTAATCTTGACTCCTGGAGGTTGTGGCTTTTACTCACTCTCTTAGTTTGGCTTCTTGAGAGTTTCTAAAATTGTACAAGGTCATAGCCAAGAGATTGCCTCTTAGCAACCTCGTGCCAGTGGCCTTGCGCCTATCCCCTGGTCTCCCACACTTACAGGAGGCCCACAGAGAGAGTCATGCTGCTGTTTTCTTTGTAGGCACACAACAGAACAGTGTTTTCCAACCTTTTCCTCATAATCACTGTACAGATAGACTGTATCATGACCCAATGCACATGCAGGTGGAGAAAGTGAAAGGCTTTACAAAATAGTATCCTTACCTCCTGACTTCCATTGCATTGCATTCTACTCCAATTTTTTATTTTCCTTTTCACTTGAAAACCACTGGTCTTAATGCACTGCATTGCCACCTCAGTTTGGAAACCTGCAGTAGTGCTCAGGCTCTGGAGGTCAGGCCCCTGTGCTCTGCTGCCCCACCCTGCCCACCTGGCAAGCAGGTCTGGAGGCCTCTGTCCCTCAGCTGGTCTCAGCAGTACTGGCTGCAGGTGACTATTACAGTGGCAGTGGCTGGGGAGGCCTTCTATTGATGCAACATTCTGTGTGGGGAAAGGCCCACTTGATAAAACTGTTTGGTTTTACTTAAAAGGAGTGTAGGTGAGGAAACAAACTACACAACAATGTGAATGAACTGGAAAAGTAAGAAAAGATAATGCAGGTGATATCCTTCTAAGAAAATTTTTAAAATTAAAATTCAGATTTAGACCAATGTGTTTTAGAAAAGGACTAACCATGAGATTCCCTCTAATTGCATGGTCTCCTCATTCATTGAAAATGTAGTTATTTTTACAGAAATCTGACCTTTCTGCAATTTTCAACTGTGGACCCATGTGAAGTGTAACTAATTCTCCTTTCACAGCATTCACCTTCCTCTTCGGTAATGCTGAGCCCCATTCTGGGTCTGCCATTTTACTACAGAGGAGAGAATTTGAAAGGTGGTCAGAAGAAGCATGGACATGTTAAATGTTTGGAAACCAGATTCCTGTAGGGAAGGAGGGAAGGATTTTAGCTCCACAGTTGTGTTCTGAGTGCCAGCTAATGGGGCTAGCCCTCTACGTCCCACTAAAAGCCTGCATGGTCCCGTGACCTTCAGGGCACAGCTCCAAACTTGAAGTGTGTGGCTGGCAGCCTGTCTTCCTCTGCAGCCATGCATGGGGAGCTTCAGGCCCACGGAGCTAGTTTGGTTCCCTGTCCAGCAGCTGCCTTGTCCTTTCAGGCTTCGGTAGCACTCTTTCTTTTGTGACCTGGGGCCAAGGACTTCACCTTTCTGTGCCTCCATCTCTTTTCAGAGTGTTTCTGAGCATACATTGATTATTCATGTGCTTGGAGTGGGCACTCAGGAGTGTTCCTTGTTGTTTTGCAAGGGACGCCCTTTCCAGCCCTGACCATTTGAAACACTCTTAGAAATATTTCAAAATCCAGCTCTTACGTCCCACCTCTTCCTGGGAGCTGCATCTGTCCTGAGGATGGAGTTGAGCTCTGCTCCTTATCATAGCCCAGTCACCCCTCTTCCCGCTTGACTCTGTGCTGCTTAAGAGAAGGCTCCCAACCTCTCTATGTTGGAATCCCCAGCACCTAGTACCGTGCCTGGCCCACAGTCAGTGCTCATCAATGCTGATTTGTCCCTGAATTCACATGAGGGATAAGAAAAGCTTCATCCCATTTCCACCTCTGATGGATTGGCTGTACCGTCAAGAGTTCCATGTTGAGAAGATTCTGAGACAGAACTTGAGAAAGGGAAAGACCCCACTATGTGGCAGATACAAAGCCAAGCATTTTACATGCCTTTTCTTCTGATTTAACCCTAGACAACCCTGTGAAGTAGGGACTGTTATCATCTCTCTCTGAGATGAGAGAACCAGAGCTCCTGAGTTACACAGAAGTGGGCAGTGCTGGGTCTCAGACAGGCAGGGTCCCCGCTGCTGCCCCAAGCACCTGGACCTAGGCCAGCTCTCTCTCCTGGAGTTTTGGTCCTGTCCAACTGCTGGCTACTTCCATGCGCAGAGGATGGAGTAGCGGGATCCCACCGCCTTTGTGTCACCAGACTGCGCTGGAATAGGGGAGCCTTTGTTTGGTGTGGGCACCCACCGGGGTTCAGAATACCAGTGTTTAGAAGAGGCTCCGCCTTCACCCTCCAAGGAAGGACAGAGGCGTCCATGGTTGTTGAAAAGCGGAATGTTCCCGCTAATGAGAAACAGTTGAGAGATGGGTGGGCCACCATCCTTGTGGCAGGCCCTGTGTCCTGACCTGCTTGTCAAGGTACAGATGACAGGCAGGGCTACAGCAGGTGTGGCTTCCTCTAGCTGGATTGGCAAAGGGACCTGGGCCAGGCTGTGGGGAGGAGGGAGAAGGCCCTCTGCAATTTTTCTTTTCTCTTCCCTTTTCTTTTCCTTAACCATTTAGCTGTATCTTTTAGTAAAAGAATACCCAGAAGACAGTTTTTCTGCATTACCATATATAGAAAATTCTAAACTTCTAGAAAGAGATAGTTCCCTGGGAAGATGGTCTGGTTTGAGGGTGAGCATTAACTTTGGACTCATACAGCCCTTGGTTAAAGTCTAGGGTTACCATTTCTTGGCGGTGTGAACTTGGTCAAGTCAAGTAGCCTCCGTAGGTCTCAGCCCCCTTGTCTGTAAGTTATTTCCATGCCATAGCATTGTGATGAGGATGACCATGGGAAGCACCTGGGATGTTGTAGAATCTGGGTAGAAACTGGTTTTTCCTATTCCTGCCAGCTCTTGGAAAAGGCTACATCCTGGCTCTCCCAGCCAGTTGATAGTGTGCCTCTCCCTGAAAGAGAAATTGATGTCTCCTGCCAACATCCAATTGGGGGAGTCCAGGAAAAGGGCAGTTGTCTGGGTAACCATTTGTGAAAGCCAAGGACAGGGCAAAATGGAGATGCAAGGAAGGGTTTATCCTCCTGGCAACAGGGTTGCACTCATGTTTCTGGTCGATGCAGCTTTGTGCTTCTTGCCTTTCCATGCCATGTGGGAGCCACGGGTGGCATGTTGCATTCAGTTAGTGACCAGGCTGCATCTTCAGAGCCCAGGCATCCCTGTCACCATCTAAGCTAGTTGGTCAGCCAGCCAGGTCTGGCAGGTAGGCCTCCCACTCCCAGAGTCTATGGATGCCACACCCAGGACTCAGGCATGAGGAGGTCCACTTTGGGAACCTGACTTCACCGCTGCCTGGTAACGGGGCTTTGGCAAGTCAGGCTCTTGGCATCTCCATTTTTAACAGGGCACTTGTAACCAGGACATCCTCATGAGCACAGCAGAGAACTGTTCCCGGGCTCTCATGAGATGTGTGAGAAGGCCCCTCATGTGGACATATATGAATGTAGCACATTTTTGTTAGTTTACTTTGAAAAGGTAATACTGGCAGATGGTTAAAAAGGCAAAAGATGCCAAGGTTATGCAGTGATTAGAGTTAAGTCTCCCTGACAACCCCCTGTCTTGGGTCCCTGGTCTCTCCCTCCTAGGCAGCCACTGCTGCTGCCATTCTGGTGATAACCTCTGCATGTGGAAGCTTATGTATCTCCCCCTGTTTCTTACACCAGGCCCTACCCAGTGTGCTACCCCTTGCTTTTATCTCCTCCACTCTAGATGCAAGATGGTTCTACATCTGTACATGTGGATGTCTGTTTAGCCTCTGCCTAGGAATCTACCGTAAGGACATGCTGCTCTCTCTCTCCCTCTCATTGAGGCATAGAGTAGTTGTTTGGAGAGCACGTTAACCAACTGTTGGTAAGAACAGCTGTGTGTATCCTGTCTGCTTTGAGGTTTCAGTGGCTCAATGTCCTTGAGAGCAGTTTTTAGGGAGTTATCCAGAAAATGTTTAGCAAATAAGGAACTCTTTCTTTTTTCTCTCTGGTGCAGGATTTCTGAAGCTCAACATTGTTGACATTTTATTTTATTATTTTATTTATATTTATTTTATTTTTTGAGACAGAGTCTTACTCCATCACCCAGGCTGGAGTGCCATGGTGGAATCTCTGCTCACTGCAACCTCCGCCTCCCAGGTTCAAGCTATTCTTGTGCCTAAGCCTCCTGATTAGTTGGGATTACAGGTGTGCACCACCACACCTGGCTCATTTTTGTCGTTTTTGTAGAGATAGGGTTTTGCCATGTTGGCCAGGCTGGTCTTGAACTCCTGGCCTCAAGTGATCCTTCCACCTGTGCCTCCCAAAGTGTTGGTATTACAGGCATCAGCCATTGCTCCCAGCCTGTTGACATTTTTCTACCTGATAATTTTTTGCTATGAAGGCTGTCCTGGGCATTGTAGGATGTTTAGAAACATCCCTGTCTGTACCCAGTAGATATCTATAACACCCCCACCCACCATGTGACGACCAAAAATGTATCCAGGTCCAGACATTGCCAACTTTCCCAGAGGTGGGGGAGTCACCCCAGGTTGAGAACCACTGCTCCAGTGGGATTTGGAAGAGCTGAGCAGTGCTGTGCACAAATGTGTAGCTCTGGAGTTTAGTCCTGGGGCAGACCTGTAGCTGAGAAGGCAGGGATGGGGGTCGCCTGGAGCCATCAACATCCACACCACCTGCTCTTCAGGGCTGCTTCCTAATGTGCCTTTGGGAAGCCAATGTCTCTCCCTAACACACACACAGGAGCCCACACTTACATCAAAGAGGCAATAGAGTGTGGTGTATTATGGCTGGGTTGTGAAGCCAGACTTATCAATGCTACCACTTCCTTGCTATGTGACTTGGGATAAGATATTTATGTCTGCTGGAACTTAATTTTCTCAGCAGTAAAGTGGGGGATAATAAGAGTACCTGCCTCATTGGTAGTGGAGATTAATGGGTTAATGCATGTAAAGCACTTAGGCCCAGGGTGAGGTATGTGATATGTGCTCCATGCATGTCAGATATCACTATTATTATCAGCAGAAAAATAAAATGACTGCTGAGCCCTCTCTGTGAGCCAGGATCTTTGAATTGATGACCACAGTTGAGTTTGCTTGTAATCATGGGCAGTAGGACCCTCCATGCCTTTATACTCAGGAAATGGAGGCTGAGAGAGAGTAAGGCCCTTGCTCAAGGCCACACGGCCAATAAGATGTATTGAGCAGAGCCTGTGCCCGAGGGCCATGCTGAGGCTGCTATGGCCTCTGCCAGAAGCCAGGGCCTGAGCTCCTGGGGAGGCCCAGGAGGGAGGGAGGGAGTCTACCATTGGTACCTTGTGTTGTAGCCAATTAGTTATTTGTCAGAAGCCATCCTTGGGCTTGAAGTCCCTGCACACTGTCAGTGGTATGGAGTGTAAAGCTCCATTTCTTGAAAACTGCATACTCGTCAGGGCCAGTGGTGTCACCTTGGCAGGGTTTATAAGGAAAGAAATTGGCCATAATTCTAGTGATAACTTTTATATGAATTTCCTTTATTTCACCTTCCTATGCTATATGTTATACATTTGTATAGTGGAGATCACTATGTTTAATTGTTACTAAATATAATGTCACTATTTCTGATGCATTCTGGTACCACTGTTTCATATGTCCTCATATCTTTGAAAGTTCTTAGCTTGTTGCCATTTTATTGGTTGCATAATATTAAATGTTTTCTTAATTATTATGCAAGTAGTACGTGAAATATATTTTTATTGTGATATTTTATGCATTGCCAGAAAAGACCAAGTCCTTTTGATCACCCTTCTAATTCTAGTCTGTGGCGCAGAGGTATTGCTGCTTGTTTGTGGATTTATTTTTCAAAGAGCGTGGTATTTATTCAGTTATAATAGAAATACATGCTTGTTGTGAATAATTAATTCACTATCAGGTAAAGTTAAAGTTTCCTAAAATTCTACTTCCCAGAGAAAGCCAGTGTTAAGAGCATGCTCTGTGTTCTTTCACCCTTTTTTAATGCACACAAATGCACCACACCCTAATATACACACTTAGGAATAAAAAGCACAACAGGCTTCTGTCATAGGCATTGTTTGTTATGTCAGTGTTTTCACTTAGCATGTAGCAGAACCATCTCATACCGATGCCTACCGCTCTCCCCCTCTCTTCACTCACTGCATCCTGGTCCACAGAAGAGCGCTCCTGCACTCTTGCCCCATCCCCTTATGATCGACAGGCACGTGGTTTCCAGTGTTTTTGGCTATGGGAAAGTGTGCTGCACAGCATCTCAGCATGTGTGAAGTGGTTTAGGGCTGTTTCTGAATTTCCGGAGGACTGTCACGTGGGCTGAAGATCTGGCGACCAAGGGCACGTGGGGGATGAGGAGTGAGCCCTGAGCCTGCCTGGAGCTCAGCACAGAGGACCTGGGGCGGTGAGCCAGCAGCGTGGGGTTACCGCCCAGCTCGGTGCCGCCAGCACCGTGAACCGGGGCACAGCCCTCCCTCTATGCTGCTCAGTGCCATCATTTTCCCCTCCCATGACATACGACAGCAGGGAGTTGAGTGGTTTGTTTCATCTCTTCTTAAGAAAAAGTTAAATTTATAATCCCAGCCCCGACCTTCCTTGTAACTCATGTGCTCATCCTGTTAACTGGTTTAATATATGGCACCACTATTTCATTAAACAACATACAGGAATAATTAGTTCAGCCACGATGCCTCAGAACAAAAGCCCTTGATTTAGTTTAACTTTATAAGTTGCTCTCTTTTGATGTGCAAGAGCACATCTGGGGTCTTAAAGAAAGCAGAAAGAAAAATAGAAGACGTTCTGGCAGGCTGGGGGTTAGAGTTTTCCAAGCAGAGCCAGTAACCCTTTGGTACCAGGCCTCAATAGGGCAGCAAGGGCCCCGCAGAAGCAGTGCGTGCTGCTGGCTGGGGGACGACAGCCAGCATTCCCAGGAGGTCTGTGGCTGTCTGCTGCCAGGCCAGGAGAACCCGTGGGTTTTCTTCCTTCATACACACGGTGTGCTCACATGCAGTGCGTCCCCAGACTTGTAAGCCTGGCCTGTTCTCCGCCCCGCTGCTGGAGCTCAGACGCTCACTCTGGCCTTTCCTACCCTCAGCGTGTGCTTGGTGCTGCTGCATGCCAGGCACACTGTGAGAACTGTGGACATGCTCAGGGATCAGCACAAGGGCCCCTCTGGGGCTGGCGTCCTCTTCCTGTCATTACAGTTTGCTCCGATTTGCTCTGTGCCCAGAGTCTTTTTCCCCATCAGTCCTCTTTCCACCCGGGCTACCACTGGAGTCGTTCTGACCTTTGTACTTCATCACTCCTCACCCCTGTGTGGCATCTCACGGTATTCATCTGCCGGCAGAGGAGAGTTCCAGCTCCTTGGCCTGACCCTCGGGCTTTGCACTGCCTGGCTCCTGCCTCAGCTGCAGCCATTTGTGCTCACGTACCATTCTCTCGCCGGCTGCTGACCAGTTGGGCCCTCTGCAGGCCTCAGGGCCTTTGCCCCCTTCAGCCTTCTGCTCCAGCTGCTCCGTCCATCCACAGGCCTGGCACAGATGTCCCCTCCTCTCTGAGGTTTCCTCCCAGTTCCCTGCCAGGTGGTAACCATGGTTCCTTTCTCAGGGCTCCCCCACCCTCCTTGCCACACTGGGGCAGCCCTTGCCATGTGGGCCATGGGAACTGGTTGTTAGGTGACTGTGCACTCCAGGCAGAGGCAGGATGGAGTTGTGCCTGGTCCCCTGTTTCTCTAGACATGGCATAGTACAGGGCATACAACAGGCTCTGTGGACAGGAGCCCATCTGGCACAGTGGGGAGAGCCAGGCCGTCAGCCTGCCCTGGCCCAGCACTTGCTGGTGGTGAGACTGCATGAAGCTTGCATGGCGCCCTCCCGTGATGGACTGCTGTGAGGCAAGGGGGGTTAGAAAGGGTTCAGCCAATGCCCGGAACATAGTTGTTGCTCGACTAGTGGCAAGTGCTGTCCTTTGCAAAGTTTTGCTGGGACAACTTTCTCATAGACTGTGTTCCAGCTGGTTTTTTAACTGAGGTGGACTGAGTGACTGTTTTCCATCTCTGGCTTTTGGTTTCCAGAGAGCCAGGTTGTGCAGTGGGGACAGATGTCCTGGTCTGCCAGCTGCCAGCAGGCAGCAGCCATTAGCTCCCTGTCCCACCCGTTCCTGCTCCAGCACATGATGCTCTTCTCCCTGCACCCTTCACCCAGGACAGCAGAAGGTACAGGACCCTTGGTTCTCTCTCCTAATTAATGGCAGAGACCCAGTTAGAAATGGCGGGCCCCTCCCTAACCTCTCCACAGCCATTTGTAAGTCCAGCGAGACTGCGGACTGCTGTCCCTGGTGGCCCTGGTTGCAAGCAGCTCCCTTTGTAACAAAGTCAGTGTCACCTATTTGCCAGCATGGCTGCCCATGGCAAGCCATTCTGGTCTTGCCTGGAGTGTCACAGACAGTATCCCACTCCTCTTCCTGAGTGGCCGTGTACTAACAGGTAACAGATGGCAGATGTGTAGACGAGCAGCGGTTGATGCCTGGCTTCGCCACCGAGGGAGCACTTGGGCCAGGCACCTGCGTGTACAGCAGCTCCTTATCCTCACATCACCTGCAGGAGTAAGGCGGTTTTTACCCCATTGTACCATGAAGACTCAGAGGCCCAGAGAGGAGAAATGACTTGCCGGTGTTCAAGTCCTGGACAGGGTCTGAATCTAGGTTCAGACAGGGTGCAACACATGAAGTTTCTGCCCTTTTGGCTCCTCGGGAATTCTTCTCAACCATCAGAAAGAGAAAGCCTGGGGATTTTCACACCTGTCCCACCTGGAACATGTTTCATGTTAAGTGCCATTCCTTTCCCCACTGTGTTTTTCTGAGGTCCTGACCCCCCTCCAACCCCTTGTCCCATTTTCTGTGGCTCCTGACCCTCAAGGCAGAAGTAGCAGGCCAGCGGGCGGGAGCCAGCTTACCCTGCCTGCTGCCTCACCAGGGGACAGCAGGCTTCAGAGGCTCTCCTGTAATCTCTCTATCCACACAGCCCTCATTTTAATTTGCAAAATTGAAGCCAGATCGAGAGCAGTAAAGCCAGAGGATGGTAAATATTCATGCCTCAGTGAGCGAGGGTGGCTCCATTACCGTTCTGAGATTGAGAGAATTACCTGGGGGATTATGTATATTCATGGGCCGATTTTTATTTGCGATATAACATGACTCACGTTGGCCTGTGTGTTACAGGTTCTACCCTCAACAGACTTTGCACAAAGCGTATGCCCTTAAGCTTCTGAAAGTCATCTCAAGTGGATTGCCCATCGCCTTCTGCCTCCTAGGAGACAGGTCAGAATAATAAGCACACCAGTGACCAACCAGGGGTTTCCATGCACTCCTCTCTCTGCCTTACAAGCTGTGGGCACTATTCTTACGTCCAGGTCACAGAGGAGGAGACGATCTGAATGCCACACCATGTTCTGTTTATGTGGCTGTCCCTGCACTGTGCTGCCATCCTCTCGACTGCAGGGATGGTGTCTCATTCTGTCCTGTGTGCCCAGAACATAATAGGTGCTCAGGAAATGGCTGCCAAGGGAGTAGCCCCTCTTGCAGGCCTGCTCTGCAGACACGCTCAGTTCTGCCGCTGGCCCCTGGCGTGTGTACAGCACCTGCTGCTGGCAGCACAGGTTTGGCCCTGCTGATTGGCTGGGTGTCTGGCTTCAATAGGGGCAGGTCAGTGTTCCTGTTCATAGGACACTGTTTACAGTGTCCTGCCTCGGTGCACAGCAGGAGTCAGCGCACTGCAGCCTGCCACCTGTTTTGATAAATAAAGCACTGCAATGGCAGAGTCAAGTAGTTGCAACAGAGGTTGTGTGGCCTCCAAAGCCTAAACTGCTTACTGTCACCTTCTCCAGGAGAGCTTGTTGCCCCCTGGCTTGTAGGCTTCAAGGGCACTGGGGCAGAGCGCCACTCCTCTGAGTCTTTTCTTGATGCCAGTGCAGCACACAGCTTATCTCTTTTACTTTCATTGTCACCATAATCCAAATGAAGTTGGGATGCTCATCTCCATTTTATTGATGATAAAATAGTAGCAGTAGTAGTTTTAATCGCTAATTTATATTGAACAACTTCTAATTTTTAAAGATACCATGCTAATCATTTCACGTGGATTATCTCAATGTAACCTCACAAATGCCCAATTAGTTAGGTACATTTTCCATTTAAGGGAACTTAGAGAGGTGACATCCCTGGCCTGGGGTCACGTAGCTAATATGAAGGATTTGAACCCAAGAAGTCTGACTTGAAAACCTGCCTTCCTAACCACTGTGTTATGAGGAGAAAAGGTTGCTTGCCATCAATTGCTCATTTACTGAACTGTTGTTAGCACTGGCAGCGTACCAGGCCCCCTTCTGGGTGTGGCAGATGCAAAGATGAATTAGAGTGACCATTCTCTCGAGGAGGTCCCTGTAGGACAAACAAGCAAGGCGGTAGCCACTCCACCAGTGTATAAGTGTTAGAACTGGCTTGGCCCTATGAGGAAGATAGGAGGTTTGCAGACTCCTGGACGGGAGCTTCCTGGGCTCATGCCCCACTCCGTCACTGCTGGACTAGTGGCCTCTGGCTAGTCACCCAAACTCTGGGCCCCAGTTTGGTCACCTGTACAATGCAGGACATAACGGGACCTACCTCTTAGGCTTGCTGTGAGGATTGAGTAGGTTAATCCATGTGAGCTTATAGAACACTGCCCAGTGCTGATGACCTGAGTGGAGGTGGCGACAAAGGCAGGGATGGCACAAATATGTGTGGGAGGCCCTGGGGGTGCCAGGCAGCCTTGGAAGGCTGCTGAGAGGCAGTGGAGCTTCAGAGAGACTGGGAGAGGCAGGGTCAGGCAGGCCAAGGTGGGAGACAGGTGGGAAGCTCTGGGGGAGAGTGCTGTGCTCCCGGGATGGGCTGGGGCAAGGAGCTGAGCCAGGGCCCTGTCAGAGCTGGCTTGGAACTGGCTTTCTGCTTGTGTGTTTTCAGATTTATAATTGCTCTCATGTGCCAGGCTTACATTTTCTGAGAGGGAAGAAGAGCTGCCCCAGCTGCTGCCAAGTTCTGCCTCCATGAGCTGGCCCTCAGGGGGCAGCCACAGTGGGTGGAGAGGGGGAAGGACCCAGGCAAGGATTTTATGACCTGTCCCTCTCCCTTCCTGTTCAGGCCTCTGTCCCAGGCTTCACTCCCCCAGGACAGTCTCTGGGCAGACCACATGGGGTGCATCCTGCTAGCTAGGACACTGTCCTGACAGGCTGGAGGGGCCCCTGCTGCCTGCCCAGGCCACGGCACTCCTAGCCTTTCACTATGGGCGCCCGCCTGTCCCTGCACTGGCTTTCCCCTGCCTACTGTGCCCCTCATCCACCTTCCACCCAGGAAGGGCCTTCCCAGGAGCATGTATTCCATTCAGTAAGATAAGGTGCCAGCACTGGGCTGCCTGCTGGGTCTGCACTGGTGGCCCATCCTTGCCCCGATGGAATGTCCAGTGCCATGTGGAAGACAGACTTTAAACAACAGTGGGCCCTGTCACCACAAGTGGTGAGGCTGACCTGAGGAGCAGCCTCTGTGAGAAGACAGCAGGGGTTTAGAGGAGACTGGGGAGCCTCCCGAGGCAGTGAGCTGGGAGCTGAAGATGTCCAGATTGGCAGTGAGGGGAGAAGCAGTGAGTGAGGGCCAGCGTGGGGGAGCAGCAGTGCTCGTTCACACAGCAGCACCGCTCCTCTCTGTCCCCTCACTGAGTTTCCATCCTGGTACTCTAGGGCTACTTTGCCTTTCCCCAGGCTGGTACCCCTCTATAGCAGGAGCAGTTTCCCCATGAATTGAGAATCCCCAGTGCCCAGCTTGGGGCACATGTGTCAAGGAAGGAGCTTGCATTTGTCTCTCCTGGGGCTGTTGCCATGACGGCCCGTCCAGGTTCAAATCCCAGCTCTGCCACCTGCTGGCTGGGTGATGGCAGGCAAGTGACTGAAGCCAGCATGCCTGCGCCTACTTGCCCTGCAGCTTGTGGAGGGACCGTGTCCCTACCTGGGAGCCCCTCAGTGTGGTGCCCACATGGGGCAAGTGCTCAGTCAATGTTAGTTGCTGTCATTACTGCTGCCGACATCATCATCACGGTCATCACAATTGTCACCAACTCCCTCCAGGGAAAGTGTTGCTCCCAAAGGAAGCAAGGCTGACAGCCTGGTGGGGTTTCGAGGCTTTACTCTTGGGCCTTGAGAACCTAAAGACACTAAAGGCCACTCATCAGCTTCCTGTGGCATCCGTGGCCTGAATGGGCCCACCTTAGCCCAAAGTCCCATCCGTTAATGCATTGCCAGAACATGTGAGATTGTGAGCCGTTCAGACATGAGAGTAGCGGCTGAGCTGATGGGGCAGAGACTCAGAGTGGCCCTTAATGGTTGGTCACCTTCCCTGGGCCCTTTAAGGCTTTGGATCCAGAGCAGGAGGTGCCACAGGGGCAGTGAGAGCTGTGGGAGAGCTGGGGTCTGCAGCCCGAAGCACAGGGGTGGTTTGGACCTTGCTGCCACCCCGTCCCTACCTTTGCCCCTGCTGGTCCTCTGGTCTTTCTTTGCTTGACTGACATCCAGCTGTCACTTTGTTAGGAAGTACCCTCTGACTCTGCAGATTGGTGGGGGCTGCTTTTCTACCCCACCCCGGGGCAGAGTATTTCCTGGCATTTTCCCATTCAGAGTATTTGCTTAACATGTTTAAAGTATTTCCATTAACCTTAGCTACAACTGATAAAGTTTTAAGATATTTAATATTGACACCCCAACCTCAGGGTAATGACTTCTGAATGCATGACAGCTTTTGGGAAGAGCTGTCACATAAGTGGTGTATACTGGTTTCTGCACTTAGGGGTAGTTCACATACTTAGTTAGCTAAATCTCTCCAGATAACCAGGAAAACACTTGTCAGCCCTGAGCTTTGCTTGTACCTTTGGAGGGATCTCTTGCATATGGGAAATGGGAACTGCTGGCAGAAGCCGAGCCTCCTTTTGAGTCCATCTGGTTACCCAAGTTCTTGGAGCCGTTTTCTCCAGGCGGATTCCCTGAGGGTCAGACACAGTGGAACGAAGGGATCCTCCTTGGGCTGTGGTGGAGCCCATGCCATTCTGTCGGCTCTGGCCCGGAACTGACCTTTGTTATTTGAAGTGCTGGAAACAGCATACCTCACTTCACAGGTGCAGTGCTTCCCTGCCCTCCCAGCCCTAGTCTTTTAATTTCACTCTGTCAATCCTAACACGAATTACTCTTACCTGAGTGTTAGGTGCTGTGCTTGGCCTTGACTTCTCGCCATAGCCCCACGGGTGTTATTATCCCCTTTTTACTAACAAGGGAACTGGGGTAAAGAGCCCAAAGTTGGCCAGCCAGGAGGCAGTAGAACCAGCCAGCATGATTCGTTCCAGAGCTGGAGCACTTCCTCCCCTGAAGGAGCCAGCCCCCAGGGCAGATCATGGAGAGTAAACATGACCCTGGAAAATCACTTGGGCGGCTGCCATGTTGAATGCCAGCCCATCCTCTCAGTAGGGTCAGCCTGTGTTGGAGCAGCCTGGTGTTCCTTCAGCAGAGTGAGGATGCAGGATCAGAAGGTACAGGTGTATCTCTGAGTCTGAGCGCCTCCCCCCCTGTGGCAGGGGCTCCCTCAGCTGAGGCTTGCTGCAGAAACCAGACCGTTGAAGGGGCGGTGGGCTCCCCACTGGCCTCCATCTGCTCTGGGGAAGGAGGCACGTGTAGCCATGGACACGGACCTCTCACGGCCTGGGTCCCTCAGCTGAATTCATCCTCACCTTGCATACTCTTTGGTCTGGGGCTGGGAGTGGGGTGAATGCTATCATGTGCCCCAGGGCTGAATGCCGAAGGGCCAGCAGTTGAGTTTTCTACAGTGTCAGTTTTCCCAAGGGCAGTTAATTCCAAACCTCACTTTTATGTTAAAACAAACATGAATCTATTATGACATAGAATGCAAAGTTTCCATGAATCTTAAAGTCCAAAACTTGGTATTTCAAAGAATTTCTGTGCTTCTAGCAGTCAGCTTCAGGGATTTATTCTCCTCTGCCATGGAGTGGGGGGCTTCTCTGTGGGAAAGAGAAACACATCATGCTGTCTTTCAGGACTTCCTGGCCCTCCATGTGTTGGGGTGTCAGCACACTGTTTGCACTTGAGGATTCCAGGTCCCATGGAAAATACAGATTTCAGGTGGTTCAATGAATGCCTTACTCCATGGAGTTACTAAGCGCTTTCCCTGAGAGATCCCAGGGAGGAGAGAGAGAGATCCAGGAGGGGAAAGTTGCTCTTTTATTTTCTGATAGCCAACTTCCAACCCATTCCATCCTGCACGACAGAAGAGTGCACTTTCTACCAGCTGCTCTGCCCGCCTGTGGGGCACAGTTGTAGGCCTAGGGCTTTGCATGGTCTGGCTGTACCAGGCCCTCAATTCTTTTTGGTGGAGTTAATTCCAGGTGATTTGTTTGAGTTTAAGATTGAGACACTGAATGTTTCCTTAAAGTTTTAAATATGCTAATACTAAAGGCTAAACTTGGAAAATGAAAAAGAAGAAATAGAAAAATAGAGAGGAGAAAAACATCCTTAGCACAGGGTAACCTTCCTGTTGCTGTTGCCAGACCTCAAACTCAAGGCTGCCTCTCCGTCCCAGACAGACTGTACCTTGACCTCTATTTCATGGTTAGAAAGAAGCTTCATAACAAAGAGAGATAACGGCCAGTCCGTGCACTTGTTCTTCACACAGGCAGGGCAGGCCCCCAACATCCCTCGCTGGCCTACTCTCTGCCTGAAGGTGGGATGCATCATCCCAGAGTGGACCTGGAGCCCAGAGCTGTCACTGCTCCCCGTGCCATACAGTCTGTGCAGACCCAGCCAGGCTTTTGTTCCTGGGGAAGGGGGAAGGGGGAAGTGATCTCCCTGTTGAGCCTTGCTGAGGACATCCAAGTTGTCTTTTGTGACAGCTTCCTCACTTTGCTCCAGATTTGGACCCAAGCCTCTGTGCCTCAGGCCCAGCCATTGCTGTGGCCAAATGAGCTCCCACTTCAGTCAGGCCTTGCTGGGCTTGGGTCTGAGTTTCACCATTTACCAGCTGAGGGGCCTTGGGCAGGCTACTGACTCTCAGTTTCCTCAGGTGTCAGGTGGTGGTGAGGTTGGAGAGAGTGGTCTCAGGTGCCCTGTAGAAGGCCTGTTCTGCAGCAGGCTCTCCGGGAAGATGTTTGCACGGGGAGGAATTCCTAAGAGTCTTTGCAGCCTCAGGAGCCAGGCACAACACCGAGCTACAACCTGGTGGGATGGTCTTTCTCTTTTAGTTTAGGTATTTCTTTTTGAACCTTTTCTTCATGTATGAAAGCAATGTGTGATTACTTTAGACATTTTTGTGGAGTATAAAGAAACTGGGAAAAAAAACCTCCCCCTTAACTATAGTTAAGACTGTATTTTAAATACATTTTTATACCTTGATTATTGGTTCAGTATTACAGAGAAAACATTTTCCATGCTGATAAAAGTGCTTCATATATTTTATTATGTAACACCTTGCCTGCTGTTTTATTTAGCCATTCCTCTATTGTTAGGCAGCTAGATTGTCTCCATCTTTTGCCTATCCTAAATAAGGTGAATATTTTATCATACTAAGGTGAATATTTCCAGTGATCCACCTTTGACTTTTGGAGAGTTTCCCTGAGGTGGAATTCTTGGACAAGAAATGTAGAAATGATGAGAGCATTCCAGAAAGGCTGGACCAGTGTGATCTTGTGTGGTGCTGGGGGAGCATCTGGAGGGGGTGTTGAGGGATAGAAGCATGAGGGGTTTGTCATTGTCTCCAGACAACTGCAGTGAGGAACAGATGCTTGCCCCCAGGCACCTCAGAGTTAGGGCTGGTGCGCTCAAGTTTAGTACAAAATATATTGGTGTCTTCAGAGTGCCTGGCTCCTGGGCCCAGCCTGTGGTGCCCTCCTGCTCTCTGGCTGCTGGGCCAGGCACTGCGTGAAGCTTGGATTGCACCTCACACTTTACTGCATTGCCCTTTTTATTTTGTGGAGAACTGAGAGACTCCCACCATCTCTTTTGCCCACCCCATCTTGGCAGGTGGTACAGCTGTTTCTGTAGATGGAGGGAAAAGATAGTCTCCCATCCTGGGCCAGTTACCTCAGCAAGGAGCACCTCGATTTTCTCATGTGGGTTGGGCATTCTGGCTTCTCATCTTATGGTGGTGGCTTCCAGGTGTTGCTGGGGAAGGCGAGACTCAAGCCAGCAGTGTGACAGACCCAGCCAGGAGGCTCAGAAGTGCTTCTCTTCCTCCCAGCACCTGACCCCTCCATTTCCTCCTCTCAGCCCAGGGCTGGCCTCCCCCAGAGTCTGCCTCAGAGTAGACTGTCAGTCTGTATTGAGTAAACTGATTGGAACTGGATTCTATTACATTTAATTGACTAGAAAATCTGTCTTTTTATTCTTAAATAGTTAAGTTTTAATCACACAATCAATTCATGAATTTCCTGTAGCAAAACTGAAACCTTTCAGTTAAGGGAAAAGGAGGCCTGTTGCATCACATCCCATCCTGGCCTCTCATCTAGAGGAGATCCTGTTAATTCTTTTGGGTTTAACCTTCCAAACCCTTGTTCTATGCGCTGTGCTCACAGAAATGCACAGCACTGTTGTGTAAATGTGTGAATGTGTGGCATCATATTCTGAGCAGTGTTTGCACTTTTCTGGCCATGCCCCACATGGATTCTCAGAGACCTTGCCTCATCACTACACACAGAGCTACCACACTGCCTGCCCCCACGTGTGCTCATCAGTGTGGACACCTCATGTCACACATCGCCATGTCCCCACTGATGGACTTTCAGACTGCTGCCCTGTCTTTGTGATTATTCCCTGTGCTGCACTGACCATCTTCTTGTGTACACCTGCACAGCGCTCTCCTGGGAGGTATCAAGAACTCTGCCTCAGACCTGCCCTGGCACCTCCCTGCACTTTTCCCATCCCCCCCCCCCCAAGGTTGTCCCCCTCTCTCCCGATCTCATTTGTATGTCATTGTCATTCCAGACCCAATTCAGATGTCCTCCTCTCTGCTGCCTCCCTCATAATACTTTCATATTCTAATGAAATATGAATACACATCATATTCTAAATATACTTTATACATCTGTCTCCCCAGTGAGTCTGGAGTTCGGAGGACAAGGGCCATGGCTTCCCCCACATCCCAAGGCCAGCACATGGCCTGCCATGGAGTAGGTGCTACATGAGCGTGTTGAATTAAAGCCAGTGGAAGGAATAAGGGAGATGGGCCATGAAGAATGAGTGCTGGGAAAGATGTGCAGGAAGGCATTCCACATGGATAAACAGTAGGGCAGAGGCAGGGAGTGTGCTGGGAGACCAGCCCAGAGCTCTGGAGAGCACTGCACAGATGCAGGAGGAAGGCCAGGGGTGAGCACCAGGGCACCCGGAGCCCTGGCAGGTTTCATTGAGGACCTAGCCTGACCCAGGCTCTGTACTAGGGAAGTGGCCTGGCAGTACATGGAGGAGGGGGCGGCTGCTATGGGTGTCTGAGCAAGAAGTGAGGCCCAGTGACCAGAAAGAGACTGTGGGTGTGAGGCAGGCGAACTCTGGGATTTGTTGGCTCGTGGGCTATGGGAAGGGCGCCCATGAGGAAGGAGCCAAAGGCTGAGGCTTGAACCGTGAACAAGGGCTGGGGGCCACCACAGTTCACTGAGGACTTGGTACTTACAAGGGCTCAGGGAGACCCTAGGCACATGCTGCCTCCTTCAATTTTCACAGAATCCCTGTGGCTAGGACCTGGTACCCTTAGTCTATTGGTGAGGACACTGAAGTCTAGAAGTTACAGAACTTGCCCACAGCTCAGAGCTGGAGCCACAGCTCCAACCTCAGTGAATCTGGCCCCAAGTCCAGCATGCTCACTGCTGACAGTGGGCACCCACAGAAGTGGGCCAGGCCTAAGTGGGGTGGGAGGTGAGTGCAGGGGTGATTCTGGCTCTAAACAGAATCACAGTCTAACAGCCATCTTGTGGAGTAAAAGGAGCCCATGCCTCAAGCCACATGCGCCGTCCAGATGTCAGAATGCAGGTAGGCAAGGTCCAGGCCATGGGATGAGGTGTGGGGTGCAAATTAGATGCCCTGGTGCACCCCAGGACCAAGGAGTGGGCCGTAAGCCCATTGCATGCCTGCCCTTCCAGCAAGTTGTAAGGATAACAATGGAATGTCATAAAGCTCTTGTAGTTTCTTGTCTGTAAGGCTAAAGTTGTAATAAACAGAAATTATGAGCAAAAGAATAAACCTAGAGAGAAAGTCAGTTCTTAGGGTCACCACTGCTTTACATCCCTTGGATTACAAGGGCTTTTATGCCATATTGGTGGCACATAGGGAACTGCCCCTCAGGGGGTGGGGCTGGCCTCCTGGGGCTCCGAGCCTTGTATCCAGTGTCCACTGAGGCCCCACAGCACCGTGCCAGGTGAGAGTGCCTCGCCGTTTTACAGGGATTAACAATGTAGGTGGCATTCCTTTTTCTTTGATCCACCTCAAGAAATAGTGGCAGGTTGAATTTTGAATTTGAAAATACATCCCAGACCTAGCAGCCCCCTTTTGCAGCCACCTCAGTCCCTGGGATTTGGGTTTGGAATAGGATACCCTGTGTCTCAGGAGGCTCGCAGTGGCAGCTCAATTGGATGACTGAGTCCCAGTGTGATCCTTGGCACCCCGCCTCTCACCCTCCTTGCTCACTGTCACAGTGATGATTCTCTTTTCTTCTTCCCTATTTCTTCTTATCATTACTGTCATGGACCCAAATGCCTTCAACCACTCCCCCTCCAGCACCCACGGAGGGAGAGCGAGGCCCAGGCTCAGCTGCTGGGCAGCTTCCCTGGGGCCCCTGTCTCTGCCCTTGGCTTGCTGGTCATACCCTTGTCTAGCCTTGCTGATGCTCTGGTGCCAGCAGCCACAGGCCAGTGCTCCTGCAGGATGTGAGTCCAAGTGATGTTGCCCCTGCACAGCTGCACTGGGGTGCAGGGGATCATCAGTTGAGTGTGACGGACGTTCCTGAGCATGCTCCTCTGTGCCAGGGACGGAGATTAGTGCCACCCAGCCCCACCCCCCCCCACCCCCGCTGATGCTCTCAGTCTGGACAGGAGGCAGGAGCTAAAGGCATGGCTACATAGCAAGTATCGGAGATAAAGTGGGGGTCAAGTGGCGGGGGCTGTGGGGGCCAAGGTGGGCAGGCAGCATGACCTGCTCTAGCTGGAGTAAGGCTGGAAGGACGAGGAGGGGCCTGGCAGTCAGGAAGCCAGCTCTGCCCAGGCACAGGGCTGGGAGGCACCATCGGGCCTCTAGGCCATGAGTTGGACTTGGCCCAAGCTTAGGGTGCTGAGGGCAGTGCTGAGGAGTGCTCAGGAGCCAGCCAGATGGCCACAGGCCTGTGTGCCCATCCAGCAGCCTGCCCTGAGGGGCGGGAGCTGTGGGAGCCACACATAGGAGGGACATGGCCAGTGCTGGGCTTTCATAAACCTGGCTGAAGGACAGGGTAGCCTTGGAACTGTGGGGATCTTTCTGTCCACCTTGGATCCATTCCTTTAAGACCCAGACCCACCTGGGCTCTTTGCTCAGGCCCAGGGCCCACAGGTGAGGTACTGTTCACTGCTCCATGGCGGTGATGGCTTTTCTGGCTCAGCCCTGAAAACAGAGCTGGATCCCTTGGCTTACCTCCCAAGGATTCCTTACCCCCTAAAAAGCCCAGGGATGTCATTAAAAACAAAGTCCCAGTTGTATAGAAAACAGAAGAATCCAGCATTGCTGTAATTCATTTAAAGTTTTATGGGATGGCAAATACTTGGGGTGGCTGGGAGGAGGAGCGTAAAGCTCCCTGGTGAAGCTCCCTGGTAGGCCCCTTGTCACTTTTATGGTTTTCCATTGTTGCAGTGACTGGGAGGTTAATCACGAGGGTTTGTTTGTAAGGTCGCCACAGATGGTCAGGGGCCTTTGCTGGGCCACATGGTAGAAAGCCAGATCATTCCCTTCCTCTCAGAGTGTGCCCCATGTGGCAGGCACTGTGCTGAGGATCGGTGGTGAGCAAAATAAACCCAGCCTGTCTACCTGGGGCTGTCTGCCCGATCCAGGAAACAACAGAGCGCACAGGCACACACTGGACAGATGCTAACAGGTTACGGGGCTTAAGGAGCGTCCTGGTCTGCCTGGAGACTCAGAACAGGTTTTGTGAGCTGGTCGGGGGACCCCTGAGGTCTCAGTGAGTGGGATTCAGCTGGGTACAGGGCGCCACAGGGGTGAGGAGAGCTGGGCAGGGCAGCAGTGTTCCTGTGGGGCTCCAGGTAACACTAGCCACGCTGTGTGCAAGGGCCTTACTGACGCTTGGGAATCCGAGCCCAGCCTGGGCACAAGGGGGCAGGGGGCATCAGTGCATCTCCCCTCTTCCCCGCTTCCTCAGTGCATCTCCCCTCTTCCCCCTTCCTCAGTGCATCTCCCCTCTTCCCCATTCCTCAGTGCATCTCCCCTCTTCCCCCCTTCCTCAGTGCATCTCCCCTCTTCCCCATTCCTCAGTGCATCTCCCCTCTTCCCCCTTCCTCAGTGCATCTCCCCTCTTCCCCCCTTCCTCAGTGCATCTCCCCTCTTCCCCCTTCCTCAGTGCATCTCCCCTCTTCCCCCCTTCCTCAGTGCATCTCCCCTCTTCCCCATTCCTCAGTGCATCTCCCCTCTTCCCCCCTTCCTCAGTGCATCTCCCCTCTTCCCCCTTCCTCAATGCATCTCCCCTCTTCCCCCTTCCTCAATGCATCTCCCCTCTTCCCCCCTTCTCAGTGCATCTCCCCTCTTCCCCCCTTCCTCAGTGCATCTCCCCTCTTCCTCAGTGCATCTCCCCTCTTCCCCCTTCCTCAGTACATCTCCCCTCTTCTCCCCTTCCTCAGTGCATCTCCCCTCTTCCCCCCTTCCTCAGTACATCTCCCCTCTTCCCCCTTCCTCAATGCATCTCCCTTCTTCCCCCCTTCCTCAATGCATCTCCCCTCTTCCCCCCTTCCTCAGTGCATCTCCCCTCTTCCACCCCTTCCCCAATGCATCTCTCATCTTCCCCCCTTCCTAAATGCATCTCCCCTCTTCCTCCCTTCCTAAAGGCATCTCCCCTCTTCCCTCCCCTTCCTCAGTGCATCTCCCCTCTTCCCCACTTCCTCAATGCATCTCCCCTCTTCCCTCTCCTTCCTCAATGCATCCCCCTTCCTTTCTCCCCTTCTCCTCCATGCATCTCCCCTTCCTAAAGAGTTGTGTGTGTCACTGAGCACCTGGCTCACATAGTGGCTGAGGTACATGCACTTTGCCACCCCTAGGAGTTGTGGGTGGGACAGTAGATGTTGGGGAGACTCCAGAGACCCCTTCTAGGAGAGACTTTTTCCTGGTAATTGGAAACTGCACACTAAGATAGCAATGGGTCAGCACACCTTATCTATTAGACTGCAAAAATTTAAAGGCCTGCAGCCTCAGGTGCTGGGGAGGGTGTGGGGAAGAGGTTATTTCTTGTACTGCTGGTGGAAGCGTAACCACCCACTTTAGAGAAAAATCTACAAGATCTAGTAAAACTGAAACTGTGTCCCACAACACCACAGTTTCTCATCCAGATATCTATGCTAGAAAAACCCTATGTATATATACAATTTGATGTATAAAGAAATGGCCACCGTGAAATCATTCTAGTAGTATAAATAGCAACTCACATGTCCATTAAGGGTATGGATAAATGACATATAAAGAAATACTATACAGCTGTCAAAAAAGAATACCATATATATGTTATTGTATGTTTTTTGACAGCTGCATATATGTGTGTATATATACACATGTTATATACACACACATGTGTATGGTAGTATATATATGTATATACACACACACAAATATGAATAGATGTCACCAATATATTGCTGCAGGAGGGAGGCAAGTAGTAAATTAACTACAAACATGGTGCCACTGTTTACACTAATAAGTCTATACAAGTTGAATGTCCCTTATCCGAAATGCTTGGGACCAGAAGTGTTTCGATTTCAGATTGTTTTGGATTTTGGAATATTAGCATGATATACTTAACAGGTTAAGCATCTGAAATCCAGAAATCCAAAATCCAAAGTGCTCCATTGAGTATTTTTTATTTTTGAGACGGAGTCTCGCTCTGTCACCCAGGCGGGAGTGCAATGGCGCAATATCGGGTCACTGCAACCTCCACCTCCTGGGTTCAAGTGATTCTCCCACCCCAGCATCCCAAGTAGCTGGGATTACAGGCACCCGCCATAATGCCCGGCTAATTTTTATACTTTTGTAGAGTTGGGGTTTCACCATGTTGGCCAGGCTGGTCTTGAACAGGTGACCTGAGGTTCCCTCTCGCAGCCCCAGAGGTGGTGCTGGGGAGCTGGGATCTCAACCTGCAGGGGCAGCGCTGGCAGTCTCCAGGGCCCATACTGCTCTGTCCTCATGCACAGCCCTAGGTTTGACTTGTTGTGTGTGAGATGTGATTAAATGCATTAGGCGGGGGAAAATGTCTTATCTGTACCCAGCCTAGGTCGAAGAAGAGGGAGAAATAAGAGCAGCCAAATTGAACCTTATTAAACAAAATTGGTTAGGTCTGATGGAGCCAAACCTAGACTGATCTTTAAAAGCTTATTTCATTTTTCCCCTCCAGCCTGAACCTCTTTGAATTGAAGTAACTGATCCTGCTGTAAGCTTATTAGTGTCAAACCTTGTGTGTTTCTTTTCCTCTCCGATTTACATTTTATTAAGTAATGATGAAGTTGCAAGGTCCCAACCCTAGCCCTTGGCACAACCAGGAGCTTCCAGGCTCATTAGTGGAACAAAATGGATAATAGAGGTCCAATCTTATTATAGCTGGTACATTATTACAAAATCTCTGCACATTAGAAAGGCTGCTAAGCACAAGTCTGTTACCTGCTTCACTCAAGCATCTGTTGATTCTGTAAAATGCTGGAGGGACCCCCCAACACTGCTGTTCCTTTAAAGTTTGTTGTGATGGTGTGGGCTGTCCATTTCTTACCTGACAGAAGGAGTGCCCATGTTAGTGATATCGCTGTGCTGAATTGTGTTTCATCTTGGACTTCTGTGGTGGAGTGTGTTTTTCTGGTGTGATGTAGTAAGAGAATATGTGCTTTAATGACAGGCAGATTGCATGCTTTGAATAAATGTCTTAACCTCTGGGGGCTTCAATTTCCTTGTCTGTAAAGTGAGATCATCATTAGCCACTATCATTAGAAGTGAATGGAATCAGGTGTGTAAAGATTTTCCCCATCATAGGTATCCAACTCTTTCTCCATCTTCCATATCGGCCCTGTGGTAACATAATGCAGCTCGTGTGCACTTCAGTTGAGTGCCTACTATTTCATGCAAGATGCTGTGGAGAACAGAGATGAGCACAGGATGACTCCACCTCAAACTGTTCCTGCTGGATGTTTTCAGTAGCCTCAGAAAGTGCATGGTAAAGGGAAACCAGATCATGCTGGGCACACTACCATGCAGAATCCTCAAAACACCAGAAAGCTAAGTTGAAAGACAGTCGAAAAGCCAGAAGGAGTATCGAGCTCATCGGGCCTGGGAGCAGTCAGAAGGGGGTGTTCATTTGTTCTCTCATCCACTTGATCAGCAAACTGGGCATATTGTGCTACTCAAAAACAGGAAACATGGGAGGTTGGGAGGGAGGGATGCAGCTGAGAGTTAGCTCTGAAAACTCCATGGGCAAGTCCAGCAGGGAGAGGGCTGCTGCTGACCTTCCCCAGGGTAGCTGCTGGCATGAGCTTCCAGGTGAGACAGCCTAGACTGAACCTGCCTCTGCCACATCTGAGTCTCGAGGCAGGCCTGACTGTCCTGGGCTTTGCTTTCTCACCCGAGAAAGGGGGCTCATCTTACTTGCCCATTGGCATTGATGTGAGAGTCACACTGGTGGCGAGGAGTCCCCTGTCTTGAGTCTTCCCTCTCTGCTTCTGCCCCAGGAGCCATCTTTTTGGGCTCAGGCTGTGTGGGCTCTACATGTTCAATCACTCAGGAGCCACAGCTGCCTGCTGCCTGCTGCCAGCACCCTGACTGGCTGAGCCCCGAGTCTGGCAGGGCAGGGTGTGGTTCTGCTCGACTGTCAGAGCTGAGGCCGTGGAACATCAGGCCTGCCTTGCAGTCCCAGCGTTTATCGTCCCAAGTCTCAGCCTATTTGTTTTGTGACCTTGGAGACATCAAAAACCTCTGTTTCTTCATCCATAAAATTGAATGTCAAAATATTGACCTGCCTGTGGGGTTTTTTATGAAGAATAACTGACCCAGAGGATGGCAAAGCTTCTTTGTTAATCAGAAAGGACCAAACTGCTTAGCAAGCACGAACTTGAGTTTTAAAAAGTGTTTGCTTGTTTGATGTGTTCCTCCCTCCCTCCTTCCCCAGAAGTGCTTGGTGCTGGAGGGATGGGAAGGATGTGAGGGAGAGCCTCTGCAATCACCCATGCCCTCTGGGGAGCTAGGCTCAGGGGACGGACCTCCCAGAGGCCACCATGGTGGTATAGGGCAGCAGCACCTCTCCCCATTCCACCTCCCAGCCTTCTCTGCTGCCCTTCTCACTGCGTACCCCGCCTGGGACACTGGGGGCCCCTGGGCAGCAGGCCCCAGCCCTATCCTCCCATTTGGTAGACTCTTTACCCTTGGGGTTTTGTGGATCCTCTGAGGGCCTGGCCAGCCCCAGGACCACCCTGTTCCTGCAGCTGTGAATGTGGAGCTTGGGCCCAGGAGGAGCTCCCCAAAAGAGGGCCCATGTGGCTTGGCTCCTTTCAGTTACTCTTCCCACTTGCATTGAGGCCTCCCACATTCCAGGCATGGCGCTGGGCACTGCAGATAGAAATGGAAAAAAACAAAGCAAAGCCTGGTCCTCATGGAGGTTCCATTCCAGTGCGGGAGTGACAGCCAGTGAACAAAGGGATGCCAAGCGTTGGGAAGCTCTATGATGAAAAACCAAGTGGGCAAGGTGCTAGAGAGTGACAGGGATAGGCCAATGCCTGTCTCTTGCTGGGTGGGGTGACTGAGGAGGGGCTCTGATACAGTGGCATCCAAGCAGGTATGGGAAGGAAGTGAGGAAGAGAGGAACTGCAGGTGCAGAGGCCATGAGGTGGGAGCATGCCTGGCACATTCAGGGAATGGGAAGCAAGGCCCACATGACTGAAGGGATGTGAACAGTGGGTCGGGGTCACAGCAAATAAAGTCAGAGACATCACGGGGGCTGTGTGGCATTGTGAGTCCTGGAAAGGACTTCAGCTTTTACAGAGTGAGATGGGAGGCCAGTGGAGAGCCTGGAGGCAAACCCCAGGGTCACATCATCTGTGTTTTCCCAAGAACAGGAAGAACAGGCTGTGGGGAAGAACAGGCTCTTGGAAGAACAGGCTGCGGGGGAGGGGGCAACAATCCAAGCCAGGTGAGGCTGGGACCAGGGCAGGCAGTGCAGGGACAGGAAGGGGTCAGGCACTGGACCTACTTGGAAGGTAGAGCCGACCCTGTCTCCTGATGGCTGGTTACAGCTACAAGAGGACAAGGAGAGTCCAGGTGGGTGGAAGCCCCAGCTTTTCCCCTGACATCAGAGCGTTGCCCTGGAGAAGCAGAAGGCTGAAGGAGACTTTAGGTTCTGGGCGTAGTAAGCTGGGATGCCTGTCAGCCATTCAAAGAGGCAGTTGGGTGTAAGTCTGTATGCTCCCAGCTCCAGTCTCCACCTCCCCTGGAACTCAGACGTCTGTGTCTCTCTGGCAGCCTCAGAGACAGCTCCTACTTGCAGAACTCCCAGCTCCCCTCCCCTGAAGCTGGCTCCTCCCTGCTCCCACCTAGCATGAGGCAGATCCTCAAACTAGAAACCTGGGAGCTGTTCTTTACACATCAGCTGTTCTTTACACACCAGCTGTTCTTTACACACCAGTCTCTCCTTGTCCCCACATCTAGTCTGTCACCACCAAAATATGTCTTGAACTCTGAGTATCTTCCTTGCTAATTTCCATGTTTCCTTTCTTACTTCTCTACCTCCCCTGAATCTATTCCCCAAACTGTATAGCCAGTTTGCATCTTTTAAAACCGCAAACTGGCAGTGTCATTCCTCTGCCATCCCCTGTGCCCCATCACTGGTGGCTTCCTGGTGCTTTGTCCCATGGCAATGGTGGCTGGCCCATGTCTCCAACCTGCTGCCTCCCTGGACCACCGCACCTCAGCCAGCCCTGCCACCCGCAGTTCCACTGGGGGCCTGGTTCTTCCCCTGCCCAGGGCCTTAGGCCTGCTCTGCTCTTCCCTCTGCCTGGAATCCCTGTGGGTGGTTTGTTACCGATCTGGTCTTGGCTCCAATGCCACCTCCTCAGGGAAGTCCTCCCTGACTACCCACAATGAATTAGGTCTCCCAGTTGTTCGCTCTCATACAGCCTCATCCTTTTTTCTCACAGTACCTCCCACAGTTTCATAATTCCTCATGTATTCAGTGGTGATCTAATTAACATCTTTCTTCTCTAGAAGACAGCAGACTTTATAGAACCCAACTGTCTAAAACTATCTGTTTTGCTCGTCCTGCTGGCATTCCAGAGCCTGGGCCTGGTCCTGAGAGAAGGTTGCTACCCACGTGTTGAGAGAATGTGCGTGCGCCACCTCAGCTGCGCCCCGTGGACATTAGCGAATGTTTGAGGAGTGAGTTATTCAGTAGATGGAGAGAGGCCCTCAAAGTTGGCTAGAAGATAAATGACTAAAAGGAAAGCCTGTTTTTCTCATTCTTAGGTTGGTAAAATTATCTACTTTTCTTTATCTCTGGTGTTCTAAATGGGTCTTCTGTTCCGAAGCGTCCCTCAGTGAGCGTGGGCTCACTGACCACCCCGTGTGGCAATGCTGTCTGCATGCGCCTGTGAGAACCCATGGGAGTGCCATGCTGCCCTGTCCCCATCTTTATCTGCTGCACAATTTCCTGTCTAGGCCCTTAAAATCTTGATTTGCACAGTTATTTATCTTTGTGCTCTTCATGGTGCCCTGGTAAGGCATTCTTTATGATTTCAGTCCTGAGAACACAAGCCCTGTTGAAAAGAGAACATGCTTTGAATAAAGCCTGCTTGACGTTCGGCTTGATGGGGAGGAGGAGGGGGAAGGGGCATCAGGGCAGCATGAGGCCCCTGGCCGCCCTCTCTCACAGGAAGGCTCATAAACACAAGGATCTCGCTCAAGCCCCGGCACGTCTGGAATCTCAGCTCGGTGCTTTGCCAGGTATGATTTTGCCACAAGGGGCATTTCTTTTCCAGAATCTGATGCAGTCACTCTCTTCAGAGCGGCTGGGCGTTTATCTGGACCTGTCACAACCAGGTTTCTCAGCAGCTCCTGTGCTGGGCACTGAGGACGCAGCATAGGGAGAGCACAGTCCTTGTCTCGGGATTTAGAAGGGAAGAGATGCACATTTGATAGGCCAAAATTAAGAAATCTAGCAGTGCCAAATGTTGGAGCAGACGTGTATCAATGGGGTGTCTTGGGCCTTATTGATAGAAGTTGATTTATCTACCTAGCAAAGTTGAACAGCCATTCACCCTGCAATCCAGCAGTTCAACTCCAGGAACTGTGTCCTTGAGAAGCCCTTGCACATGTGCCCATGCAGGATCCTTGTGACAGAAGAAATTCATTGCAGCATTTTCCAGCAAAGAACTGGAAACACCCCCAGTGCACATCGATAGGAGTCCAGGTTGTGCTAAATACACAAGGTGCAGCAGATGGCATCGGCAGCAAATGAGCTGCAGGTGCATGCACTATGTGCACAGGTTTTTAGTATCATAACTGGCACAATGCCTTATTCATACAGTTCAGAAACTTATACAACAAAGCAAATTACTGATTAGGAATGTGTACTACATATGTAGTGAGCCTTTACACAATCATACACACGTGTGTATAAAAAGAAAGGGAATGCTGTGCGCCAAATTCAAGGCAGCGGCACCCTCCCGCTGGGGCAGGTGGGAATGCTGAGTGGGGAGGACCACACAGGTAGGTATGAGTTATCGATAATGTAGTTCAGGGGCGGAAAGGGCAATGAACTCATGGGTGTTTCGTATATAATTTAAATCTGTCGGCACACAGAGGCTGGGGCTGACCTGTAAAGTAGTGGTAACCAAACAGTGAGTCAGGTTCCGATGGTCAGCTGTGTCTGGAGTTATCAGAGAAGCCCTTCTAGGAGGTCCATGGGAGCAGGGGTTAGGGACGAATGGGAATTTGCCAGTGGAAGAAATCCCAGGGAGCAGCCTCAGGGGCAAAGCACAGAGACATTCAGAAGCACAGCATTTACAAGGATTCATTCAAGAGTCCCTTGGCTACGTTTTCAGGGTTGGGGAGAATGTGGGGCCGAAAAGGCTGTGGAGTTGGGCTGCATGGTGGAGGCTTCCTGGTGGCTGAGCTAAGGAGTGGGGGCTCAGCCCTGTGAGTGAGGCTTTTCAGCAGATTGCCTTGTGGGGCGGTGGAGGGGGTACCAGGAGACCGCCACCCATCACAGGGAGTCCCCATAGAATTCCAGCTGACCAGAGGATCTTCCTGCTCGTGGCAGGACCATGACAAGCTTTGAAAGCCATGAGGTAGACGATGGGAGCCCACAAAGGAGGTGGTGACAAACAATTGCTTTATCAGAGAAACATTTTAGAAAGCCGCACAGGCTGCTGCAGGCGCCTGGGAGGGAAGAGTTGTGACCTGGGCCCCACCTCACTGGGCAGACGACGCTTAGTGTAAGGTGATATTCTCCAGTGACTCTGAGTAATGTTCCCAAAAATCTCATTCTCCTATTGCCTTTTCAGACCATTTCAGAGATGTTTTCTGTTTCTTTGTGATTGATCTTGGCTGTGGCTTTTGACACTGTGCGTCTCACTTTCTCTGCCCCCTGACCTCTGGTTAGGTAGTTAATGATCTTTAAACAAACACTTGAGTATTATGGCTCTCCAGGAAAGGTCCTGGGCTCATGGGCCATTAGCAACACACTCTCCCTTTATCCAGGGAGAAAATGAGTGTTCGTACACCCTGACTCGGTAGACAGGGATGCTTGCAACCTAAGTGTCAAAATTCTCTTTAGTTTAACTATTTTTGATGGCAGGTCTTCTGAAATATGTTACATATTTCTCTGCTTCAAATCCATGAACAGTTTCCTCTCATCTCAGAGACAGTGGATCATAGGTAGGAATGTTTGTTCATTTCAGGAACTTTTATTGGAGACTTTTCTATGTCTGTTCCTGATTTACAAACTGTGAATGCAGAAATCTGCCCAGTATAGTAGTCAGTGATATTTTAGAAACAGAGATAAGATCAGGTTACTCCTTTGCCTAAACTCCTCCAGTGACTTCCGGGCCTTGCACTCTACTGTGGGGCCCGAGCCTTGACCTCTGTGTTAGTCCGTTTTCACGCTGCTGATAAAGACATACCCAAGACTGGGTAATTTATTTTTTAAAAAAAAGAGGTTTAATGGACTCACAGTTCTGCGTGGCTGAGGAGGCTTCACAATCATGGTGGAAGGCGAAAGGCACGTCTTACATGGCACCAGGCAAGAGAGAGAATGAGAGCCAAGTTAAAGGGGTTTCCCCTTATAAAACAATCAGATCTAGTGAGACTCATTCACTACCAGTATGGGGGAAAGCACCCCTACAATTCAATTATCTCCCACCAGGTCCCTCCCACAACACATGGGAATTAAGGAAGCTACAATTCAAGATGAGATTTGGATGGGGACACAGCCAAACCATATCAGCCTCCCTCCCTGCTGTCTCCCTCCCCACCCTTGCTGTAGCCCTCCTGCCTCGGTGTATTCCCAGACTCACCAAGCTACTGCCCTCTTAGGGCTTGCACTTATCAGTTGCCCCATTTAGAGCTGTCTTTCTGTGGGTCTTCACACAGCTGTCTGCTTCTTATGCTAAGGTCTTAGCTCAAATTCACTTCTTCGAGACCTTTACCCCACCCAGGCCTTCTCTATCACATCACCTGGCCTTGTTTTCTTTATAGCATATGTTGTCTAATATAGTCATATAATATTAATGTAGATTAATATTATATAATTATATTAATATATATTTGCATGCATGTAATTTATATATTAATTTTATATTGATATGAATTGAATTAATATATATAATTTTTCCTATATAGGTAATTTTGTTGTTGCTGTTGTTTCAAGATATTAAGCTCTTTGGAAACAGAGGTCACTGTATTTCTTCCCCTAGAACAGTGCCTGGCACACAATAGGCACTCTGGGAATATGTGTTGAATGAATGAAGAGAGATCCTGCCCTAGGCTACCCACAAGCCAGCAGGCAGCAGATACACAATAGACAGTGACCATGCAGCAGGCTGTGGGATTCAGAGGGGCTGGGTTACCACTAAGGAGTCAGGGTCAAGTTCTGCCACTGGGAGTTGGGACAGGCTTTCCAGAGCAGTGGTGTTTGTCCCGGGCTTTAGAGGGCAAATGGGCACAGCTTGGCCAGCTGAGCAGCTGGGGAGGCCATTCTTGGGGGAGGAGGCAGGCAAACCTGGACAGAGGGCTGGAAAATGCTAGCATGATTGATGGAAGGGAGGAACTTGGAGGGACTGGAGCCTGGATTGGAGCAGGGGTGAAGGGAACTAAGGTAGTCAGGGATTTGGCTGCTATGACCCCTGCCTTTCCCCCAGAAGAACAGTGAGACTTGGAGAGTGGGGCCCTGGCCCTGCTTTGCTGGCGGCCCTCGGCCTTGTGCTTTCAGTGTGGTACCTGCTCTGGTCCAGAAGAGTGTGCCTGGGCCCCAGACCCCCCTTGGCTGGTCCTCACGGTGCCTGCAGGTGGTGGTAAGCACAGGATTCTCTAGCTGCAGCTCCCCTCTCCTCCCCACAGCCCCGAGGCTTGTTGGTTTCATGTGCTCTCTTGCTTACTCCCCATCAGGTGGTGAAGAAGGTGAAGTCCATGCAGATGTTCCACATGCCCATCACTTCAGCCATGCAAGGAGACCGGCTGGGCATCTGCGTCACCCAGTTTGACCCTAAGCTGCTGGAGCGCGGGTTGGTGTGTGCCCCCGAGTCCCTGCACACTGTCCATGCGGCCCTCATCTCTGTGGAAAAGATACCGTATTTCCGGGGGCCCCTGCAAACCAAGGCCAAGTTCCACATTACAGTGGGCCATGAAACAGTCATGGGCCGGTTGATGTTCTTCAGTCCTGCTCCAGATAACTTTGACCAGGAGCCTATACTGGACTCTTTCAACTTCTCTCAAGAATACCTTTTCCAGGAGCAGTACCTGTCCAAGGATTTGACACCAGCAGTGACAGACAATGATGAGGCCGACAAGAAGGCCGGCCAGGCCACAGAGGGCCATTGTCCTCGGCAGCAGTGGGCCCTGGTGGAGTTTGAGAAGCCCGTCACCTGCCCTCGGCTGTGCCTGGTGATTGGCTCCAGGCTAGATGCGGACATTCACACCAACACGTGCCGGCTAGCCTTCCATGGCATCCTGCTCCACGGGCTAGAGGACAGGAACTACGCCGACAGCTTCCTGCCCAGGCTGAAGGTGTACAAGCTGAAGCACAAGCATGGCCTTGTGGAGCGGGTGAGCATGCCCTTGCCTGGCCCCACACCCCTTCCCTTCTTGCTCGGGCAGCTGGGATCCATGGCCTGACATCTGTGATGAGAGCCAGAAAGGCCCTCAGAGACCTTCTGGTGCCAACCTCTGTAGTTTCTGTACAAGGCATCTGATGCCCAGAATGGTCAGGTGGCCACAGTTCTCTCAGCTGGTCAGTCACAGAGCCAGGGCCAGCACCTGGGCAGGGGGACCCCCACTGTACCCAATCCCACCCAGCTATCCCACCCCCACTTATTTACATGGTAGATGTGGCACCCATGGGTCTGAGCAGGTCTGGGCTCCCCCACAGCCAGTGTCAGATGGCAGCGGTTAGCACTGGCTTCCCTGGCCTGCTGCCCTGATCAGGCCCCACTCTCTTGACCTTGGTGGGCACTGTACCTCCATCCAGCTGGGATCTGCCCATGTGCCCCTGCAAGCTGCTTATGTCCAGAGGGAAACACTGCCCATCAGTGGTGCCAGGCCAGGTCTTTCCTCACCTGTGGACTGAGGGGAAGGGGCTAATGGTGGCCAGGTCTTTCCTCACCTGTGGACTGAGGGGAAGGGGCTAAGGGTGCCAGAGAGCAAGAGGAAGGAAGGTACAGGAAGCTGACACAGTGGGAGGTCCAGCCCCTGGCTACCTAGGGTGCCTGAAGTTCACCATCGCTAGATGCAGGCCTTAGGCATGTAGGTGAGCCAGTCTAGTTGAAGTAGGATGAGGCCCTGGCTGTGCCTTGCTGGGCGGCCCTTGGCCTTGTGCTTTCAGGGTGGTGCCTGCTCTGTCCCAGGAGACTCTGACTGGGCCCTGGGCCTCCCTCGGCTGGTCCTGTGGTGCATCAGCACCTGGGCCCAGTGCTGGGTGGGATGGGCCTGCCACTAGGGTGGACAGAACACGGTGGTCTCCCCCAAAGTAGTGGAATCACCTCCTCCCATGGGGCATCCATCCCCAGCAGCTGTCCACACAGTGCTGAGTGGGAATCCATGCCCATCGGGCCTTGAAGGCAGGATGGATGGACAGCCAAACCTTGCCGTCTCTTCTAGAAGGCTAGCTCCCTGGCTGTGGGTCCAAGCGGATCAGCAGCAGCTGTACTGGGACATGACTGGGCTTTGACTGGCTTAAAGAGCACGGAGTGCTGGCAACCCCACTGTCGGGGGCTCAGGCTCCTAGCAGGAGGGGTCTGCCCTGAGGCTTTCAACAAGGGCCTCAGTTCCTCACAGGAGCCTGATGAGGTCCCCTGGGTTTAGTGCAGGTGCCAGCACAACATCTGGCCCATCCACGGTGTCACATGTGGTGGGCTTCCATCGCCCACCCTCCGCTCCAGGTCTCCGTCCACAGGTTTTCTCCTCTGGGAGAAAATCCACTGGTTTTCTCGTCTGGAATTCTCTGTCACTGCAGCCCCTTCCCCTCCCTTTCTCCTTGTCTTAGGTTCTTCCTGGGTGCTCCACCCTGGCCCTCTTCTTTTCCTGCCCCTGTACCTAGACCTGCCCTCAAGTGGGGGACTGAGGAGCAACCCCTTCCTCTCCCTTCCTCAGACCCAGAGCTTGGACCCTTAGCTCCGGGGGGGCCGCTGGGGCCTGCTCAGGGCTCCATCAGCCTTAGGCCAGCCCCAAGATGCTGATTGAAGATGAAGGTGATAAAGTGTGTGTCACTCGTTTGTCTAGCCTGATTTATTAGCAGTGTTTGGAGTATAATTATTCTATAGTAAAATATCTATGAGAGAGTAATATCCCAATTGGTGTGGCTCCTGGGTCTAATTGCTCCCACTCAGGCCTGTCAACAGCGGTGCAGCAGTCACTTCCTTTGAGAACTGGGAGGGAGGGTCTGTGAGGAGCAAGTAAACATATGGCCTCAATGACTCATGCCTCCGAAGGGCTGAGGGAGGGGCCAGGAGACATGCCTGGCCTATGTCCTTCCACCAACCTGGGGCCACCAGCATTTTCCTGCTCAGTCCAGGGAGGCTGGAAGTGGAAGCACAAGAACTGTAGGCAGTCCACAGAAGCTGAGTCCAAATCCCATATAGACAACCCTGAGCAGAGACAGGCTTCCTCCAACCAGGGACAGCCTCACAGGGTGACTGTGGATGTGTGCAGAGGTGAGATCCTATGAGCCCAGGGCTTTGGTCGAGGAAGAAGGCCTTCCTGAGGCTCCACAAGGGAGGAAAGGGCATGGGTGCCCAGGCTAGGAGCAGCTCCCCCAACTCGCAACCCCCTGAGGCTCTAGCTGAATGGGCACCTGCCTTAATGCTAGGGGCTGGCTGTAGGCTGGGGCTTCTGTGCCACATGCTCTCCTCTGGGCCCCAGGGCAGGAATGAGCCTGCCTCCTGCCTCCCTCCACTCTGTCACCACTCTACTGATTAAGCATATACTATGCGCCTTTACTAGCTACATACTTTATTTTGAAACCGTTTAATAACCCTGAGGAAGAGGTCATTATTTTTCCTATGTACATTTTTCCCCAATTAAATCAATCAAATTATGTGCAAATATTTAGGAAAAGTAATATATGCACATGGTAAAAAATTTCAAACAAGACAATAATTATTCAGTGTAAGGAAGTTTTCTTCCTACGAACCCAGGTCCCCTCCCCAAAGGCAGCCAGACTGGAAACCAGCCCAAGAAATGTGAAGTGACCTGCCCAAGGTCACAGGGTAGTAAAGCTGGAGTTTGAACTCAGGACTAGCTGGTCTCTTTTGAGTCATGAAATTTCCACTTTGTCAGACAGATTCTTGCCCAGTGTGTCAAAAGAGTCTGCGTTCTCTTGAAAAGCTCGAATCTCCTTGGTGGGAGACTTTCCTTCCTGGTAAGGTGGAACTTGGAGATCATACAGAGTAGGCTCAAGCCCTTGCTGTACCCAAAACAGCTGTACGCCTTGGGCAGCCATTTAATCTCAATTGTTCATTCCTTCGAAGGATGGTCTTGACCTCATCAGGTTGTTTTGAAAGAGCCACCATAGCTTGTGGCTTCATATGTAAGAGCCGACTCTCATCAGGTGAAGCAAGAAGGTAGTGTTCCTGTTGCAGCTCCTGAGTGATTGGCTGAGTTTGTTCCAAAGGGGCAGCCCTGTTTGCTTTGAGTAGGCCCCAGATCACCCAGAGATTTTCAGGTCATCTTGCTTGACCAGGGGCTCAGCCATCCGACAGACTGGTCCAATGTGCAAGCCTGGGCTTTATTTACTCCCAGCCTTACCACCTGCTAGTGTGAAAAGTTGAGCAGACCATGAGACTTCCATGTTAAGTGGGAATTTTCACAGTGCTGCACCAGGGTTAGATGAAGGTGAGATGGGGGATTGCACATAAGGTTCTGAGATCAGTGCTTGTCTCCTACTGCATCGTTATTGTTTTATCATTATTAATGTTTAAGCTCTTAGAGTCAAAATAATAATGCCTGGAGCGTGGGTCCACTCTTTTCCCTGGGACTCCATTATTTCTCTTTGAAGCACAGGAGCCAATCCCCCTGGTCCCTATCAGGAGCCACACAGTTTTGGTTGAAGAGGGAGGGGCTGAGAGTCTGGTAGGCTCATGGGTGTGGTTATCCAGCGCAGGGGCCAGAGAAGTGCCCTATGCTCTTCTTTCCCCACCGTGCTTGGCTGACTCTAAAAATTCCTGGGCACATCACAGTTACTAGTCAGCTTTCTGGACATGTCTATTCAAAGAAGTTTCTGGAAGATCAGAGAATCTTGAAAAGGTGAAATCCAGTCTCTTGGGCAGAATCTCCACCACCTTGGTGAGCCAGCACCCAGCCTTTGCTCTGTGATTCGGGGCAAGGCCAGCACATCTACTTTGCAAGCACAGTTAGCCTTCTGAGAACCTGGGCTTGGGTCTCTGAGCTATCTCAGTTCATCACAAAGGGAGACCCTGGCACTATACCTATGTGTTAAGTGAGCACTTTCCGCCAGGGGGGCTTAAGGCATATAGGCCTTCTGATCCCATTTCCTATAAAGGCATCCTTCATTCATATATTCGGATGTTTACTGTGCTCCTACGTTTGTGCCAGGCACTGTGCATACAACAAGATAGACAAAGTTCTTGTCTTCCTAGGGGAGGCTAGTAGTGAACAGTAAATTAGACATTTTCAGGTTATAATAAGGTCTAGAAAGAAAATAACAGCGTGATGTAAATATGTGATGCTGAGGACAGTTATTGAAACACAGAAGATGCTAATTTCCAAGCCTCTGCAGACTGTGTTTTTATTTCCTGTGCGTCTGCATCACTGGCTCACACTGGAAGCTGGTCAGGTACCCTACCAGTTGTGGCTTAACTCATTAGTATTACATAGAGCAAACTATGGCCCATGGGCCAAACCTAAACAACTGCTCTTGCTCCAAATCTAATAATCTTAAACAAGCTTATTTTCTCTGGATTCTTCTTTCAGCTGCTTCGATCAAACACAATTTAATTAACTTACCATTGGTAAATGGCTTTCCTTGCTTGGCTAACAAATGAGCCACCCGGAAACCTACTTTGGTTGCAGCCTTATTCTTATTTTTTATTGTTTTGCGTGTCTGCTATGATGAAATATACTGTTTTAAGTTTTCTCTTTTTTGACATTGTTTTTCTGTGAGATGGGAATATCGTGATGTCAGTGTATCTCATATTCTGTTAACACAACTAATAACAAACACAGTACTTTGCCATGTAATGTGATAAAATAATAATCCATACCCACTGCGCCTTAAAAGTGTGACATTTGAAGTCCACTTTTCTTGTTTTCATGTGATGGGTATGCACCAGTAATAAAATAAATAAATAAATAAAATGTGTCACTGGGTGAGGTACTGCAAGTTGTAACTATGTTACCACCATCTGTAGTTTACTGAGCACCTCATCAGGTCTCAGACTCAGCTACTCAACTCTGCCACTGTGACACAAAGGCAGCCATAGACAATATGTAAACAAATGGGCATGACTGTGTTCCCATAAAACCTTTTGTTGTGAACATTGAAATTTAAATTTTATATAGTTTTCACATGTAACAAAATAATATTCTTTTGATATTCTCCAACTCATTAGAAAATATAAAAACCCTTCTTAGGTCACAGGCCATACAGAAACGTATCAGGAAGAATTTGACCCTTTGGCTATAGTTTTCCAACCCCTAATATAAATGGTTAATAGGGCTCTTGAAATAGAATGAGCACCCTGCGAGGAAAATGCTAATAATTATCTGCAGCTGAAAGCATTAAACCCTCTCAGCAGTCCTTAGGAATTGGGCTTTTTCTTGGGTGCCCACTGTCTCTGTGCTAACACTGGGATGCATATACTACTTTATGTGCTGTGTTTTTTATTCTTGGATACATTTGATTTTTTCACATAAGTCCACGTGTACTTCTATAAGAGTGTGACTTGTAATAAAGGGTTAATGAAGAAAAAAAAAAAAGAAGAAGAGGGAGCTTGGATTGGTAGAGACATCCAGAGGTCTCACCTGAGTGGGAGAAGAAAAGAAGTGAAAGTGTTCTAAATGGCTAATCTTTCTGGGGAGAGGGTTTAGGAAAGACTACTAGAGCATATGGTGATAAGGGAAATAGTTGGTATCCTGTTTCAAAGTAAAAATATAGAAATATGTGCAAGATTTTGAGTACAGAGAAAGGGAAAGAAACTATATGAATGCAGTGAAAATGTAATAGCACTTTCACATTCTCAGAGGAGAAACTGGAATGAATTTGATTAAACCAACAAAAATAAGGAAAAAAGAACAATGTTAATAAATAATAATAATAACAGAAGGAACAACATTAAGTATCAGTCATTACACTAAATGTGAATGGCCAAATTCTATTTAAATGCTAACGCTGAGAGATTGGGTTAAATACTGACAAAGGTAAAGAAGGACATCATGTAACGATAAAAGGCTCGGTTATAAACTTGTACATACCAAACATAAAAATAAAACAGTAGAAACCTAGGGACAGCTTGATAAAAGATGGAATTATAATGATAGGGTGGCACTTCAGAGTCCATATTTTAAAATCAGGCCTACTAGACATAAGGACAACGAGGCAGAATATATTCAATAAGCTTGATTTTTAGATAAATGTAAACTCTTACACTCCTTGAATAGAGTATACATTTTTTTTCCTATGGCTTGGAACATTTACAAAACTAAATATTCAGCAGTTGACATTAAACAAATATTTGTAGAACATCTACTGTGTGTTGTCTTAAGGGCTAGGGAGGTAACAGTGAATGAAAAAGACAAAATCTCTGCCCACATGGAACTTAGATTGTAGTTGTATTTGTGGCCACAGAGAAAAAACCCTAATAGATTTTAGAAAGTAAAATCATGAACCACTAAAATGAGAAACAAAGCAGTTATATATAGATATAGGCAGATATGGAGAGATACAAAGTGTGCATGCGTGTGTGTGTGTGTGTGCGTGTGCGTGTGTGTGTGTGTGCGTGTGTGTGTGTGTGTTCATTCTTTCACATATTCTAGTAAATTGCTCCTCATTTGATTAAGGCTGTTTCTCATACTATCATAGAATGTTGAATCTTAGTAATAAAATTTTTCTCTTTTTCAGTGTTCTTTCAATCTTTTGATTACTTTGCAGAGAAAGCTTTAGATTTGTTCAAAGATGTCTTTAACAGTCCTCTATTACATTCTAACCTGCTTTTTAACAAATGGAAAACAAGACCAAGATTCCAGAGCCTTCTAGTAGCAATAGTATGTAACTAGGATTATTCTTTGGGGGTTTTTTTGCATGGTATGTACTTTTACTATTAGCTTCCTCTGTTTATGGTTAGTGACTCTTTTCTTTAGGATACTATATAAAGTCTCCTTTCCAGGCAGATGTAAAGAAATATATTAGGTAAATAGTAGGTCGGGTATGCAAAGATCTGGCAAAAATGATGTGGGGTGAAGGATGTGTAAAAGCCGAGGCTGGAACCACTGGGTCCTGTCCCCAGGAGGTTACTTGCATCTCAGCCACATGCAGATTCAGACCAGCTGCTCCTCCTTTAGTGATCCAAAGCCTCATAGAAAACTGGGTCTTTCTAGTGGAGGACAGAGACTCATGCCTGCATCAGAGGAATATGCAGAGGGCTAGGAGAGGAAACAAGGAACTCTGCCAAGGTGGGAGGAAGTAGGCTGGTGAGGGAAAAGCACAAAATGGTGACCTTTTAAGTGTATCTTGTAAGACTGGAAGGTTCACTGCACAGACACTAGGGGCCATGTGGGGAAACAGGAAGGTGGAGGAGGGGCATTCCAGGTCCAGGGACTGCTTCTGTAAAGCATAGAGGCCAAATAATGCCTGGCCCTGGGCATCTGGGAGGGCAGGGACAGGGAGCTTAAAGAGGCAGGCAGGGCCAGCCATCGAAGCTAGGCCCTTCACCCTGCAGGGGGGAGTAATGCAGGTTGGGGGCTATGGGGGGTGTTCTAGGTCACCTGTGCTAGAGAAATCCTTGGAGCAGGGCCGGCCCAGGCAGCCTAGAGAGGGGAGGCTCAGCCTCTCTCACCTACCCTTCTGTATCCCAGTCTCGCCCTGAGGCTCTGGGCACCTGGTCGTCTGGAGCCGCAGAGCTCAATGGTCTGGGAGCCACTCACCCTATGGAGCCAGGCTTCTCCACTAGTAACAAATCATGACTTTTCAGGACTGTGTGAACATGAAGGAGGAGGTGAGGGTCTGGTGCTTAGGACAGTGAGTGCTCTGCAATACCTGCTGGCTTCCACAGCAGACTTCTCACTGTTACCACGCCCCAGGATGCCCTCCTCACCTCCCCAAGCCACCACCTTCTCATGGGTCTCACCATAGCCCTCTTTGCCCCTGGCAGCATGCATAGCTCCACCCCAGTAATTTTCTGCAAAACAAAGGGGGTCCTGCCAGCTCTTACTCAGAAATCTCTTTTAGGTCCACACCACCTGCAGGACAAAGACAATACCCAACCTTAGCATGTTAGCTGGCTGGCAGTTGGGTCCCAGGACATGGCAGGTATATGTGCTATATGTAACATGCTGAGTACTCCACCTGGCACAGAATGGGCCCTGGGTAAACAGTGGGTATCATCAGTACTATTTATTTGGACTTTCCTCTGGAAATGCAGATGCCTGGGTTCCCAGCTAGGGTGATAGCAGACACCATCCCCCTTCCACAGTGGTGGGATAAGGCCAGGTGTGCCAGCCATCCTGGGTCTGGCACCCACTGGCGCCGGTCAGGGAAGGCCTTAGGGCTGGGCCACAGGAGCTGGCAGCATTGGCCCAACCAAGTGTAAACATGCAGACGCCATCAGGAGCACTCGCCAGCTTTGAAGTCTGAAGCGGCGCTGCCTCCTGGCTCCTGGCTCTGCCCCACTCCACTGCTGACGGCTTGTTAAATGTGCCCAGGGCACCAGGGAGCGTGCTGGCCTGGGGTGCAGGCTGGCTCATGACCTGCCTCTGGCACAGCTTGGGCCCCATCATTCTCAGCAGGGATGGTCTGGCAGGCTTGGTGGGCCCTAGCGGGTCAGCTGCAGGGCCCCTCGCCCTTGCAGGAAGCCATGCTGTGGTCTAGCTGGCCACTGAGCCTGTTCTGCTGGCCCTCGCTCCCCTGGGTCCCTGCCAGAGGGTTGAAGGCCACATTGGCTCCCAGGCTACTTGAGAAAACAGAGGTTCCCCTGAAACAGAGGTTGAGAAGCTCTTTCCCCAGGGAGATGATCAAATGGCTGCCCTGGTATTCTGGTCCCAGCCCAAATCCTCAGCGTTTCTTCTGACTTCCAGTATCAGGCTGTGATAGCTAAGTGTCTTGCTTGGCTGCTGGAGTGCTTGTTCACCTTCCTTTGAAAATTGCTTTTTTGCCCATATAGAGACACAGGGTCAGGACAGCTTGATGTGCTGGAAAGAGCCAGTTCTGGAAACTGATGGACTGAGCTGGGCACAAGCTCGATGTGGCCGTGGGCAAGTCACTCTCCCCCAGAACCTGTTTCTTCTTTAAGAGCTGGTCAGGCGTTGATGAGACCTGGGCTACTTCAGGGCCTCTGCTCTTCCCACCACACCAGACCATGGCCTGCATTGAGGAGGAGACACTGTCCGTGGGGAAAGTTTTCTGATGATACTGGAACAACACCATCATCCTAGGTCCCCTTCCAGAATTTGTCAATCCTGGTGGCTTTCAAGTGGCCTAGAAGAGTTAACACCGCATTTTTAAGGGACTCATCCATGATCAGGCAGCCTCTGAGTTCTTCCCATTCCTCATTGGATCCAAGGACTGCTGGCTTCTGTCCTCCGAGAAGACTTTGCTGGTGGGGTGGGTAAGAGGGAGAGAAGCAGAGAGCTGTGGGCAGCTCCAAGCATGTGGTTGGTGTTGAGTACATGTTCTGTTCTTCTGGCTTCTCTTGGGCAGATTAGATAACTGGATCTTGTGATTTCTGTGCATCTGAGATCTCCTGCACCAAATGCTGTCTTATTCTTCTGCTTCTCCCACAATTTGACATCCACTAATTGAGATTCTTTCCTCTGGGTCATCCATTCTCTGTCAAGTCTTAGGTGTTATCATCAACATCAACACCCCTGATCCTAACAACAACCTTTTTCAAGGAGGAAACTGAGTTTCAGAGAAGTCCCTCGCTCAAGGTCATAGAGCTGTAAGAGGCAGAGTCAGAAGTCAGGCCTCCCAAGCCCTTCCTGTCCTGCGCACGTGGTTCTCCTCACCACAGACCTGGAATCGGCACAGGGCTCCATTTCATGGCACGTTTGCCTGCCTTCCTTCGTATCACTTCTACAATTTGAATTAGAATGGTCACTTCACAGCTTGGGCAATTCCCAAGCCTCATCATGGGAGCCAAGCCCTGAAAGAGGGACACACACACGTGTAATGACATAATTATATGCACCGGCAGCCAAGTCCTTGCTCAAAGGCCAGGGACAATGGGGACCCACCTGGCGTGTAAGCAAGCGCCTGGACTTCCATGTGCACAGTGACTGCTCCTCAGGAGCTCAGTCCCTCCAGTGACTGAAGGCTAATAAATAGAGCAAATTATTCATGCAAACAGTGAGAATCCCCACTTAGCGCCATTGTTGTAACTGTGCTGGCCTGGATTCAGGACTGTTCCCTAGAAGCAAGGCCTATTGAGCAGATCCCACATGCGTTGCCTTTGGTTTGACGTCACAATGATTGATTTCAAAATGAAAACCCTCCAACTGTTCTCTGAAGGTCTTTCCTCATTGGATGTGCTTGTGTCTGATCTCTGAGGTCTCTTTCCTTTAGCTGGAAGAATCTATAATTTGGTGAAGAACCCAACCATCACACATGCATGCACACACCTTCTAGTGATGGACAGGACAGAGCAAAGCCATGTTCCCCCATCCTCACCTCCTGACACTCAGGACAGATCATGACCCCTGGTCTTCCTGAAGTTCTCCAGAGATGTAGGCCTCACAGCATCCTGTAGGAATGTAGGAGCTGTCTCCCTCTTTCTAGCCAGACTTCCTTCTGATTAAATGAGGTTTCATGCAGCTGACAATCACTGAGTCCTTGCCCCCAGTACACACAGCAGTAATTTCCGGAGGTGTAGGTTTTGGAGATGCAAAAATGTGCTCAGACCAGCTCCTGCCTTCCAGGACTGCCTTCCTCCCCTCCCCGCATCCAGCTGGTGAGGCTGGCGTAGACAAGCCACTGCTGTGCTGAGAGACAGGCACACAGGCTTCTCTGTAGCCAATTCCCAGCGCAACCCTCTGTCTGGTTCTGAGGCCGGCAGTCTCTTAGAGGGGGCCTTCCATTAGTCAGCGATGTCTTCTCAGATCTGCAGGTGGCGGCCATTGAGTCGCAGGGGTGCACAGGCCCTGCATCTGCTGCCCCTGTAGTCCTGTGTGGTGTGTCTGAGGGAGTCCTAAGGGAGGGAGACTGGTCTGCCCAGGGAGGGGGCAGGCAGAGGCCAGACCAACAACAACTGTTTACAAGTGCTCCCCAGCACCCATTTAAACCTCCAGCAACTCTGTTTCCCCATATTATAGATGGAGAGATGCCTGCACCCACAGAGGTTAGGCCTCTGGCCAGAGTGCCTAGGCACCCAGACTTGGGATTCGAATGCAGGTAGTCTGGCTCTAGAGTCCAGGTTCTAACCTGTGATGTAAACAGTGCTGTGCCTTTTCTCTTATTCTATTGTCTCCAGTGTGCCCATTTTTTTCCAGTTATGGAGACCTGTACAGTAAATCCTCACTTAACATTGTCACTAGCTTCTTGGAAACCATGAGTTTAAGGGAAAGAACGTATAACAAAACCAATCTATTTTTTTCATTCATGTTATAACAAAATAACTTTGATATATATTCAAATAACTTTAAATGAAGCAACATTATTTAAGGGCCTACTGTACATTATTTTGTTTAAAGTAACAGTTTCTAAGAACTTATGATGACACCAAGTAAAGACTTTACTGGAAATTGAGTATTTGGAATTCATGGGAAGGGTAGTTTTCCTCTTGGCCCCTATAACCATAGGTGGGGAAAGTTTAGCCTCCCTCCAACAGCAGTGCAGTCCTTCTCAGTGTGGCAGGGGCTGACTGGGCTGGAACACCTTCCTGTGATGGTGAAGTGTTTGGGCCCCACTATAAGTGCTGCATCTTGAGGGCCAGGATCTGCCCTCTTTCCCTCCTCTCCTCCTCCCTTCCAAATAACCTGGTGGGGGCTGGGGTCCCTGAACTTGGGGATTGTCTTCTGCAATGACTTGGGGTTTCCCACAACTGGGACTAGCAGGGATGGGGCTGCCCAGTGCCCCTGGGCCGGACTTCTAGGCCCATTTGTGTCCAGTCAGTCATGACATGGCTCTGGTGAGCCCAAAGGATGGAGAAAGTCGTCTGGGCTCATTTGCTGCTTCGGCACCTCCCGGCAGACAGGGCCCAGCCCTTCCTGCAGCAGGAAAAGCACCAGCCTCTGGATCCAGACAGTCTGAGTTGGAATGGGGCATTGCCACACTCACTAGCTGCGTGACTTTGAGCAAATCATTTCATTTTACTGAGCCCCCTGTTCCCGACAGGGCTTTCCTAAAGATTAAATAATGATATGGGGACACCTCACCCATGACATGGCTGAGGACACTGCCGCTCACCTGCTGCTGGGAAAGGGGTGAGAGAGCAGAGTGCGAAGGATTGGGAGAGTTGGAGGGAGATGGGATTTACCTGCTGACTTCTCTCTGCTGCTCCAGCCTCCCCTCCCCTGGGGCAGCCATGCCCAGAGTGCCAGTGTCCTCTGTGGGACTGACACAAATGCAAAGATCCACCCAGCTGCTGTGAAATGACAGTGTGGGGCCACCAGCAGGCAGAAGACGCCAGCACTCTCGAGACCACACGGGGTTCCTGAACGTGTGCAGACGTCCAGCTCCTGCCCTCACGGTGCCTCCCCCACAAATGGAACTGCGGACACAGAAGTTCGCAGGAGAGTATGCTTCACCCACTCAGCACTATCATGTCTTCTGGCCAAGCCATAAAACAAGAGAGCAGGAGTGACAGAGACACTCCCTTTGAACTTGAAATCCTTTCTAAACTGCCACTCCAGCCCCAGAGGCCCTCCTCAGAAGGTCAAAAAAAGCCCACTCACTCCTCACCTTATCCCGGATGCTTAAAACAATTTTGTGGGAATGTAGGTCAGTGAACCGAGCTGCACCACACACCAGCAGGATTCCAGGGGCCAACCAGCCTGTGTGCTGGCCCACTAGGTCAGATGAGAACATAAACAAGGAACTCTGGGAGCCCTCAGCTTCCCCTGGCTCTAGTCCTTTGTTTATGTAGCACTTAAACTAACTTTGGGGTCATCTCTGTCTGGCATGAAAGCCCTGGAGCTTTTTGAAGTTCCCCTGAAGTTAATAAAATTAGTCTGCCCTCATTGCAAGACCCTGGCTTGGAGAAAGATAGATCCTCTGCTGTCTTTGTGGCATTTAGCTTTTTAAAGTTAATATTTTATAACCAAAAGAAAGGAGGGGGCAGGGGAGAAGATGCAGTAAACGTGTTCTGAAAGGCTAATAGGTAGCATGCCTGCTATCCCAGGCTCTGATTACCCTGGAGCCAGGCCTCCAGGCCCACTGGGAGGCTGAGCGATGGGCCTGCTGTGTTTAGCATGAGGGAACCAGCACTGGGGACGTGAATTGATCTGTCAGTGTGTTCTCCCAGGTAGATAGGAGGAAACTAGCCCGGGCTGGGCTGTTGGCTCACTCTCAGATGAATCGTGTCTCCCAAGGACATATCCACTTGAGTAATGTATTTCTACCTCCCGGCGTCTTCCCCTTGATGCCATGTGTGGGACTAGTGCAGTTGGCCTCCTCACACTCAGTGAGCGCCTGTTCACCAGGCCTGTAGTGGGTCAGGGCCACAGGAGGTGCACAGAACCCTTTCCTCGCAGAACTCCCAGTCCGAGGAGGGAGACAGATAGGTCAGCTGTCAGGGATAAGACATAGTGGCCAGGCTCTCAGAACAGAGGGATCTTGGCCTCAGTCCTGGGGGCCAAGGGGAGAGGAGGTGCCTGCAATGTCGGGGAAGCTGTCTGAAGGAGGAAATGTCCAAGGTGGGCCTTGGGTGGGGGTAGAGTCCCCGGTGCACAAGCTGGGACTAGCATTACAGGAGCACCACACAGGCGGGGAGGGAGGCATAACAGAGGGGCATGAGGACCCTGGGGGTGATAGATATGTTCATTAGCTTTATCATGGTGATGGTTTCACAGGCATGTATATGTATACACATATTTAGACTTATCCAATTATTTACTTTTAATATGTTCATGTTATTGTGTATCAGTTATAGCTGAATGAAGCTGTAAAAAAAAAAAAAAAAAAAGCCTACAGGCATGAGTGAGCCTTGCAAATGTACCAACAACTACAACCATGTATTCTTGCAACATTTACTCACACATTCAAGGAATAGATAGTAAGCGCCTGTTTTATGTGCAGGGAATGTAGCTATGGAGGAGAGGAACATGTTTCTGCCTGGAGCTTGTGCCTGGTTGGAAGCAATAAACAAGTAAACAGATAAGGTCAAAGGCATAACGTCAGGTGGCAATCTGTGCTCTGAAGAGAGACAGGGCAGGATGAAGATTGGAGAGGAGTAGGGGCTGGAGTACAGGAAGAGGGAGCCATGGGCCACAGGGAACGCTGTAGGCACCAGGCCTTGATTTGAGCCTGCTCAGGGCCAGGCCCTGCTGGGCACCAGGGGCTGCATAGAGATGGGGAGCTCATAGGATCTGTCGCTGAGAAGTGCAAAGGCTGTGGGCTGTGAGATGGAGGGAGAATTCTGTTATTTTCCTGTAGTACATGTGATTGTTCACAGCTACAGGCCCGTTTCATGGTAGGCTCTTATAGGAATAAAACAAGAATATTAATATCAGCTTGTTGAGAACTTTCTGCTCTGCTAAGGATACCTGCGTATATTATCCCTTTGGTCCTGGTGGGGCCTCTTACAAGCTGTTTCTCTGAGAAAGTTGTAAGCTCTTAGTCCAGGGACTGTGCCTTTTTTGTTTCTTGGCCACTGCAATGCTGGAGGACAGGTCTTATTTCTCAGTCAGATGTAACCCCAGGGCCTAGCTATGCAGAGGCCCGAGTAGTAGCTCTCTGGGGTGACCACAATGCATGAGAACTGATTAAAGCTGCCTGGGTGGGGACAGAGGGCTGCAATTGTCACCCTTGCTGGACCAGAAGCCATCAAAGGAAAATGTTCTGTCTTTGGAGAAGATGTCAGGAGAGGATGGGAGGTCCGCCTGGTGTGTGTGTAGAAGAAATGCACTTCTTGGTTTGTTTTTACATTTTTAAATTCTATTAACTTATTTGTAAACAGGTGATGCATTCATGTATTTCAGTAGCCAAAGATAGAAAAGGTGTATGGTGAAAAGTCCCCAGGCACCCTGCTCCCTTTCCTGGAGGCATCAGTTTCTCCTGATTCCTTCTGTGTATCCACCTCTGCCCTGCCCCCATCCATACACAGCCTGCAACATGCCCTTTGCCTCTCACTCTTCTTTTTAACGTGAAACACAATACTCTGGTTTTTGTATCTGTCCATACACACTGCCTACTCTCCTCTGTGGTCACATCATCATCTCTAGAGGCTGTGCTCCACTTCTTGAACTCAGGCTGGACTTCTAAGTCATTGTCAGCTTTTGCTGCTGCAGTGAGTGACCTTGGGTGGAGCTCCCATCTTCTCCTGACATCTTCTCCAGCAAGCACATCAGCGGGATGCATTCCTAGAAGTGAAATTGATGGTCCAGATGGTGTGTGCATTGCTCATTTCCATAACAGCTGCCAGACTGGTGGGCACTTCTTATCATGGGGCCCAAGTTTGCTACTGGAGGCAGGATCTACAGAGCAGGGGTGGGGTGAGGAGCTGGGTGGGGCAGGCAAGGCCACCTGGCCATGCTGCCATCCCAAAAGCAGTACCTGGGCTGGAGCTGCCAGAGACTCAGAAGGGAGGGAGTGACACTTCCAGTCGCTGATCAAGCCTCTAGGGAGAAGGTTCAGGATGAACATAGCTCATGGTGAAATCAGGGCTGCACCAAGCTGACTTTTTCACAGACATGTGTGTCCCTCCTCTCAGCCTGGGCACCCACAAAGAGACAGCAGCGGCCAACATGGCCAGCAGGAGGTATGAGCTCTGCAAAGACCTGGCCATGGCCAACAGGGGCCAGGGAAACGAGCAATTCTGCCTGGACTGAGGGAGGGTGTCATGGAGGTAGGGAGGTAGGGCTGTGGAGGAAAAGTGGGCCAGGCCAAGACAGGCTTCCAGGCACAGCTAGAGTGAGCAAGAGTAAAGCCTTGGGCCACTGTACATAGGGGTGTGTGCAGCGGGTGGGAGACAAAGGCCAGGCTCTCGGGCTCCTGTGGGAGGGGAAACCAGAGTGAGGAGGCCAGTTCTAGAAGGCCTTGGATGCAGGCTCAGGAGCGGCCCGGGTGACTGTGACAGCTTCAAGGAGAGTGCTCTGGGCAGGTGCCCTGGGGACAGGCTGGGTCATTGTGGCCCCCCAGGGGTGGGGGGGGCCTGCAACAGGGGCTTGAATTCAAAGCTACTTCTATCCCCTGTGCTCTGTGACCTTGGATAGATGACAGAACTCTGCCGTGCCTCCATTTCCTCATCTGTAAAGTGGCGCCACAGAGCTGCTGTGGGGACTGAGGTGCTATCTGTGGAAAGTGCTCACAGCATGCCTGTTTTGAAGGGCCCGTTGTTATAGTGGCAGTTGCCAGTCTCAGGTTTCTGCCCTGCTCCCATGCATTTTGTTATCTGTTAGGTGGGCTCATCACCAGGCTACCCACAGGGTTCCTAGAGCGGGCAGCAGCCAGCCATGCCTAGGGCCCGGGAGAGCTGGGGCTAGGCACACAGTCACAGCTCTTTCAGTGTGCACCACTAATGCCCTCTCTCTGTGGCTGGGTGTGTGGGGACAGGCGATGGATGACTACAGTGTGATCGGCCGCTCCCTGTTCAAAAAGGAAACCAACATCCAGCTCTTCGTGGGGCTCAAGGTGCACTTGTCCACTGGGGAACTGGGCATCATCGACAGTGCCTTCGGCCAGAGCGGCAAGTTCAAGATCCACATCCCAGGTAAGTGCAGCCACTTCCTCCCGGTTTAGGGACACCGTGCAGGGCACAGAGAGATGGCAGAGGTGATGCCAAGGTGGCGCTCCTTGGCTTAGGTTCCTAATCCTGCCTTTGCCGAGACACGGGGTGACTTGGCCTGCCTGGCAGCATGGCCTCTGGCTGGGAAGCCAGTATGGGTTCTGGGAAGAGCCTGGATGTGGAGTGAAGATCTGGTCTGAGCAGGGTCAAGATTGGAGTCTGAGTTCCCACTGCACCATTTACCATCTGAGGGGGCCTTGGGCCCGCACCTTGGTTTCTCTGTGGAGGCGGGAATAAGATTGAGCCTACAGGCAGTTTGGAGAAGAGCAGGTGAGGGAGACCGCTGGGGGCCTGGCATACTGTCCTGGCACGTGGTAAGGTTTCCAGGGATGTGAGTTGTCACCCTCCTTTGCCCAGCACAGACCCCCAGGCTCAGCACCACCTGCTGAGTTTGTGCTGGGGCCTCTCCGTGGGCTGGGTCAGAGGGTGTGTGTTTGCTGCTGGAGAGCCCTTGGATTTTGTCAGTGAACTCATCCTTCAATCACTTGTGCATTTATTCAGCCTACACTGCATCATGTTCTTCTGTGTTGCAAGCATTGTGCTTGGTGCTGGGGATATGGAGCTTACAGTTGTAGGAAGGTACAAACAATAAACATACTAAAGAAATCCCTGTCAGATGGGAGTAGGCACCACGTAGAAAGATAAAGCAGGGACGAGATGGAATTGCTGAGCATGCTGCTTTGGATAGGGTGATCAGGGAAGGACAGAGGGAGGGAAGGAGCCACATGGGTAGTCAGGGAGAGCATGCCACAGCGAGGGGGAAGTGAATGTTAAGGTCCTGAGGTGACAGTGAGCTTCAAGTGCATTTGCAGGTCAGTTGTTTGGCAAAAGTGTGCTGAGCAGAGAGGTGTGCAGGACATAGGCCAGGGTTCATACTGTGCGCTGGGGACCGTGGGAAGGACTAAAGCCTGTGTTCGTATGAATGGGTCATGAGCCACTATCTTTTTTTTAGAGAAAGGGTCTTACCCTGTCTGTGGAATAGAATGTGGTGATGCAATCAAGGCTCACTAAAGCCTTGACCTCCCAGGCTCAAACCATCCTCCTGCTTCAGCCTCCTGAATAGCTGGGACTCAGTTGTGTGCCACCACCCCCAGCTCCCCACTGTCCTTTATCTCCTGTACAATTGTACCAGATACAACCAATCCAGTACAATTCTGTTGTATTTCATAATACAGTAAAAATTACAAAAATTTTCAAACATACAGCAAAGTTGAAGATTTTACAGGGAACACCTTTACCCACTCCTGATTTTATATTGACATGTTACTGTCCTCTACATAACTCCAGGACTCGAGGTTGATCCTGTGAGGATGGAAAGCTGTGGGGAGGTTTGGATCAGGGGAACAACCAAGGTTGGTTTATGGCTTCTTGTGTCAAATCTCCTAAAGAGAAGGTGGTGCCCTGGCTCCAGCTGGAAAACAGAGACCCCAGCTGCCTCCGTGCTCACAGGTGGCATGAGCACCCTTCCCTCTCCTGACAGCCTTGCCAGGGAACCCCTTCCTTTCAAAGTCCTTCCACTGCCCAGAGATAGCATCTGCCTTCTCATGAGCAAGGGCAATGGTCACAGAGGCATTGCTTCTCCAGGGCACTTTGTTCCCTGTTAGCAGCCCCTAAGGCCTCTGTCAAGGTGGGGCTGGGGCAAGGGAGGCAGAGGCACCCAGCCATGGGAGGCCTCCAGCGGTGAAGCTCTAAAATTCTGTCCTGTCCTCCCCACTTCTCCATAGTGGCTCTGAGTCCTCACCTCAGCCAAACAGGAGTCTTTGTGCATCGCTTCAGTTTGGCTGTGGGTTGTCCTCAGAGACTGGAGCCCACAGGGCCCCTCTCTGGACTCCAGGGAGCATGCAGGGGGCATGAGCCAGACAGGCCAGCGTCCAGACCTCAGTCCCCAAGGGCCTCGTGCCTATGCCTGCCTGGGCTATTGTGAGCTTTCTGGGAGGGAAGGATCCCGGGATTCTTCCAGCTGGGTCGGGGGCCATACTGAGGAGCACTGATCCTTCCCCTAAACAGCTCTGGGGCCCTGCTGGACCAGGCAGAGGGAAGAGCTTATGGTCTTCTCCTTTGGGAACTGCTAGGATCACGCTGACCTCCCCTGAGCTCCCTTCCTGTAGCCCAAGGCAAACTCAGAGCTGGGGTATTCCCAGGGCAGGCAAGAACCAAGAGGAGTCTTGGTTGGGCTGCTGGGGTGGGAGTGAAGGGAGCCTCTCGGGGTGCTGGGGCGGGAGTGGAGGGAGCCTCTCAGGGTGCTGGGGTAGGAGTGGAGGGAGCCTCTCGGGGTGCTGGGGTGGGAGTGGAGGGAGGAGGGGTATAGGGACACTGCCTCAGTCCACTAGAGTTCACATTCCTTCGTCTGGTCAATGTTGACTTTTTAGTCTGCCTGCTTCCTGTTTGTGGCTTTTAAGCTTTTTATTAAATATCACTGGTCAGATTCCTCCATCCCACCCACCACCTTCCATCCCTCCCACCCCCACTCCCTGCTGATTCCTCCCTTTTAACCTTTTTGAAGTGCCTTAATTGTGAAAGAATCTTCAGGAAGCCTGAGCCATCCAGTGCCAGGTGAAGGGAGAGAGAGTGCATTGCTAGCTGCAGCCTGGACATGCAGGGTGGGGAAGCCTGGGTTTTGGTGCCATGAGAGGTAAGGCTCCCAGCCTGCAGCTCGTGGACAGGGCTGGGTTCAGATGCACTTCATGGGCCTCGCTGCCGGCTCTACAGGGCATCCGGGCTGGGAAAGGCAGAATGAAGAGTCCCCTGGGTTTCCTCCCATCAGCCTTTCACCTTGGGTTGCAAGGTCAGATGCCAGGAAGGCCAAGCAGGTGTTGAAGAGGCCAGGTGGCAGGTGATAGGGAGTGGTGGGGACTATGGTGACCTGGAGAGCTGCTGTGTGGGTCCTGCCAACTCTTCACTATATGGGAACGTAGGCCTGGGGTCTCATTTTATCTAATTTTATTTTTATGTAATATCTCCTGATTAAAAACTACAACTGTCTGTGCTAAACAAAGCATGCCTTTGGCCTGGTTTGAGCCCTAGCAACTCGTAACTCCTGTTTGAATTTTAGAAAGGACACTTGGCCCTCAGGTTCACGAGGTGAAGCTGAACCGTAATATGCAAACAGTATGTTTTAAGGAGCCACAGACACTTGCCTCAGAGACAAGGGTCCTGATGCTAGGGCTGTTGACTCCCAGAATGTGCTGTGGGAAATCAGAGGGCTGGGGGACGGCCCCATCCTTCCTGATATCCAAGGAGCCTTCCCAGAGAGTCTTGGGGGATCTCAAGGTTGGAAAGCCCCGTATTTACAAAACATCTCCCTTCAAAGACCTTGCCATTTGCAGAATTGTACTTCATGGGAGGATAGGAGGCCTGACAAGCTGCCAGTAGGAACCTACTGGGGAATTCTGCTGGTGGTGAGAGAGTAGTTGGAGGAAGGAGCTGGACATGGAGGAGGTTCCTGTCCAAGTCATAGCATCACTTGTAATTCCCAAGGGTTGTAGGGTGGAGTGAGTCTTGTTATCTCCATCTCACAGGTGGGAGCCGGGTAGCAGAGAGCCTGAGGGCTTTGCCCACGGTCTGTCTGTGTCACCTCACCCCTCTCCATCAGCTCTGTTGATGCCCCTAGAGAGCAGTCATGTCTTCAAAGAATCTGGAGCTGGGAGGCCCATGTGGTGCTTGGAGAAGCACTGCACCTGGGAGGCTGCGCTCCCAAAGCTCATCTTGGCAAGCCGTCTGTCCCACCGCTGCCACCCTCCCCTCTGCCTCAGTGTGCCAGGCATCAGCACTCACTCACAGAGGCAGGCTGGATGGCGGGTGGGACAACAGCTTCCGCAGCCCCTCCTGTTCCCACTTTGCAGGGAGAAAAGAACACCTTGATGACTCCCAACTGGAGAAGAATCATGTGAGAAGCTGAATAGACTTGTTCCTAATGACAGCTCTGAGTCACTGGGCATTTACTCTAGGACAGAAAAGGGCACACATGTGCCCGTGATCTTATCTCCTGAAGCAATGCTCTGTAAATCTAAAATCTCCCAGGGCTGTTGTTTTGTGTACCTGCCAAGATGTGGCAAGCTTTTTGAATGGCCCAAATTCATGATAGGTGGCCCCTCTCCCACAGGGTGCTCCTGAACCAGCTGATTTGGGACAGTTCATGTGTGTGTCTGCTTTAGCATTGAGGGGCACGCGGAGCTTAAAGCCTTGTTACTGGAAAGCCCCAGGCCCCTATTACCACTCGCGTGCCCATGTGTCACTGATTCTCACCAGGTAACAACTGACCATGGAACAGAGCTGCAAGTGCTTACCTCATACTAGCCAGAGAGCCGTGATTGAGAACATAGCCCACTCAAGGCCACAGCCGCGGCCTCATCCTAGCAGCGGGTGCTGCTCACGTGCCGGGAGCTCAAAAGGGTACTCATATCTCAGGCACTTGGTCTTGTGAGTAGCCAGAATTCTCATTCAAACCCTAAAATAGAGATCTTACTTTTGGTGATCTTTAATAACCTTTTGATTATTACTAATCACAAATTAATGTACTCCAGATGAGAAAAAGAAAAAAAATTTGTAGAACCATACTTACAGTTAAGACCCCAGAAGGAGCTTCTATTTACTGATTATCAGGGAGAGCCAGCACTCAGGAGGAGGAGAAACAGCCCCCAAAATGTGAGCTATGATGTATAGCAGTTGGGCTGCCCGCTGTACAGCTGAGGAGACTGGGGCTGGCAGGATGGGCAGTGCAGTTGCTGGTGTTCCCATTGCAACAAGCACCTCGTTTCACTGCACAAGCAGACCATTTCAAACCGCTCTGCTGCATGCCAGGGCTAGGATAGTCTGTGCCCAGGGAGGTGTGCCACAGAGGTGGGCACTCAGCGCAAGAAAGCCAGAACAAAGCAGACACTTGGGCAAAGGTAGCAAACATCCACACCTGAGATTCGAACCCAGAGCACCTCACTCTCAACCACTCTGCTCGAGACTCCCCACACCATGATGCCTTATAGGCAGGGCTGGGGGTGAGGCACTGAAGTGTATCTCCCTTCCTCAGGGTATGCGGGAGAAGGGAAGGGTTGGTCATTCAGCTCAGTGGGCCCTTGGACAGAGGGCCTGAAATGACTACCCTATGGCCCCTGGGAAGAGGGAGTCAGGAAAGCCACTTCTGCTCACCTCTGAAGAGGGTCCTGAGGAGGGCTCCTGGGCCATCCTGCACCCAATGCTGCCCCTGTGCCCACCCCCAGGGCTGCAGGGGCTGTGACTCTGAATTATGCCCATCAGTGTGCCATGCAGAAGGGGATGGATTTACATGGAATAGGAAGTGTTGCTTGCATGAATGAATAAATGAAGGAGTTTGGTGGAATAGACTGGACTGGAATGAACAAATGAATGTACCCAGGCCCACGAGGGCCACTCTCAGCTCTGTTTTCTGCAGCCTCACAGTGGAGGCCAAACAGCCTGGTGCTTTGTGTGCTACAGGCTTCCCCAGAACCTCAGCAATGCGGGCAGACACCAACCTCATCAGACTCCCTCAGAAGCTGCTGCCTAGGAACAGAGCTTGGGGGAGGGCTCGAGTTTCCTGATCTTTAAAACAAGGGGGCCAGGCACAGTGGCTCACCCCTGTAATCTCAGCACTCTGGGAGGCCGAGGCAAGAGAATTGCTTGAAGCCAGGAGTTTAAGACCAGCCTGGGCAGCAAAGCGAGACCCCATCCCTACAAAAATGTAAATAAATTAATCAATCCAGGGTTTGCCAGTCCATTTAGCTCGGCAAACTTAGTTGAGGCTTAGGGCTCGGGCGGGGGATACTGAGATCCTTCTCAGAGTCCTGTCCCAAGGTGCTTTCCCTGTGGGACAGGCAGAGACATGAGCAGCCATTCACAGTCAGCATGGCAAGTGGCCACTGGGACGTGTGGCTGGGAATGGGGGAAAGTGGCCATCCTGAGAGGAGGGCCAGAGCAAGCTTCCTGGAGGAGTAGCCTTCTGAGCAGAAGGGCGAGCGGGGAGCAGAAGGCTGCATAGAGAGCTAGAATCAGATGTGTGATGTTCGCTAGAACCCTGTGGCCAGTGGTCAGTCCAGCCTCATGGCCAGGGTCAGGAAAAGGCCAGGACAGTGGAAAGACCATGGGATGGGGAGTCGGGAACCTGGCCCTCATACCTGCCCTGAGCTCCAGTTCCTTCGCCTACACAGTGGGCATGTGAATTCTCAGACTGCCCCTCCAGGGCCTCTTCCAGCCTCATTCATCTACTGCTGACTCTGCCAGTGCTCAAGCCACTCCTCTGTGGAGTGCACCTGACCCCCAGGCCCTGCAGCACTGCTGTGGGGATGCACTGGCAGGAAGCAGGGGCTGGGAAGGCCAAGAGCACCTCCCAAACCCTGTCCCGGAGCTGCCATTTAGTCTAGCCCTCCACAGCCTGCATGGCAGCGTGGCCCCAACCCACAGGTGAGGAAACAGGCCCTTTGCTCACATCTACACTGCTAGTAAGTGAATGGGCCAGAGTTCTCTGTCTGCCCCAGGGAGATCGAGCAGAGGGGCCAGCAGGAGTAAGTGGGCACAGCATACCTGCTGCTGAGGGCAGTGCCAGCCCTGCCAGCTGGCTCTGCTCCCTTAGCCCTGCAGCCTTCTCCCAGGACTCTGGGGTTCCAGCTGGTAGCCCGTGGCCCCTGTGCTGAATCAGGTGTCTCAGGGCTCAGCATGGTATCCCATCCCATCCTCCTCTGTCCCTCATCACAATTTATTGGGCCCTCCGTGTACAGACCTGTCTAGGTGCTGGAGGGGGTCAGAGGTGAAACAAGGCCTGGGTGGGGAGGGGGCTCCCTGAGTGGATGGAGAGCCCTGGGCCAACACCCAGTGGGACAACTCCTCTGTGAACCACTCTCTGGTTTAGGAGAGGGACGGGTCAGACGAGGCCAAGGTTGCAGGGGCCGCTGGGCTAGTTACCTGGAGGGTCTCCTGGGGCATCCCAGGCTCCCTTCTGATTGGGACCAGCCACTTTCCAGTCTGTGCTTCAGCTTCTTCAGTGCTAACCCAGAGCTAGTCATTCTGATTTCCAGGAAGGCTGAAAATTTAATCATAGAATCCCTGGAGAGGACTGCCTATAGTATCCACTTACGGCAGGGGCTCCCTAAGTGGTGGCTGGAATTGTGTGCTGTGTGCACCCACCCCTCACCTGCCAGCCCTTCCTCTTGGTGGGGTAGCTCACATGTCCACTGAGGGCCTCACTTTATCCTCCCACCCATGCCCTGTCCCTACCACAGAGCACTGGGAAACGATGCCTGTAGGAGCCCCGGTGCTGCATTCATGCCAGGCTGCTTCACAGGAGATTAACCAGCCACCTTTCAAGCAGGGATTGGCTGTGCCACAAGGACCTCTCCAATTTATTGACCCTGGAAAGCACTTTGCATGGTCAAAAACAAGGATTATACCTTTCCCTCCTGATTGAAAACAGAAGCCAAATCATAGAGGCATCCCCCAGATGCCCCGCTTTGCCTCAGCCGTTGGATGGCCAATGTCTCTCCCGGGACCAGTACAGGGCAGAGCAGCAAGTGCTTCAGCTCAGCCCAGAAGCTGATGCACCTCTCTGTTGACCAGGCAACAGATTGTCAGGGGCTCTCAGACCCAGGTTCACAAGGTGGCAGATTTGTCAGGGCCTAAGTCCCAGAAGCTCTATTTGCTAGAAATATGGGTCATTTAGTATGGACTGGGCCAGGCCTGCAGGAGTTGGGGACACACCCCTTCAGTGGTTTTGGGGGACCAGTGTGTTGGTGAGGTCCCAGGCAAGTAACTCTAAGAATAGAAACTATGGTTCTAAGAAATGGCCAGGGGCATTGGTCCATATGGGCTGGTGACCAGAAGGAATGGAATTGGCCTGGGTGACTTGTAGCATGAGGGCCTACAGCCATCCGGAGGGTAGCAGGCAGGGCCTGAGGCTGAGACAATGTCAGCAGTACAATCAGCTGCTGCCCATGCCCTGTGCCAGGCAGCACGCCCTTGTGTAGTCTGACCACTCAATCCTGCCAGCAGCCCAGGGAAACCAGGCTGTCATCACCCCAGTTCTGCAGAGGAGGAAATCAGACCAACCCCAGTGCCCTGGCAGTCAGCCTGAGGGCACAGAGGAGGAGGAGGAGGAGCAGGAGCTGGGGTCCTGATTTTCAAGGTCAGAGACAGGAGGGCTCTGGCCTCACACAGTCACTCTGACTTTAGCTAGCTCTTCTTTACCAAGCACTGACTCTTGTGTGTGGAAAGTATTTTTCTGGTATCAGACATAGTGTTGGGTTCTGGGCACATGGCTCAAACAAGACACAGTCCCTGCACCCCGGGAGTTCACAGCTAATCACCCCTCTGTTCAACAGTGTGCTTTTGAGCCCCTGTTATGTGTCATCCTTGTGTTGGGTTCTAGAAAGACCACAGTGAGCCACAGCCCACATGACCCCTGAGCTCATGGGGCTGTTGGGTTGGTGTACTAGTCAACTCGGGCTATCATAACAGAATACCACAGACGCGGTGGCTTAAACAATAGGCATTCATTTCCTGTCAGTTCTGGAGCCTGGAAGTCCAAGATCAAGGTGTCTGCAGGGTGGGTTTCTCCTGCAGCCTCTCTCTTGGCTTGCAGACGGCTGCCTTCTCCCTGTGTCCTCACATGGCTGTCCCTCTGTGCGTGTCTGTGTCCCAACCTCTATTTTGAAGGACATTAGTCAGTTTGGTTTAGAACTCAACCTAAAGACCTCATTTCATCTTAATTACACCTTTAAAGGCCCTGCCTCCAAATACAGTCCCATTCTAAAGTCTGGGGGTTAGGATTCCAGTATATGAATTTGAAGGGACACAGTTCAGCCTGTAACAGTTAGGATGCTGGCACTGGCAGACTTTCTCCTGAGCATTTGTGTATTGGCAGCCACATGCATGCTGTGCACAGAAGGTGCACAATGCCATGAGATCTTACAGTAGGACCCCAACCGAGTCTGGGCTTGGGAAGGCTTCCTTCGGAAGTGGCATTGCACTGGGGTCTGAGGACAAATTGGAGTCTCAGTGCCCCTGGAGGTGAGGGTGCCACAGTGGTGCTGCTCAGGCTATTCCTGCTGGCCCTGAGTATCACCTCCGCATCGAACCAGCCACCTGCTGTGTGGACTCCTGTGCCTGTAAGCAAGAGCCACATCCTGTTTCCACAAGGCCTACCTCAGGGATGCCGTGAGACTGCAACATTGCTGCACCCCTACTTAGGCTGCCGATTATGGACTTATGTCCCCTTCCCACCTTACAGGGAGAGAGACAGCCTTGAAACCAGACCCAGAGATGAGTGAAGCACCACAGTTGGTGCTGTGGCCCCACTGCCTGCCTGGCCATATCACTGGCTCCATCAGCCCTCCAAAGAAACCAGCTCTACAATAAGACTCCCTTTTCCTGTCACCCATTTCATCTGGAATGCCAAGCAGTTCTGCACTGGTGACGCGTGCTGACTCCAGCTCAGGCTAGGGCTCTGCTGAAAAGCTGCCTCCTGCGATCACTTGCCTAATGGTTCTTCCTCCCACCACCCACTGGGAGAGCCGTGCCTCAGGAATTCCATGGGGCCAGTCACATGGCCTGATGCCCTTGGGCTGGGCCAGGATGGTGCTGCCACAGCCTAGATCCTGGGTGTAGCCCCTTGCACAAGGTCAGCTGGAGTGTGTCCTGTCTCCAGCTACAGCCAGTCACAGCAGATGGTGGTTGCATTTGGCACAGAAGTACAGTCCACAGGCTGAGTGCAGTGGCTCACACCTGTAATCCCTATGCCTGGGGAGGCTGAGGCAAGCGGATCACCTGAGGTCAGGAGTTGGAGACCAGACTGGCCAATGTGGCAAAACCCCATCTCTAATAAAAATTTAAAAATTAGCTGGGCATAGTGGTTACACACCTGTAGTCCCAGCTACTCGGGAGGCTGAGGCAGGAGAATTGCTTGAACCTGGGAGATGGAGGTTACAGTGAGCCAGGAGATTGCGCCACTGCACTCCAGCCTGGGTGACAGAGCGAGACTCCATCTCCAAAAAAAACAAAAAAAAAAAAACAAAAAAAGAAGTACAGTCCACAACACACACAAGAAATGAAGTTTTCTGTGTTTTAAGAAAGAGGAGTTTTAAAAAACAATAAACAACAATGACAACTGCGCATGTTAAAATCACTCCCTGGATGTGGTAGCTCAGCTGAGCCTTGCTGGTCAGGGCCACTTCCCGGAAGCTTTCTCACTGTTGCTAATCCTTCTGAAGGGCCTGGGTCAGCTCACTGCCTTTGGAGCCCTCGGTTTTCATCTGATAAAATGGGGGTAACAATCCTGTCTTGAAGGACTGTGAGGAGTAAACCAGTGTGCAAGGATGCCCAGCATGTTGCAGGCGTTGGGAGTGGGCTGCCAGCCCCTTCCCTCATCTGCCTGCACCGCATGAGCCTGACACGTGCCGGAGTCCAGGCCTGAAAACCCAAGGGGCTGGGCCCCCTGAGCTCCATGCCCGTATTGCTGGGCTGTAGCACAGCCACGGTGGCATTACCACTTCCAATTTTTCAAGAAAGCCTGGATATCTGTATTTTTACATGAAATCTTCCCATTCTCAGTTGGGCCACAATGTGTGGTCTCTGTGTTGGCACCAGGTCCTTAATGTGCCGTCTCTTCCTCCTGCTGCAGCCTTCAAGAGGAGGCCATCGCCCTGTTTCTCCCAAAGGCACTGTGAGGCTCAGAGGAGCTAGATGACTGGCCCACCAGACCCTGAAGTTCCCAATGGAAGTGGACATCACCCATGGTTCCACTTAGCTGGGAGGCTTCTGGAAACTCAGCATAGAGCAAAAGTGAAAACACATCCTGGTGCCAAAGGGACAGGACACGATGAGCCCTGAGGTTGTGGATATTGTTATGTTCCCATAAATAACAGGCCCTCAGACAATGGGCTGTGAGGCTGTGTGTTCCTCTGGGGTTTGAAATGAAACTGGCTTTCTTCTCTTTTAAAATGTGCTCTCTCCAACCATCCAGCTGCTCTGTTTGGAGCAGATTCTGGGGCAACCCCAATAACCTGTCCTTGGGATTTCATTAGCACCACCAGCCAGCTGCCTGGAAAGTAGCCCCTGCCAGGACCAAATTAACTTTTACTGAGAGACATTGGCAGGGCTGGTATTGTGCACACTTGGCATTTTCAGCCCACACTGGGATGTGGGTAGCAGGGTACCTTCAAAGAACAAGAGCTTCGGAGGCAGCCAGACCTGTGTTGGAATCCTGGCTAGAATGCTACCCTTTCTGAAAATCCCAGTTTCCTCATCAGTAAGGTGGGTTATCTTGAGGACTTTCCCTCCTAGCTTTTTAAATAATTTCAAACATACTGAAGAGTGGAAAGCTTATTGAGCAGTGTTGCTCCCTTGGCTTCAACAATTGCTCCGTGTTGTCTTGTCTGCTTTGTTTGTGCGCCGAGCCGACTGAGGGTTCCTCCTGGTGCTGCTGCTGTGCCTGCACCCTCAGCACATGTCCCCGAGGAACAAGGACATTCTCCTGCAGAACCACAACGCAGTTACCACTGGAGAAATGTGACATTGATGCCACATTGTCTAGGATACAGTCCATTTTCAGATTCCCCAACTGTCGCAATAGTGTCTTAGGAAGTTTTCCATGCTTGAGGAGTCAGTGAAAGGTGGCACCTGCGCTCAGTGCTGCCACCAATAGTTTTACAACACTGATGTTTTTGAAGAGCCCAGGTTGGTTGTTTCCCAGTGCACTCTTTGGGTCTGTCTGATATTTCTTCATGACTGGGTTCAGGCTGTGCATTTTTGGAAGGAATTCTACAGAGGTGATTTCGGGGCCTTAGTGTGTCCTATCCGGATGTCTGCCCATCATAGGCAATGCTAGGTTTGACCACTAGTGAAGGTGGTTGTTAGGAGGTTCAATGAGGTGATGAAGACAGAGCCCAGGCCCAGAGATAGCTGTGTGGAGGGAGTGCAGCGGCCCACACTCACCACCGGTATCATAGCTCAGCAGCTGTGCCCCATGCAGGATGCCTCTGTGGCCTGGGAGGAGGGGCACCAGCAGGTCCCTTGGGAAGTTACAGTAAAGGCCCCGGTCTGGCAGCAGTGAGGCAGAGCTGACTCTCTGGAGCCAGATCTAGGGATATCCTACCCCTCTCCCATATCCCCATGGGGCTAAGCCAGGGCCTGTGGAGGGAGGAGAGGAGCTGCTACTTCCCCCAAAGCCTTCTCTTTCTCCCTCTCCCCGACCACCCACCCTCTCTCCCCAGCCCAGCTCTGTTTCAGCCATTGCCCCTCTCCCTGTGACCAGCATCAGACCTGAGCACAGAGGACTGGCTCTAGGCCCATCCCAGGGGGCACCGTTTGGGTGGAGATGTTACAGAAAGGAGCAAGCACTATAGTAGGGGCCCTACAGGGCTTTGGAGAAAGAGCATGGAGTGACTGCTCCCTTCCAGAGTGAAGGTGGGAAGTTTTACCGATGCAGTGAGGCTTGAGCTTGTCTTGAAGGTGAGGAGATTTCCCCAGGGAGAAAAGGGAGGAAGGGTGTTCAGGACAGAAGGAACAGAGTGTGCTAGGGCACAGAGGATGGAAAGAGTGGCATATTCTGGGAATATGGAATAGAAACTAATATTCATTGCTTGTTAAAATGAGTAGGACATTGTTCTAAGTGTTGTATATGTTATTAACTCCTTTGATATATATAAAATGATGGTTTTGGAGCAGTTTTTTTTTTAAAAGCAATGGAATTCTTTGTTTTTTCACCCGAAGTCTTTCATGGAATCCAATTGAGGCCCTGGGGAGCCTCCTTGCTGTTCACCTCAAATCCAGCCCTGAGGCTCATCCTTGGATGGATGGGGAGGAGGGGAGGAGGAGCTTACTCCCGAAAGGCCTTGGCCTCCATGCTTGTATCTGGCCTTTGTCTAGACAGGGTTCCCATCGACACTGCTGACACTGGGGCTGGACCATCCTCTACTGTGGGGCTGCCTTGTGCCCTGCAGGGTGTTTGTGGGTATCCCTGGCTTCTTCTTACTAGGTACAGCCTCACCCAAGTTGCAGCAATGAAAAACTTCTCTAGATGTTCCCAAGTGTCCCCTGGGGACCAAAATATCCCCCAGTTGAGAACCACTGGTCTAAGCAAGTGGCAGAAGGAACTGGTGGTTGGTGTGCAGGGAGGAACACAGTCAGAAAGCTCTGTCTGGCAGCTGGTTGGAGGGGGCAAGCCAAGGCCTGAGGCTGGACAGTGGGCACATGGGGAGGAGGGCAGAGGGGCAGGATGCACCCCAGAACCTGTTGGGGTGCAGAATGAGGAGGGTGATGTCCAGAATAGATTCTACCCCAGGCCTCGTGGGCAGCCTCTGGCCAGCAAGGAGGGCCTAGGCATGCCCCCAGAGTCCCAGCCCCATGGTAGGGGCCCTACAGGGCCATGGGGAAAGAGAGGACAGAGTGGTCCTGCAGGGGCCGGGGCCCGGCGGCAGTGCCTCATCCATCCTGAGGTCTCTGGGTGCTTGGTGGTGGGGGGCCCTGAGCTCTGGGCCCAGTGGCCTTGAGAGGAGGGAGGCTCTGTCCAGCCTGGTGCGGACCAGGAGTGCAGGATCTTTACTGGCCCTTACACAGTGAATGCAACTTTTCTTTGGGAACTATTTCTCTTTGCTTAGGACTCTCTAAAACTTTCCAGATTTGCCAGTTTGTAGTTTTAGGGAAAATTTGTATTTTTCCATATGCAGTTATCCTACCTAAATAAAGTCAGCAGAGTGAACTGATAAAACAATTAACATTTTAGGCAGTGGAAAGTGGAACTTGCGATTGGCTGTCTCTGGAGGGTCTCTCCAGAAAGTCTTGATTTAGCAAACCACCAGCAATCTTAGATACCTGAGAGAAAGTTCCAGAAATCAGAGGCCGGCCCATGTTCTATCGTGGATGATCTTGGCTTGGGCAGTTCTGTGGATCTTGTGTCTGATACTCCATGCCCTGGACTGCCATGGCAGCTGGTCAAGGGGCCTAAAACCCTGAAGCCTTTAAATACATGTGCCAGCAGCAGGAAACTCCCTGCCCCAAATTCCCCCATGATTTGGATTCACCACAACACTTACCATGTGTTCAGAGACGCTTGGTCATCACAGTCACTAGCAAGGGGAGGAAAACCCCTTCCTGGCTAGGTGCTGGGGGTACAGAGGGCCTGGGGCAGGACGGTGCTCCAGCATGCTCTGCCACTACTACCACTGTTACTGCCGATGTTCATTTAGCTCCTGCTGTGTGCCAGACTACCTGACATGCTTTGTTGAAATCCACTACAGTGTAGAAATCCACTCTTTTGTTCCTTCAGCACCCCCTGAGGTGGGCACTATTAGTAGGTCGTCACTCACCCAATGTCTGACAGACCACACTGCCTTTAGTGACCACAGCACAGCAGCCCTCTCTGGGACAAACAGGTTAGGGTGAAGGGTGCTGGGCCCCTGACTATACGTAAACAAGGTATTCACAGCAGTGCTTAGAGCTGCGCCTAGCGAGGGTTGGTGCTCACCAGCCACTGCTGCTGTAGATGTCACTTCCATGAAACCTCTGAGTTGTTCCTGGCTTCCTTCCTGTCTGAGGAGGAGGCAGGGGAGTAATAACAATAACACCTGTAATTGTACCTATAGAAAACATGTACAGAGCAGTCCCAAGGCTGAGTGTTTCCTGAAGAGCGTCTCACTGATCTGCCCTGTACAAATGTCAAGATGAGGCCCTGAGAAGTGGAATGACTTGCACGAGGTCGCACAGCTGAGAAAGGGAGGAGGAGCCAGGATTTTACCCCATTTTGTCTGACTGCAGAGCCCCAGCACTTTATGCTGAAAGAGAACTGGGAGCCAGTGGAGTGTGGAGTTCCGTGCAATGTGGAGCCAGGCAGGCAGGGACGAGTGAGAGAACCTGGCACCCATTGTGTGGATGTTGGGCCCACCTTGCTCTTGCCTGCCTCCTCCACCTGGGCTCTCTCACCTGGCCACAGAGTCAGCTGAGTTTAGAATGGCACTTGATGAGCTACAGGTAACCATTGGATTGCTCAGGCACCCAGGGCCACTCCTGGAACCTGTCTCCAGGGAACCTCTGTGGCCCACACAGGATCTAGCCCTGGGCCAGAGTGTTTCACTGCTGCCGGGTAGTTAGCCAGGGACCTACAGCAGCAGCGAGCCTTTGGTTGGTGAGCAACCCCTAGCTGGGGCTCCTGTGACCTGGTGTTTATTTAGTGCTCGAAGGTTGGGATCACCACGTGCATGTCCAGGGAGCTCTGCTATCCACACACAACCTCCTCACAGATACAGGCTAGTGCCTATACCAAGCCCTTCCCAGCAGGGCTCTATTCATCCAGTCTCCTGTCCTTGGGGTGGGTCAGCTCTGGAGGGGGCTAACCAAAAAGATCCAGGTATCACATGCATATCTTAAGCCAATTCTCACCCATAAAATTTCACAGTCCCATTAGAGAGAAAGCTTAAAAATCTGGGGAAAAAGTCACCCACAGTCTCCTCACCCCAGTAGCATCCCAAGGGACTTTTGGTTCCATTTCCTTCCAGCACTTTCCACATGTCACTTGGCCAGGCTGGGAAGGGCTCATGGTCGGGAGTGAGAGTTGAAGGCCCACCTCCTTCACTGGCCATTAGACCTGGACCAGCCCCGCTGCCTCCCTGAGCTGCACTCCCCTCTGCAGCATGCAAGGGCAGTGCTGATGTCTATCATTAGCTCTGGAGGGTGCAGTTGGAAACCATGAGTATGAAGTGCCCACCCAGGGTCCAGCACCTGAAGATGCACCATCGGTGCCCAGTGCTGTCATCGACTGTGTGGCTCTTTTGGACGTGACACCACACCAGACCCCCAGGTCATACTGCTGCTTTCCTTGGGGCTTCCTCAGAGGCTGCTGTTCATGTTTTCCCCTCGCCTCCAAGGGCTGTGCTTGTAGACTTGTGTAAGCGGACCGTGCTTACCTCACCATCTCCTACTGGTCAGGTACCTACAATTTTTCCCACTGTTTTTCGTTATTATGGCCAACATTCAGAGTCATCCTGGAGCTTTTCTCACCATCAACCTTTGAGTGTGGGCCATTCAGTCAGGACACACTTACTCACTCTCAGATTTCTTTAGTTTGCCTCAGTGGGTGAGTGGGGGAGACCTAGGGGGCTTTCTACTGGGGACCCCATTCCAGTTCCTGGCACTAATTGTGGCTCAATAAAGGCACACTGAATAAAAGAATGCCAGAAATTTCACTGAGACGTGATTTTCCTCCATGTTTATGATTCAGTGATCAAAGTTAGAAATTGTTAAAAAAAATGAAAAACAATAATATATTTCTCACTGTATGCCATATACTTTTCTAAGCATATTATATATAATAATATAATTTACTCTTCACAACAAACCTGAAGGAATTATAATTATTGAAATTGCCATTTTGCAAATGAGGAAACAGAAGCACAGAGAGGTAAAGGAAAGTGCTCCAAGTCACACAGCTCTTGAGCCCCAGAGCTGAGACTTGAGCCCAGGCCATCTGGCACTGGAGCTCATGCTCTTAGCCCTGTGTTCTCTGCCTCTGACTGTTCTCATTTTTGTCCATCTGTTCCACCTGGCCCTGAGCTAAGGGCCCAACATGAATTCCAGAAGTTCCCATTTTGGTTTGGCCCAGCCTTTGGGGTGGTTAAAGAAATACTCTAAACTGCAGTTTCCTTGTCCTATATAAAAAAAGGAGTGGTCCCTGCCTTCAGGATTGTAATAGAGGAGTAAGAAAATGTGTACCAAGTGCCTGGACCCTTAGAACTGTCCTGTGAGTTCGAGTGTGTTTCTCTTCCTCTTCACAGGGGCTGCAGACAGTCCCTGGGGGATCAGGTGTAGGCTAAGTTTTGGTGGTGAGGATTTGTGTCTGTCTGGGGATTGGTAAAGCCACTGCCTCTTCATGTGCCATCTTCCAGCACCTGTCTGTCTGGTGAGCACTTCACTTCTTGTGGCTGTTGCTTGCTAGCCCCTTACCTCCTGCCCACCCTCGCCATGGGCACAAATCCACACCAGGCACTATGCTCAGAAGTTGCCTTGACAGTGCCCTCTTAGTATGGCATTTGGCATGCTTCGCAGTCGGTCTCCCACCAGCCTTCTCTGCCTCCCCTCCCTCTGTCCCTCTGGACCGCAGGCCACCCTCCAGCCCTAGCCCTGCAGCAGCCCATAGCAGCTTTCCTTCATTCTGCCACTTGCGCTGGGTGCTCTGGCCTCAGCTCAGATGCCACCTCTAGGAAGGCTCCCTGTCCTTCTCAAACGGAGCAGGTCCTCAATGTTCTCCTCCTTTGCGCATCTCTTCCAGTGCCACATCGGCTTCTCCACTCCCTGGACAGAGAGCTCTGAATCCCAGGTGGCTCCACACTCATTCCACGACTGGGCTGGGAGGTGCTCCCAAGTGGAAGGTCTTTGCTGTGTTAGTCTGTGGCCTGCACATGCTCACTGCTCACTGTTGGATGAGTGAGTGAGTGGGCAAACCCCTGTGATCTCCACCACACACCCTTTATATGAACACCACCCTTTATTTAAGCTAGATGGGGCTGAGAAATAGGGTATTTGAAGCCTCAGATTGACCCATGTGCCTGAAAAAGTTCAGAGGTGGTGCTTGATCCCAGGACTCAGCCCTGCCCTCCTTCAGGCAGCTGTCCCAGCCAGGCTTCTCCATAGATGGTCTTCCAGCTGCAAGTCCAGTGGAGTAGGGTGCCTCTTTCCCAGTAACCCCACCAAAGTGCTAGAGCCCCACACCATCCCCAGACCAGCACAGGAGCCTGGGGCATGCACAGTTCTCTGGCCAGCCTGGGTCATGTGCTCCTCTTGGCACCAAGGATGCACCCTTTTGCAACCCTGCATCCCCAAGGAAAACCAGGGGCTGTTACTAGAAGTAGGCGGAAACAGCAGGTGTTTGCTGCAAGCAGGAATGCCCACTGTGCTTGGGCTTTCCTCACCACTGGCATGGCCTTACCATCATCATCACCCTAACCTGCACAGCCACAGCCCTTCCCAGGGCCCCGCAGCATTCTGGGCCAGCTTCGCTTCCTGAGCCCTCTGGACTGCTGGGGTTTCTTCCCCAGAGGTGAGCTTCTCTAGGCTGAGGGCTGGACTGAGTCTCCCAGTGTCTCCAGGGTCCCACCCATCAGCTGGCAGACCCCAGGTAAGCTGTGTTTTGTCAGGTATGTTCATGGTGGGATTTGAAGGACCTCTGTCCCTTCAGCCATTGAAAACTGTTCCTCTCCCCAGTAACAGTGACCATCCCAGTTGCAAATACATCATTCATCCTCATTAGCCTTGGCACACTGACTTGTGTGGTGGAAAGATGATCCTTCTGGCCAAGCAGTGAGCATATCAGGATTCACCAGTGCCTAACTGGGACTCAGAAGTCTCAGCAGAGTCAGCAGTGTCTCATGATTCTTGTGAAAGAGGAAAGATTTAATGTCAGAACCTAGGTCAGGAATAGGTGATTGTTCTGCACCCAAAGGTTTGGGGAACCCTCACACTGTGGGCTAATTTCCCTCTGTCACCTGGGGGAAGAAGGCCCCATGGCTTCTTCGTGCCCAGCAGCGGCACAATCTCTCACTCAGGGGTCATGGCCTGGCCCCAGACTTTTGTTTCCATCCAAACTGGTTTGAAAAAAACCTCACAAACTGTTTTTTTAATAACCTAGAAGTATAATAGTAATAGTCATTCAAGGAGATTTGCATGTTAAAGAAAATAAAAAGAAGTCTCCCATAGTCCCATTATTAATATTTTGACTTAGTTTCTTCCGTCTTTTCTCTGCAAAGCCTTCTTTTTATGTAATTGAGATATGGTGTATACAATTTTGTGTCTGATTCTTTTCAATTAATATTTATTATACAAACTTTTTTTTTTCTTTTACTGTTTTACTCTGTGGTCTCCAAGGGAAGTTGAACCACGTAGTGATTAAGAGCCTGGGCTCCGGGCTCAGACAGAGCTTGGTCTGAATCCCAGCACCATTACTTACCAGGTCTACAACCTAGATAACCAAGCAGGCCTCGCTGAGTCTTAGTTTCCTCGCCTGTAAAATGGATACCGAATGTGCCCTAGGTGGAGATGCTCCAAGATATAAATGTCCAGTAAAATGTAAAAGCACATGCAACACTCAGCAATAGCAAGAGCTGTGTTCAGTCATGTGGCCATTGTTTTCAATGCAGCGTAACAGTAACCAACCTTGCCAAGGCCTTAATGGGCTACCTAAGCATCTGTGGATGTTCCATCTCTTGTAAATAACATTGCTGGAAGCATCTCTGTCTATAAATCTCTGTTTTAATATGTAGGGTATTTTCTTAAGATGGAGCCTCAGAAGCTGAATTGTTCTAATTTTTAAAATGAAAACATCACAGACATTTAAAAAGTTCTTAAGAGTTCCTGGCAAAGTGTTTCCCAAAAGTACAGTGCCATTTTATACTTCCATCAGCAGTGGGTGAAGGTGTCTGTTCTCTACCCCTCACCAGCACAGGCTCCCCTGTGTTATTTATCTTTGCTATTTTCCTACATGGCAAATGACATCTCAGTGTCTTTAATTTGCATTTCTTTGATAACTAGTAAAGTCAACCATTTTGCCATATCCAAGTTTCTTTAAAGAGATTCAGAAGAAGAAGATAAGTGGAGAAAAACGTGCAGTTCACAGTCTGGCATCTTTATGACTGTCTGCCAAAATTTCCCACTTCAGCCTCCTACACTGGGGACTAGAGTACCTCTTGGATTCTGACCTGCAGATCTCCATAGTGTATACTCGTCACCCCAACCCTGTGCAATCCAGAGGCACCTCTACCAAGATGGCTTTTGTCCTTCACAGCACCTGCATCTCTCATCCAGATGCCCTTTGTGACTGGCCCCATGCTGAGTCACGAACCCAGAGCCCAGACCCAGGGCCTGTCATATGTGGGCATTCCAACAGTCCTCCTCCATCTGAGGCCCTTCAGGAGGGAGCCACCACCCAGAAGAGTAGGGGAGGTTTCTCAGAGCCTTAAAAGAAGAGTCAGTCTTTGATCAATCCAAGGACAGCCTGTGACCTCCCGCCTGGGACAGGAATCATGTTGGATCTGTGCACCACTGCATCCCCAGGGCCTAGCACACTGACCAAGGAGGGAGATAAGCCCACCTACAGGCAGCAGGGAGCCACTGAGGGTCTTTGGGCAGAGGAACTAGGATGGAGGAGTGTTTGTGGACAGTGGTGGTACTAGTGGTCTGGGGGCCTGGTGAGCTGCTCGTAGGAGCCCCTGAGAGTTCATGGCAAGTGTGGGAAAGCCAGTACAGGACTCAGGCAGCCCTCTCTCCTGTGCCTGACACCCCCAGGCTGGCTGCTGGCCCCAGCTGCAGGCCAGCCTGACTCTGACAGCTGACTTCTCCAAGTTGCTGGCTGTTCCCAGACAGCTCATCCCACTCCCGTCCCACAGGGAGGCCCGAAGCCAGCTTTGTCAGGGCAGTCTGGATGTACTTGTGACCCCTGAGGTGAGGGCAAACTCTCCACAGGCAATCCTGGGCATTCCACTGGGTTCTGTCCCACACAGCTGACTGGTCGGCCAGGGAGACTCTGGAAAACAGCTTGGTTGGGAGAAAAGAGTTGAAGAGAGGTGAGGGGTGAAAGTTGAGGTTTCAGAAAATCCCTGTAAAAATGAAAACAAACCATCCATCTTTCTCCTGGGTGTCTTAGCCCGCCACTGCCCTTTGTGGATCTTGCCCCAGTGTCTGTAGGGACGGCAGCTCTGAAACCTAATCCAGCAGCCAGCTAGCTGCTGCCAACCCCCACCCAGTGCAGGAATGCCCTGACAGGGCCAGCCTCTCCTGGAAGCCGTCCTGACGGAGGAGCACCTTTACCAAGCGCAGAGAGCACTTCGGGGTGTACTTTTTTCCCCAAATGAATAGCCAGCCTCCTCCCGCTTTGGCCATTGAAGCATTTCAAAGCAATTGTAAAAATTATATGAACCCCATCGAAGAACTGTTACAACAGTGTTTATACCCAGCGTTTGAAACAAAGACAATGATATTATAAATAATTGTAGATGATGAAGATAGGCAAGAAAAAATAACATAATTAAAAGAATTTTACAAGACGGACCGTTCACAAAGATGGATGGAGTAACACAATACGTTAAAAATATCTGCAATTAACATAAACACAGCCTAGTGGACAGAAACCATCTGCTGGCTGGCCTCTCCCTGGGCATGGTCCCATGTCACACAGGGCGGTGCCAGGGCCTTCACTGTGGCTGTCATGTCTCTGGGGCCCCTAGGAAGAGGCTGTCTAGGGGTATCTTTCCTTGCGGCAATCGGAGGCCCTGTGATCTGGGAATGATTGAGAAGGAAGTACAGAAACAAAAGGGAAACTGAGGACTTTCCAAGAAGGAGTGTCTTCGTGGGGTCACAGAGCTTTCTCCAGGAGCCCCTCCCTCACCCCAGATGAGGTTGGGTCCCGTCAGCTGTCCCCACACACCCAATGCTTTTCCATCACAGAGGTGGATGAATGCCCAGGGACTCCCAAGAATGAGTCATGTGGCCAGCCTCTCTGGGCCCACACATGCTCCACCTTGTGTTGGCACATAGTAGGGCCTCGGCCCCTGTGTGTTGGGTGACTGACCTATGGCTTCTGAGGCTGGCATGTAAGGTATAGGGAGCAAGGTGCGATTATTGGTCTCATGTCATTAGTGGGTGTCTACAGCAGGGCCTGACCACAGAGCTCTGGCTGGACTCTAGGTGCTTTGGGTGCAAGGTGCTTGGTGCCATTTCTCGTGATGACTGCCTGAGGTGGGCACCCCGATACCCACTGGACAAGAGCCGAGGCCCCGAGAGCCTCATGCTTAGACAGAGACTGCCCAGGAGCACACCTGAGGCTTTTATATCTTACCTCCCCTGTTATCCCATCCCCTTTTCATCACTATTTGATTTTCTAAAAGTAAAAATAAAATTTGTTTTGAACTGTGAAAAACTTTCACCATACAGAGTACAGTAGACAGCCCTGTAACCAGCAAGATCAGACAGATGTGAACTTTTTGTCACATCCTTCAATCTCTCTTCACCTCTCTTCACACCCTTCCCCTATCTTGTTTGGGGGAAGTGAAATGTACAGCTCAAGCCCTCCACCATGCTCTCTTCGGCTGGTGGCCTCACACACATGTGCAGCTTTCACACTTTTCCTGCATAGGGTGGCCTCCTGAGCAGCCTGGAGGGTTCGTACGTGCTTTACGTTTTACATACTTGGTTTCACACTGACCCAGGTGTTATTAGAACACTGATGTTTTCTTTGTGGAACTTGCTGTTCTGGTCAGCGGTTCTGGTTGACTCCATTTGACTGCTATATGTTATCCCATAGTCCGAATTAAACAATTTGTACACCTGCGACCTGTTGGGTGGGTTGTGTCCACGTCTCCACAATGCAGAGCAGTATAAGAGGGTTTCTCTAGGCAAGTAGGGTCACCTGGTGCTGGGACATGTGCACCTGTGGGTGGAGGGGGCCCCAATGGTGCCGGCCTCTCCCCCACCAGCACTGTGTTATCTGACTCACCGTTCCCGCCAGGTGATGGATGCAGCCATCTGATAATCAGAGCTGCTTTCTCCCCAGAAGTTCATGCTCAGCCTGGTTTCTTGGAGGCCTAGGATCAACCCAGAATATCAGGCCTTGACAGGGAATCTTTGGGCCTCCCCTAAGCAGAGTGGAGCTGGGATTTCTGATTGGCTCTTGCTATGGGGTGAAGGGAAACCTGGGCATTTAGTTGGAAAGCCAGGCCCCTGGCTTGCTCCATGTGATTTCCTGCTAGAGACCACCTCCTATCCATGACTTGGAGTCAGACACCCTTGGGTTTGAATGGACCATGGGTTAAGTGCCACCAGGCAGTTGGTTCACAGCTCTGCAGCCTGTGAAGAGGAAATGGGAAGCAAGTGGAGATGAATGGGTTGGGCGGCTGGTGTATATTTGGCCCTCTCCCTGAGTGGTCATCTTTATTGTTGTTAGAAAGGGATGATTGCCGATTGCTAGAAATAAATGATCAGGTCAAAGATTTGGAAACTGGCTTTGGGGGCTGGGCCTTCCCCCATGTAGTGGGATGATGTCTCATGAGGCAAGAACAGGCTTTGGGTCAAGGCCAGGATGAGTTCCATTAGGCCTGAACAGCGCCAGAGCTCTGGAGCCCCAGATCTGTACATTCATGCGTCAATCACCTCTGCGTGCCAACCCTCAGCTCAGGCTAGGACTCAGTGGCAAGAGAGACAGCTTTGGGCCTGCTTCCTGGAGCTTCCACAGAAGGGGTAGTTGGTCAGGCCCAGGAGCATAAGCTTCTGTGCAGCTGCGTGCCGTGGAGGAAGAGGGCAGGTCTGACACGGAAGGGGCATCTTCGTGGGGCCTGCAGGAAATGCAGGGCACTTCTAAGGAAGCAGCACCCAGGAGACCTGGCCCGGGGTTCAGAGTCTACAGGGTAGCAGGAAGGGCATTCTGGGAGGGATCTGCACAAAGATGTTCCTTTCCCTGAGGTGGAAAAGGAAAGAGCAGAAGGGCCTGTGGCTGGGGCAGCAGGGAGCAGGGGGAAGAACAGTGGAGCACAAGTACGCTGGGCCACGTGAGGACGCCATCCACTACCTCGGGACGGGAGGAGACACTAGAGATAGGCCCGAATGTGGTTCTGTGAAGCCACTTCCCAGGTGGCCCCAGGCAAGGCCCTCTCCTCTCTGAGTCTCCTGCTCTCTAGAATGGGGGCTATGACGCCCAGCTCCTGGGGTTGTCAGGAAGAAGAAAGCACTGCCCATCATGACCTCTCTGTAAGCCCCTCTGGGCTGCTTGTGGAGAGAAACCCAAGGCCTCAAATCAGAAATGCTTCCTTCAGACTCCTGGGCCTTGAGGCAAGTGTCATGGGAAATTGGATGCCAACCAAGCCCAGGGCAGACACGCTGTGCCAGGATTCAGCAGAGCAGGGAGCGTGCAGGGAGAGGCAACCCTATGCCCTCGTCTCAGAGCAGGCTGTGTGCGCCCAGCGGACACGGCACCAGCAGGAGCTGTGTGGGCTCGGCTCCATGCAGGTGCGCCTACGTCTATGTGTGTCCATGTATGTGTGTGCGTGCTCACGCTTTTGTGTGTGTGGTGTGTTTTTGACAGGGGGGAGGTGAGTGAGAGGCCAGCTTCCTGACAGGGCAGTTGTAAAACATTCATAAAACTTTTATTGGACTTGCCACCCTTCCAGATAAATATTTTTCGATTTTATGGGCTTGTTTTAGGACCCCAAGCTTAATCATGGCTTTGTGGCTGCCTTAAAGAAATTAAATATTGTTTTGGCAAAAGGAGCCCTCTTCCCCTACCCCTGCCAAAGGCAGCCTGAACTCTGAGCTCATAAATTCCTGCCACTCTCAACTCTTGCCCTTTTTCCCTCCGTAGTCTCAGAGCCATACTAGGATGAGCCCGAAAAAAAAAGAGGGAGAGAGAGAAGAAAAAGCAACCCCTACTCTTCTCCCTCCAGGTTCCCCAACTCCCCTGACCCTGGCGGGAAATTCAACCCAGCTCATTTGTCCACACAAGGGAGCGGGCAGAGGAGTCTGTGCTGGGCAGTCACCTGCTGCCTCCCTGAGATGGCAGGCTGCCTTGGCTGGAGGCGCCCCCATTCCCCCAGCCCCTCCCTGCCTCCTGGAAGACCTGAGTGGATCCCTGCCCCCAGTTCCTCAGATCTCATTGCCTCTGAGGCCCCACTTCCCACACTGCCTCCTCGGGCCCCTCTGAATACCCTTTCCAAAAGAACACCCCCAAACCCAGCACCATCCCGCTGTCTCTTTGCTGTACTGCCTTCCTAGCATCTAGCACTATCGGAAACTTTCTCCTGTATTCATCTATTGGTTACAAGCCTGTCCCCGTTACAGAAATAACTCACACCATGCTGGACCCCCACCCCTGGAACAGGGCCCAGGGCACAATAAGTGCTCCGTGAATATGGGGAAGGTATGCTCAGTGAATGGGGTGGGGTGATTTGGGTAAGGAATAAAAATAGTAAACATTCTTTAGACCTTGCTTTGTGCCAGCCGCTGTTCTAAGCACTTTCTGTTATATGAACTCACTTGGGCCTTACACCAAACCTGTTCCCATGTTTCAGATGAGGAGACTAAGGCGCAGAGAGGTCACATGTCTTTTGTGAAGGCACGCAGCTGATCTGCGCCTGGACTAGGGTCGGGATCTTGGTGGTCTGGGTATAGAGCCTGAGCTCCTGGCTGTGTGTTACACTGGGTTTCCTGGAGGAGGAGAGCAAGGTGGCTGTGCCCTGGCCTGGAAGGCATCAGCCAGCACTTGGCAGGCACCACCCCCTTCCTGGCCTCGTGCCAGGCCCTGAGTCAGAGGTGCTGGGGCCATAGGGCTGGGACAGGAGGGGCTCAGACTCAGATACAGATGCCTTCAAGGGGCAGGCAGGTGACAGAAATGAGGGGAGCCAGTCTCAGGTAAAAGCAGCAGCACATGAGCGGTGACAGAGAGTAGCTGGTGTGCCCAGGGCCCAGCACAGGCCCACGCCAGCCCACTGTGGCAGGGTAGGAATCCAAAGAGAAGTCTTCTAGCTTTTCAAGACAAACTAGAAGTTCAGAACTGTATGTCAAATGTCCTGATTTAAAAGGTGAGTTAGTAGTTCAAATATTTCAAAAATGCCATGGAGGCTAGATTCTACTCCCAAGCTAATATAGTTCTTTTTGATCTTTGTGAAAGTGGTGAGCCCCAGGAAGCCCAGGCACAGAGCCTAGCTAAGGAGGCCTTCTTAGAGGAGGCAGTACTGAGTTCCATCTTGGAGGAGGGTGGAGAGACAGCCTGGGGAGAGGTGTTCCAGGCAGAAGCGTCCGTGGCTCTGCCCAGGAGAGAAGGTACCACTGCTGCCCAGAGTGGCTGGGCTGTGGAGGACTACACAAGGGAACCAGATACCTAAATGCTGGAAGAGGTCGGGGTTTCCCCTGCAGCAGCCTGATGGAGCCTCCAGAAGACCTCATGGGCCATGTTGTGAGTGGACTGGTTCAGAGGTGATTTGTGGGGTCCAGCTGCCAGAATGGGGTGTCCCAGGATGGAGATGAGCAGACCAGAGCAGAGTGAGTGTGGGGGTGAAGTGCTCAGGACCCAGCATACACAGGTGGCATTGCCAGCTTGTGGGGGCCTTACCAAAGCCCTGTAGGCGGGCACCCGTCTCTCCCAGCATTCCCACATGCACGCATGCACAAGCACGCCAGTTGCTGGGGATGGAGTGGAGGGTACAAGGCCTGAGGTGGCTGTACCCCTGAGCCCCTAGGGAATGCAACTGAGGCTGGAGAGGGAACACGTCCAAGGTCAAGAACTCGTTGAGGGACCACATCAGAGGAACAGAGCTTTAACTTCATTCAGCCGCTGTTTCCCAAGCATTTGCTGGGCTAGTGCACAGGGGTTTCCTCACTGACTCCTCCTCACTGTCTGCCAAGAGAGGTGGTATTATCTATCCCCCTTCCACAGAGGAAATTACTGAGGGCCAAAGTGGTGCAGGGCTGTCCCCAGGTTGCCCGCACAAAAGCAGCAGTGGTGGGACAGGTCCCAGACCCCCCAGTTGCCCCCTGCTATCTCCCTGGAAGTCCATACTGGGTTTTGTTTGAATGTGGGGAAGACCAATACAGGCAGACCATCCTACCATTATGATTTTACCAAACCCCATAGATGTCAGGCTTCCTGGCCCAGGACAAGGAGTGGCAGAGGCATAGCTGCCAGGCACCTTGTCCTAGCCCAGCTCCCTCCTCCTCCAGAGAAAGTCCCCAGGCCACCCCAAGGTGTAGCATGCAGTCTGGACACCTCCAGGCTCTCCAGAGCAGTCCCAGCAGCTGCTATAGCTCAGACCCACGATAAGACCCAACCCTGTAGGTTTCAGAGCTGGCCACAGGGGCCAGGCAGGCAGCGCAGGAGAGTAGCCCGACTGGGGGACTGCAGTGGGGAGCGGGGAGTGTGGTGTACAGGGACCATACATCCTGTCTGAAGGGGCAGCCTGTGCTCACCTCAAGCCACCTGCTGCCCTGGGAATGCAGGCCCACATTTTAAAATGTTGACAACTAGTCCACAATTTTTAAAGCACATGAAGAGGCCAAAGCAAACATACCTAAGGGTCAACTTTGACCCACAGGCAGCAGATTGTGAGTGCGGCTGTGGCTTGCAGGGTGTCCTCCCACACACAGCTCAGTGAGCTTGCCATGCACCAGTCCCGATGAGAACAACAGTGGACACTAACATTTACTACATGCCCAGCACGTGCTGACTGTTTTATATGAGTTACCTCATTGACTTATGAGTTCCATTCCACCACTCACTGGCTAAGCTTGGAGAGTGCAAGGGCCTCACCCGGACTCACGATCTGGCTCATGAGGCTGGCCCTCTGCCCGCAGCCCTCAGCTCCCTAGCCTGAATCTGGGCAGAGGAACAAGAGGCAGGAGGCTGAGGCCTGGGGCACGACACTGATAGGCAGGTCAGCCCAGAACAGTCCAAGGAGGCCTGGTTCTAAGGGAGGGAACATCCCACGGTGGAACATGAGCAGCAGTTCCCCAAGTGGGCTGCTCACATCCACCCTGGGCGTGTGCAGGATGACTCTAGGTAGTCCACAAATAAGCCCCCAAAGAATGTTCACAGTTACATGTTGATTTTAACAGGTACTCTATTTATGTCAAGGGAGACTGGATTTCCACTTATGGCAGCATAGAATGTTCTCTAATTGAGTTAGATGAGTTGACTAAAGAAATCTTTAGTAAATAGTCGAAGTGGTGGCAATGGGTATGGCAGAACTAGTGATGCTGAGAAAGATTTGGGAAGTCCTGGGGGAGATTTGAGAGTTTTGATGGGTGAAGTAGGGTTCAGGTGGGCCTTCCAAGGGTGCATGAAATCTACCCCAGGGAGAGAAAGAATGACCTACAAGTTGGGGCCATACCCTAGCAGGCTGCAGGCTACCTATGCCCTGAAAACGTTCTCAAAAATCAGGAATTTTCATGTAAAAAATCCAGATTTCCAGTTTCTCTTGAAAAGCAGGGTGTTCTGTCCATGCTGAGCACATCCCCTCCAGTTCCCCAGGGCCCCCAGCCCTGTGGGATATGGTATCAGCTGAGACAGGCAGTGGGGGGGGGATGCAGTGACAGGTGACACCACAGCTGAGGGTAGTGAGGCCAGGCCTTCATGGTGGCACAGCCAGGCCCCATGGCTGCTGTGTGAGTCTGCATTGCTATAAAGGAACACCTGAGACTGGATAATTTATTTAAAATAAAATTTTAAAAAGGCTGTACAGGAAGTATGGCACCCGTATCTGCTTCTGGTGAGACCTCAGGAAGCTTACAATCATTGTGGAAGGCAAAGGGGGAGCAGGTGCATCACATGACAAGAGAAGGAGCAAGAGAGTGAGGAGGAGGTGCCAGGCTCCTTTAAACAACCGGCTCTCACATGGACTCACAGAGCGAGAACTCACTCATCACTGTGGTGAGGGCACCAAGCCACTCATGAGGGATCCGTGCCCATGATCTAACACCTCCCCCGAGGCCCACCTCCAACACTGGGGGTCACATTTCAACATGATATTTTGAGGGGACAGACATCCAAACCACATCATATGCTGGCCTCTGCAGCCTCCTCCCAGGCAGGGCTGCCAGGTGCTCACCCCTCATAGGCCTGGCTCTGTGAATTACCACAGGGCCCAGGTGAGGAGGATGGACAACTTGCCTGGTGGCGCGTGGGCAGCTCCCTCAGGGCTGGCAACACCAGCCACCCTCCTCGGCCCTGTGCTCCTCCACTGGTACTGCACCTGGCCGCAGGGGCTGCAGGGGTCACAGGGGTATGGGAGCCATGGACTGGGGGGCTTTGGCTCAGGAGGTGGCTCCTGAGGACAGAGGCAGTGTTCTGTCCCTTCTGGTCAGACCCATCTGCCCAGCATATGCTTGAGTTTTGCTTTCATAAAAATATCCACATGTCCTGGCAGTTCTCAATAGTTCTGACTATTTAGGAAAGATAAGTATACACCTTCTTCAAAGTTCAGAAATGAAGGTGCTGTGTGGCAAGACACAAAGGTGCATGAGTCCAGGCTCGCAAAAGTCGTGATGCCAAGAAAGATCTGGGAAGTCTGGGGGGCGTCGAAGAGTTTTGATGCGTGAAGTGGGGCTCGGGTGGGCCTTCTGAGGGTGCGAGAAATCTACCCCAGGGAGAACAGATACCAGCCTGAATTAAGTCGGCTGCTGGCCTCTCCTCAGCTCAGCCCAGAATGGGAGAGGAGGCTATGGACTGGCACGAAGAAGGATCTTTGTCACGTGTGCTTAGCATTGGATGGCAGGGCCAGGCTGGGCTGGCCCCTGTGGCACCACCAAGACCCCTCCCTACAGGCTCCACTGGGGCTGGGGAAAGGAATGTGCACCTATGGAGTCCTGCGCGCATATGGAGGCCCACTCAAACCCTGCGAGTGTATGGAGCCCCGCTTGCATGTTTGGAGCCCTGGCAGCCCCCACCTGATGTGCCTGCCCCAGGCAGCATGGAGCACTTCCTGGAGGAAGTAGGTCTCAGCCAGCCTTTTCTAGATGGGCACGGGCAGGCACTGGATGGCTATTTAGGCATGAGGGTGCCACGAGCAGAGACCTGGAAGCTCAAGTAAGGTGCAGCCATTAGGGTGCCAGGAGAAGGAGGCCTAGTGGCCCAGCCAGCCCCTGGGGTTGCCCTGTCCAGAGCCTACACCCACCAGGTCCTCACTCTGAACTGGCAGTGGCAGAACCACGACTTGAGAAAAAAAGTCCTTTCTCTGAGCTCTGTTCCTCTTTCCATTGCTCCCGCTCTTAGAGTCTTCCTTTTTTTAATATCCAATTTGGTCGCCTTCCTTGGGGACAGCCACAGAAGGGGTCCAGCCCTGTTGGCAGCCTCTTGCCCCCGCCTCCACTAACTCGCCTCCAGCACTACCTCCTCTAGCTGCCTGCATGCCAAGTCCCCCTCCAGTGCTTCCTGACACCCCTTCTCGGACCCCTCAATTTATCTACAGTCCATCTCTGCCTTCGAGCTCCTCCAGGGTGGGGAACAGGGAACAATCTGCCTGCCATGAGTCCGCAGCCACCAGCAGCGGGCTTGGCCAGGGTCCACGCTCTGTAACTGCCGTTTAGGTGGGGTCTGAGCCCCCGGCTGCCTGTGACATGTCTGCCCAGGTGGGCTGTGTCTCCACTGCAGCACCCACTGCTCTCCAGTGAGGGACTGGCCTGGCCCGAGCCTCCTGAGTTTGCTGAGTGAGGCCACTGCTGTGTAAGGCCCATTCCCTGGTGTAGTCTGCCTGTACCCCTCATCCCTTTGCCTCTTCGAGGCCTTCTCCTGGTCGACTGTGTGCTTTCAGTGGTGCCGGCCAGAGCGTCTAGCAGAGAGGCCAACTGCTGCCTCTAGCCCCTGAGCCCTTGCAGGGGTGTTTTTTGAAACTCAGTCCAGAAGACGTGAAATGGAGGAGGGCTGTCTGTCTTGCCTTCCTGACTAGAGGTAGAGGGTCCCCAAGCTGCAGGTCTGCTGTTGGTTCTTCAGGGCCTCTTCAGTCCACCTGACACCCACTCTTGATTTCTGGGTCAGGAGCCTGAGGAACTGCCTGGACTGTCCCTGTGCCTCATGTGGTGCTGGGACCCAGGAGCCACAAGAGGTAGTCAGCTGGGGCCACCACCTGAAGGGCAGTCTGTAGGGCAGGAGTTCCAGGCAAGGGAGCCGGTGTGCCCTGGGCCGAGGCAGCCTGCGGTGTCCTGTGGCCGGAGCCATGGGGATGGAGGCTGGAGGGAGGCAGGCAGGCAGAGGTGCTGCAGCGAGGCATCTTAACCCAGCTAAGGAGGGAGCGCAGACATCTGGAGCAGCAAGGGTGCTGACACTCACCCGAGGACATCACAGCCCTGCAGAGGAGGAAGACAAGCCAGGCCGCCCACCACTCTGGCAGGCATTTTGGTTGGGGATGGGCGGGCATAACAGGACACAGGAGGTCATCCGATGTCCACATTTCCCCACACAGAGTGGTCCTGCCTGGCACCGTCTCAGCCATCCCAGACAGATTTTCTGTTCAGCCTTGGTTGCCATATGAGGACTCCACCCAGAGGGCCCACATGGCCTCCTAAGTCACAAGTGGTTGGTGGTAAACCCAGGCCTAGAGCCCAGGTTTCTGGCTATCCCCCTGGAAGAGGCCCACCTTGGGCACTTGGGAACAACCCCTGACCATCCTTGAGCCCACGCTGCTGGGTGAGGCTGGCCGCCTTGCTGCAGGAAGCCTGGTTTATAAACAAGTCCAGTTACAGGAAGATCGGGAGGGTTTTTGGTTTTCACTGGACGTGGTTGTTTCATGGACCCACCCCAACAGGGAGCATGGCATGCTTGACCTTGGGAAAGGGAGGCCTTGGCTTAACGCCGAGAGCCTCATCTGCCAGCAGAGTGATGTGGTGTGGACTGAGGCTGCTCCAGCAGAATGGGCAGGGCAGGCCCCAGATGTGAACTAACTAGCTTGAGAGAGCACCTAGCCGGTCAAGCCTAGCCCACGTGGATCCAGTCCCACCTTCTTTCCATGTTGGTAGCAGAAGCTGGGAGTCCGGTTGCAGGGGTGGCTGAGTTGGCAGCGCCCGTAAGATGCTGTGGATTTGGATTTGGGTCCTGGAGGCAGGGAGGCCCAGTGTCATGGGTATGCTACCACCACACAACTATTTTAAAATAGAAGGCGCTGGCCCTAAATTTTTCTCGTATCATCACATTTATCTGCATCTTGTGAAAGTGCTTTGCCTCATGAACAGTCCCATAGTTGGGACTGTTTCTCCTGGATATAATTTACATTGTTGTGACAACTCAAAGTCATGATTAACACAAAAGTGGGACTTGGGGTCACTCAGTGGAGTGATCTGTGCAGTCACTTCTCCTCATTCATCCTCTCACCTGTCCGCTCTGTTAATGTGTACTATATAGAGGAGGTGGCATTTGCTGGGGAGAGCTGGCTGTGAGATGGGCATGGGCCCAGGAACAAGCACAGCCAGGCTCAGGAGGGGTGCATGTGGGGAAGGGACCTTTTCGCCTCTTTGCCACTGTATTTTGGGAGGTAGAGGGGGTTAGAGCTTTGACCACCACAGAAGGGGGTGAGACAGATGTGAATCACCTTCGCCAAATGAAAAAACCTAACCCAGAATGTTAGTTGCTTTGGGCTTCTGTGTCTGAAAGAGAGAGGCCCTTGCTTGCTGTTCTCTACAGACAGTCATGCTGGAGTGGGCCCTGCAGGCCTGGGCTGGAAGCGACACAGGACACAGCGGCCACAATCTACCTCTTCTCCCTGCTCCATGCTGTGGTCTGTGCCCAGGGCCCAAGGCAGCCAGAGGGCCCCTGCCCTCAGGAGCCAGACCCAGCCCCTCTGCAGATCTAGCAGGAGACCCCACTTTCTGCACCACTCGGGCACCCACACAAACACACCCTCATACCCCATGATCACCCCGGCTCCATCTCCTGCTCTCCCCACACGCTGGCCCCAGTGCTGGCCCTTGGGGCCTTTGCTTGGCGCCCTCAGGCTGGGTGTTCTTCCCTCCCAGTGTCCTCATCCCTCACAAGTCCCTGTTCAGATGTCATCCCACCCTGGGCCCTTTGCTGATCACTATCTAAAGGAGCAAAACACCCTCTTGACACTCCCCTCTCCCGAGCAGCTGGCACCACCTGTCATACGACACATGGATGTGTTGGCATCGCCTGTCTCCCACCAGAACGCCCACACTGGGCCTGCGTGATTCCCTCACCTCTGCAGCCCCGCCCCCGGTGCATGCCTGCATAGAGTAGGTGCTCGCTAGCATTCTTGATTAAATGAATGCACAGACTCCCTGGCCTGGGTCAGCCATGGCATTCTCCAAACCACAGTTCCTTGCCCTCTAAAGCAGTGGCTGGTGCTGTGCTCATTAATTCCAAAAGGCAAGAAACGAAATGGTCTCCCGCCCCAAGCTATGGAGAGCTCTTCAGGACAGCAGCCTCCCATCTGTCTCCCCAGAGGCAGAAGAGCCCCACACCTGGGTTGGGGTGGCCTCCCAGTTGACCACCAAAGGTGTTTCCAACCTCGAGGTTCTGGGCCCTGGCTGGTGACCAAGTGGGGAAGCCCATCTGGGGAAGGCAGGGAGGACATGGCCACGACTGTCGTGGTGGTGCCCTCCAGGCCTGCTCAGGGTGTGGTGGAGTCCAGGCATGGCAGGAGTGAGTGATAGAGCAAGCGCTTTGAAGCAAGCCAATGCTCCCAGTTCCCTGACCCTCACCGATGGGCTCTTCTCTCTCAGCACATTTTTAAAGTTTGGTTCCTGGCACCCGTTCCTATCAGGTGCTCTCTCATTCCTTTGCACATTTCTCTACACATATATGTGGGTCTTGCACCCCCTGGACTGTGGACTCCACCAGCATAGCGGCCCCACCTGGCCCACTCAGGCAGTCCTCAGAGTCTGGGACAGTGCCTGGTGCCCAGCGGGTGCTCTGAGGGCAATCATGGGCAGAAAGACAAGCAACGAATGCAGGAGTGAGCTTCTGCTTGTGCTGTGCCAGAGGGAGGCGCCCAGCACCATGGATGCCCTGTGGGGGCCATTGGAGGGAGTCTGCAAGCGCTTCCAGAAGGGCGAGTGCCTGAGTGTGCCCCAGCCGTGGCTTCCCTGGGTCCTGTCTTTGCGGAGAGCATGGTGATCCTTTGCTCCTCTTCACCCAGTTTGCAAGAGTGAGGTGGCCAGCTGAGGGCAGAGCTATGTGTTCTGGGGTAGGGATCTGCAGCTCTTAACAGCCTGCTGGCAGCCCTCATGCCCAGTGCTAGCCTCTGTTGTCTCTGAGCCAGGGCATGCGGGACCCAGAGTGGGAGTTAGGCAGAAGAGACCCGCACCAGCCCCCCGTGAGGGCAGCAGACATTGCAGATGCAGGTTCTGGAGCCAGCCGCCTAGGTTCAAAGCCAGGCCCCCTATGTCCTGGCTGTGGGAACTGACGCAAGTCATTCATGCCATGTCAGCTGGTTGTTCCTCACCGGGGAGCAGGGTTCCACATGTGGGCCCTGCCCACCAGGCATGCAGTCTTGCACAGACGGGGCCTGCCCAGGGAGGCAGGGTCATTGTCCCCTTGTAATAGGCGAGGGGACCCAGGGTACCTCAGCTCACCCGTGACAGAACCTGCCATCCACCTGTATTCTGGACAGGATCTACTTCCATGGGCCGAGGCACGCGGCATCTCGCTTAGGGCCTAGCTGTCATGGGCACTCAGTGCCATTGCTGCTGCCCTGACCCAGAGCATCCCTGGCCCCACACAGAGCCAAACAAGTGACAGGAGGCTGCCCCTCACGCCAAGCTCCCTTCCCAGCATGCTGCCCAGACCACTGTGCACAACCACTCCCGCCTCACCCCTGAGCCTACTTGTGCCCACCTGAGAGAGTGTGGGGGGATGACAGAGGCTGGGCCTGGCACACACAGGCTGCTCGGGTGCTGCCCTAGGCTCGCTGTCTGCTGGCTCCACGTGCCCTCGGGCTGGTGTGGGGCACCATGAGCAGGGAAGGGGGTGGTGGGTACAGCCCCCTCCCCAGACCTCCTTCAGTGTTTGCTGTCTCCTGTGGCCCTGGTTTCCCTTGGTTTTCAGGGTCTTCAGAAGACAGGGGGCCTCCTCTGAGCCCAGCCTTGCTGTCAGAGGCCCACATGTGGCAGCCATGTGTCCATGGGAAGGAGCAGGAGGTGGCAGCTTTTCCCAGCGCCCAGGCACCTGGCCTTTAAGGCTTCCACATACTTTGTTTAAAAAACAAAGAAGAAGCTTTCTTTCCAGAGCCCTCTGTGGGGCCCTCCCTATCTCAGGCCCTCTCTGAGGGCTTCCCCCTTCCCCATCATAACAGCAGGACCCATTTCACAGACAAGGAGGCTGAAGTTCAGTGCACCACCCCCCAGGCACCTGCAGAGCTGAGCACCTTTCCAGGGTACTGGCCTGGCTGCTACAGGGACAGACCTGGGAAAGAGGCCATGATGACAGCTGTCCTTTTGGTACACACGCTGGTGTGTCCCAGATGGGAGTCCTGGCGTTCACGCTGCTGCAGAAACATGAACACCAGCTCTGTTTCACTGGTGTTGGCTCTGTCCCCAAGACCCATCCTTACTAGCCCTTGGAGCCCAGGCTTCTGAGGGTAGAGGGACACCTGGCCAGAGGTGCTCCAAGCTGAGGCCTATGCACTCCAAGACCGGGGGGCAGCATATCCCAGGTGTAAAACAGCCCCCACCCAGCCACAATGCAGGATCTGAGCCTGTGGCCACTAAGAGATGCAACCTGCCCAGGGCAGAGGCACAGACTGTGTTTTGGAAGAAAAGACGCACAGTGCCACTAGACAAGGCCCTCTAGCCCCTCAGCAGCAATGCTGGACAGTACTGGGCCAGGGGGCTACTGCAGAGAGCCCGAGTCCATGGCTGGTGAGCCAAGAGGCAGTTACAGTGGGAGGTACTGAGGGCTGTGAGGTAGGTGCAGGGCCAGGGACCAGGATGTGGCCACTTATGGGCACCTGCTTTGTGCCTGGCCCTGTCCTGGGCATTGGGGACCCATTTGGTCACATAGGCCTGAGAGCTGAGGTGGACACACGGCCAGTGGGTGACACGTGTGCAGCAGGAGTGCAGCCAGCATCAGAAAGCGTGTGGGCATTCCAGTGGGGCGGTGGCGGGGGCGGGGGGTGCGGAGGTCAGCCCATGGGCATACCTGCCTCCCCTGGGCCTTGCAGCCACAGGCCACCTCTGGGATCTGCCTCCGAGGGACAGTGTGTGGGCACATGGCCATCAGCACAGACACAGGGTGCCAGGCCCCAGCCCCTGTACCCACGCTCACCCTGGGCCTCAGCCCCTGCAGGTCAGGGAGGGATAGACTGTTGGAGTCTGCAGCTTTCAAATCAGGAGTGTGGGTGGGGACCAGAGATGCCACGCCACCCCTGCCCTTCCCCTGTCAGCAAGAGGACAGCCAGCACCGCCGCCTGCCCACGGCCTCTCGCTCTGCTCTGGGAACAGGGCTGATACAGTAATCAGGGTGCTACATATGGGCTCTGGAAAATGACTGCTCCCCGGGCCTTTGTTCGCCTTCATTATTCTAGACGGTTTTTTTCCCCCACCAAGTCATAAAAATGACATTTTTAATATGTGGATTTTTTTTTTAAAGAAAAGCAATATGAAGAAGACTTTTATTGTCAATAAGCTCTACCTTTTAAACCAGTTATCTTAGTTTCTGCTCTAGGTATTTTAATTGAAGATTAACTGCTGTTAAAGAGTATACACATTTAGGGAGTGAGTGTTTGGAGTATTAAAATTCGGCTCCCTTGGTGGGGATGGAGCTCCACGGGAGGCCACCAGGAACCATGCTCCCCCAATGGCCAGCCTTGGGGGGCTGTCTGAGGAGGAGGGCCGCCTGCAGGAGGGGCCCATCCTTGCCTCTGGCCACAGCCTTTTCTTTCATTGGAAGGGGCAGGCTGGGGTGAGTCCTAGCCCCACAGGGGAGCAGAGGACAGCCTGAGAGCATATGGCTGTGTGGTCAGAAGGGCATCCTGGCCCGGCCTCTGCACCCTTGGTTGAAGCAAGCCCTTCCTTCCCCTTGGCCAGCCATTGGGTTTGGGCACAAAGGAAGGAGAGAGGGAAAGGGCCACTAACCGAGCACTCTGTGTGCCAGGACTTCTGCATGCAGCGTTGGTCTCCACGGCCATGAGCGAGGGGAGTGTCCTCCCTGTGCTGCTGGCAGCATGGGGCCTTATGTCCCTAGAGCATCTATGACCCCGGGCAGGCCTGTCCCCCTCATTAGACACGTCCCCAGCATCCTCACAGCATCAGGAGGTCAGGCGCCTGTTATCCCTGCGTCACAAGCAGACAGGAGGTTTCAGCATGTGTGTGAGGCCTCCGGGCCAGAAGGCAGAACGGGAGCCATGGGGAGTGGGTCAGCTCCCAGACCCTCAGCCAGGGCCTCAGCAGGGCAGCCATCAGTGGCCCACTCCTGCCTGACCCACTGCTCCATTGAGGCCATGCTGCCTCACTGAGACCTGCCCAGGGAAATGTCACCTTTTCCACCACAGTCTTCCTGACCCCAGCTTCCTTCCTCCTCCTCCTCTGAATGCCCGGGTGTGACTGTCTGTGGCTCCTTCCCTTTCTTCCCAGGGCTTTTCACTGCTGTCATGGGTGGTTTGCATCCAAGTCTCCCTCTATCTCAAGATGCCTGTGAGAGAACAAAAAGAGGAGAAAACTAGCTCTGCATTTCCCTGTTCTTTGTCAGGCCCAGCTTCCTCCCAGCAGAGTGGGACTCCTGCCAGGCCTCCCTCACAGGGGATCGTGGCCGTGCAATGAGGCGGTGTCTGTCCAGTGCACAGCCCAGCACACCCAGGCCAATCAGCAGCCAGGAACGGGGCCCAGCAGAGGGCTGAGCCTCAGTTGTAGCTTAGTTAGCCCCGAGCTGACGGAGACACAATGATACAGCACCCTCAGCCACAGCCATGATCAGAATGGCAGTGGCCTCTCTTTACCAAGCGCTTCCTGGAGAGAGCCGGGCCATGTGTCTTATTCCCACCATCCCTCACCCCAACTGAGGAAAAAACCAAAGCTCCGAGCAGGCCAGTCAAGCTGCTGTGTCACCAAGCCTGGTGTCCAAACCCCAGCCATGAGCACAGAGCTCAGGCTCTGACAGCACCACTGTCATCCCTGCCTGCCCTGCAGGTGTCAAGGCCTGCCTTCAGGACCTGAGATGGCCTGGACAGCCACCATTCCAACCAAACAGAACCTGCTGAAGGAATGGCCCTGCCCTCTAGGGGGTCCCTCATTCTAGAGGCACATGTGTATCTGTGTGTGGTTTGTGTGTGTGTATGTATGTCATGGACCAGGCCTGGCTTACCAACAGTACAGGCACAGGGTGGCAGCTGGCGGCGCTAGTGGAGAAGAGAGACAGCCCCTTCCTCTAGCTCCAGCTACCTGGAGAGGAAGCTGGGCTTCTCCAGCTACTGGCGAGGACATGTGATCTCTTCTCTGCCACTGACTGTGTGACCTTGGGCACATCAATTTGTGTCCCTGGGCCTCCATTTCTACCTCTCAATGATGGAGTGGATAATGTACCCTCCTCACATGAGTTGAGGCACAGAAAGCACTTTTCTGATCCTTCCTACCCCAAGCCCTGTGCCAGGCACTGGGACACACTGTCAAATGGGATCGTCTCCGCCCTCCCAAAGCCCCCATCCATGCAGGAGTTGGACACACAGCTGCTGAGAGCTGGGACTGGTTCCTGAGGGTGGATGGCCTACTGGGCATGAGGCTGTGGTGCTGTGAAGGGTTTGAGCTCAGGCCCACCACGTTCTTGCTGTGTTACCTTGGGCAAGTTCCTGAGTGCTCTGTGCCTCAGTTTCCTGGTGTGTGTGAATAGCATGATTGTGAACTGAGGTTTGCTGTTGTCTGTGGAGCATGTGGAATGGTGCCTAGCCTGTAAAGGTGCAGCAAACATTAGCTGTGATTGCTACTGGGGTTCTTTCTGTGATTGTTGAGAACTGGCTGGTGCCCATTTTTGGGCATTTTGGGCCAGACCTCCCTTACACAAGATGGTCTTTTCTGTGTCAGGCCCCCTCTTGGCCATCTGGGCTGCTTTCAGTGCCAGTCTCCACAGTGGCAAGGCCCCGCAGCCCACAGTCCTGGTTGCCAATGGTCCCCCGACTGGTACCCACAACACAGAGGCACCCTGGGCCTCTGCCCTGGAAGTGTTTGGAGACAAGGCCCCACCTGGCTCAGCCCCACTGCCCTGGGCCTGGGAGATGCTGGGTGGGAAGAAACATCATTCTGGTTGGGGGAGTCCCCAGTTGATCCCACACCCTTGTCTCTTGCCATCCTCCCTCCTTCCACAGGAGATGGCTGCAGCCCCCTGCTGCCCCCCACCCATGGCACTGCCATCCAGGCTGCTGTATTCCCTGTAGCCAGACTCTCAGGCCCGTGGCAGGGTGGACAGCTTTGTGAAGCTGGGGCCTGGATGGGAATCGCTGCTCCCTGGCTTCCCAGCTGTTGTGACCCCAGGCAACCACTGGGCCTGCCTGTAAAGTGACTTGTAGGATGTCCTGAGGCTGGAATAAAATGATGTCTTTGCAGCCCCTGGCTGAGTGGGAGGCATTTGGAGGAGGCTGCTAGAAAGGCAGTCACTATGAGGGTGGCAATGGTAGCAGCAGAGGGGACCTCTGGCCAAGCCGCATCCCAGCTGCCAATCTGCAGAGCCTAGCTTGCCCAGGGCTGCAGTCCAGTGTCCTTCCCATCCAGACACTTGTCAAACCTCAGCCCCGCCCAGGGCCAGCCAGAAGGGTCCCCAGAAGCACAGATGCACAGGCTCACCTTCCGGAAACTGCCACTGAAGCAGCTCAGCTCTGGCCCAGCTGGCCTCTACTCATCAAGTGCATGTCTTATTCTCTCTGGACGGAGGAGTCGGGCATCCACCCAGCTGCTCTGGCCCATGGATGGGGGGCATGAGCCCCAAGGGAAGGGGCCAGGCCCAGGCCTCCCTACTGATTCCTCCTCCTAGTTCTGGGCAGGCAGGCTCACTGCCTGCAGGGATGACAGGAAAGTCTGTGCAGTCCAGTTCTCCCACCTCTGCCATCAGCCCAGCTGGTAGGTGGTCGGCAGACCTGCTCACCCCCCAGCCTCTGTGCACTGACAGGACCCTGTGGAGGCTGTCAGCCTGGAGGAGGGTGATGAGGAGCCCAGAAGGTGGGTGGGGGAGCTCTGACCCCATTGGCAGATGAGGTGGGGTGCACACGGGCTGAGGTCACCAATACTGCCCCTTCCTGGCATTGCTGGGCTGTGCAGGCCCTGACTATCTCTGGGGGCATTGGATCTGTACTCAGGGCAGAGTGTGGGGGGCCTTGGCCCTAGGGGAAGGCTGGGCAGGCGTCAGAGAAGGCCAAGCCAAGATGCTACAGAGCCTTGTGCCGAGAGAGCCAAGGGAGACAGAAGCGGGCAAGATAGACAAGTGTCATGGGTTCCCCAGGCCGAGGGAGCGCCAGTCCCGAGGCTGGGGCAGTGCTGAGATGGAAGAGGAATGTGTGGTAAGGATGTGCAGGGCTGTAGGGGCAGCTTCTGAGGGACTCCTTAGAGGAATTGGGACCCTGTCTGAGTGGTTGTGAGGGACTGAAGAGGTCTTCAGTGAGCAGCTGAACTGAGAGGAATGTTGGGGTTTTGTCCTAGAAGAATCTCTGGCAACAGCACTAAGGACAGACCAGTGGGAGAGGGTCCTGGCCACTCATGTGCAGGAGCCCCGTGTCCGGGCCCTGGGGCAGGGACCTGCCCCTGCCGGGCCTGCAGGGACACCTAGAGCAGGAGCCTCCAAGGAGCCTGTGGCAAACCACCTTCTGAGCTGTCCCGAGAGGCTGGGCAGGCGCCCCACTCGCAGCTGTGTGAGCCCCAGCCTGAGCTTCTGGCCTGCACAGCAAGGAAGGTAACCTTTGGGGCAGGGCTGGCTGCACTAGGAATGCACCTCACGGAGGCCTCACAGCCACTCCACAGGGTGGGGGATCCCATTCCAGAGGGGTAGGCTGAGACTCCGCTGATGAGGGATGGGGGCTATCCCTGCAGCAGCCCCTTCAGGAGGCAGCTGGTCCAGCCAGTCCCAGAGGGACTGAGAATTTAGGACAACAAACTTTCCTCCGCAGAGGCTGCCCCTCCCTGTATAATTGAGACTCAGGGCCAAGTCATTTTCTGCCTATTTCAGAATGGATTTGTTTTTTGCCTTAAAAAATAAATAAATAAATAAATAAATAAATAAAATAAAAAAAAACCCTTCCATCCGCATAATGCACTGGTGTTCCCTCCCCACGCTCCCCAATCTCCACAGCTTTGACTGCATGATAATTTCAATTTACATGGTGCGGGAAAGATTTCTGCAAAGGGCCCTTTTTTGTTTTTGAAGAATTCATCATTGCTGCTAAGAAGCTTAATGTAAATTAAAGGAGGAATTAGGCAACATTAAGACATCAAAATGGGGGTGCGGGGCGCTGGTTGCCTACGCTTCCGCCCAATCAAAGGGGTGCATGAGCCCGTCGAGTGCGCGCTTGAGAGCCTCGGAAAGAGCGAGGCTCCTGCGAAGGGCCCGCTCCGCCGCCTGCTTCCCCCTAATTCCTTTTGTTGCAGGGACAGCAGAGTACAGGTCTGATAAAAACTTAATCACCTTATCTTTTTAAAGCAAATTGCATCTTTGTTTACATACGGGATCCATAGCTGGGAGGGAAGGAGAGAAAACCAAGGAGCCGGCCCCCCCCAGCCAGCGACGTTAAAGGCTTTAGCTCCCCAGGAAAACAGAAGAGCCCAGCCTGACAAAGAGGTGGCTGGAGGATTCCAGAGTCGCTGTCACTGCTCACAGAGGAGACTGGTGTCAGGGCTGTCCCCTCTCAGGGAGCGCTCACACTGGCTCTCTCTGCCCACCTGGCTCTCCCCAGCCCTGCCAGGCCTGTCCTCCTGGGCCTCTCTGTCCCCAGCCGGGTCTGTGTTAGAGCTAAACCCTCATCGCCTCTGCCTGTCCTCCGGGCCCGGGCTGCCCTGCCCTGCTAGCAGGCAGAGGGGTCTGCATTCAGACTCAGCTGCACCACAACTGCCAGGAAGCCAGGGCAAGTCATTGCAGCTCCATGAGCCTGGCTGGCCGCTGATAGATGGGGGTGTTGATGTCAACCATAGCCTCCATGCGTTTCAGACATGACCGCCAGGCCCCACATTAGGGACACTTCTGCCCTTGCCAGGTTCCCCCTTCTTTCTGTCTCCCCACCCCTGGCCTTGGGGGCAGCTCCCTCTTGGCCAGGCCTGCCTCCAGCCACGCCCTGACTTAGAGGTCTCACTGGAGCACTGTGCCACCCACACACCTCCGTGACCACCTGTGGCCTGTGCAGGGCAGCTTCCTACCTTGGGGTGGAGGGGAACTTGACATTGGAGCCCACCAGCACCCTGTTGAGGGACAGGGCTCCACCCCAGCTGCCCCATGGCCCCTGCTGATGGGGGTGGCCTTGCTAGGCAGCCCCTCCTGTTCCTAGGGCCCAGTATCCAGTTCAGACTGGAGCCTGGCTGAATCCAAGGCCCTCTGTGGCTGTCCAGCCTGGCCATCCCATATATCAGCCCCACCTGCCATTTAGGCTCCCAGCTGTCAGTCATCACCAGGATGCTGACCCCAAAGAGATCCCCTGCCCCTGGCTCTGGCTCTCTTCCAACCCTCTCCAAAACTGCTTGTTTACAGCAGTGGGTAGTGCTGGAGTGACTAGAGCGGCCCCAGCCCCACAGGGCCACAAAGGGGCCAGTGACCCCAAGCTGCTTGCAAGGGTTCAGTTCCCACTGGGGCATGCAAGCCACCCACCAGCGTGGAGACCCCTCTTCCAGTCTGGCCCCCAACATGAAAGCAACGCCAGCAATTGGAGGCAATTTGCCGGCCTTTGATGGCCATGTCAGGGCGGCACCATGGCTAGGGCTTGGGAAACAGTTGTGCTTCCCGCATTCTTCCCTGATTACCCCAGCCCAAGCCAGGACCCGGCAGCCTGCAGCCCATTGTGCCTTTGTGTGGAGCTGGCGCTTGGTGAGAAAGGGCCAGCCTGGCCCTGGGAGAGTGTCTCCACGGGAAGCCATGAGGAGCAGTGTTGCCCCCAGGGTCATGGCCGCCCGCCCCCACTGCATCCTGGGGTTTGGGTTCATCAGGGGGTGGAGCAGGGCCATAGGCTCCGAGAATCCTGAGGTTTGGGAAAAAAGAGGCCCTACTGAATGACAGACGTACATGTAGCACACACACACCCTAGCCCACCCTGCCAGGTAGAGAGCCACCCTCCAGCACATGGGAGAGGGACCAGGGGGCCAGGTCAGCCTGAGACCCGAGCCTGGACTTCTTTCTCCCTTGGGTCACTCAAGGGCAGACAGGTGTTTTCTGGTCCTGGAGGCAGGGGTCCTGCCCTGCTGGGGCATTTTTCTTCCCTCCGCTGTCCTGCACCCCTGCTGTGAGTGCTTGTGAGGATGAATCCATACTCATTCCCTTTGTTTTCATCAAACCTCCCTGAGCCCGTGTGCTAGGCCCTGCACACAATCCTGGAGAGGTGCCCCCTCACAGGCCACTGGGGGAGGCAGGCATATAAGGCAATGACAGCCACAGTGGTGCTGGGCAGGGCACCCAGGAGGATCTCACTTGGCTGGGCAGCTGAGGGGCACCTTCCCAAGGGGCAGCATCAGAGTGTGAGCATGGCAGGCAGAGGGAACCACACATTCCAAGGCCCTGCTTGGCTTCTTATAGCTGAAGCATGGTACATGATGGCGTCAGAGAGGGAGGAGGGGTGAGGCTGAGAGAGAGGCCAGAAAGAGAATAGACGCTTCTGTTGGTGGAGCCAGGTCTAGATGTCTGACCCGGACCCTAGAGCAATCCTTGGGATAGCCAGGTGGGATGAGGGAGGAGGCAGCGAGGCAGGGCTGGAGGACGGTGGATTCCTGCGCCCACACCTCCCAGTCGTTGCCCTTGATGCAAGCAGCAGAGCAGCAGTGTGGGGACCTTGAACTTCCAGCAGCCATGGAGGAGTCATGAGCATCACCACCCCTACCTTACCTCTTGTCCCTGTCCTTCCTGGGCAGACTCAGAGCATGGCAGAGACAGCACCATGGGCCTAGAGATGTCAGCGAGCTTTCTGGCCCTCCCTCCCCTCCCCGGCTCCTGTGTGCCATGGATTGAGCAGGTTCCAGCCAGATTGCACCGGTAGGCACCGTGCCTTCTCTGGGCTCCCAGCTGGATGCCGGAGGCCACAGTGATGGGGGGCCTGTAATAGACATCCCCCTGTGAGTAACCCAGGGTCACAGTAGAAGCCTTGGGAAATACATAAAAGAAGAAAGAAGGAACAGTGCTTGCAACCCACTCCCGACCCCTGACAGCCAAATGGACAGTCTTCCGGTCTCTTTTCCCTTCATCCCAGGGCTGCAGCAGAATTCTTCCAAAAATTTTGATTGCTGCATTTTTTTTGAATCAGCATTATAACATAGGTCTTTCTTTGTGTAACTTTAAACTCTTCTCAGGTATCACTTTTAGTCCCACAGAACATTTTGCTGCAGCAAATAGATGCTGGATGGGTCTGCTGGCCTCCCTTGGTCTTAGAGGCCCTTTGTAGTTCTCAAAAACGTGCCGCTCCCTTAGTGGGTAAGCAAACGGGCTTGGGAATCAGATAGCCTGGCGTTCCCGCTCTGCCTGTAAATAGCCGTGTGACCTTGGGCAAGGTACTAACTCTTCTGTGCCTGTTTCCTCAACACGGTGTTACGAGAGGATTCAGTACCTCCGTGCTGTGGGGACATCTTTGTGTAGAAATCTTCTGCCGTATCTCAGACCACTTGTTTGGACCGAATTCCTAGAAGTGCCTTTCTTAGTTCACACTGTGACCATCTAGGACTTTGTCCCTCCCAGGTTGTCACCAGCCAGTGCTTAAACAGCTGCCCTTCAGGTTCTTGGAAAACCAGAGCAGTTTGCCCCTCAGCCCCAGCAGGGTCTCCTCCAACGCTTATTTGGAGAGTGTTCTCTGAGTATCCGCCACTCACCAGCAATCACTCCAGGTGTTAGGGTTACAACAGTGAATAGACAAAACTCCCTGCTAGGGTGGAGCTTGTCATTTCAGCAGAGGCAGACAACAAACCCAAAACAAGGACATCATAGAGGACATTAGAAGGTGATAAGAGCTATAGGAAAAATAGTGGGGTGAGAGGGGGTCAGGGGAGCATGAGGGGGTTGTAGTTCTAAACAAGGGGGTCACAAAGGCCTCACCAAGAGGTGACAGTTGTACAGTGACTCGAAGAAAGTGAACCTGCAGCTGCCGGAGCTCCCAAGTCCACAGGCGGAGGGATTGGCAAAGACAGGGGCCCCGAGGCAGAGACAGGCCAGGTGTGCCTCCCAGGTGGGTCTCCAGGCAGAGGGATTGGCAATGACAGCAGCCCTGAGGCAGAGACAGGCCAGGTGTGCAGAAGGGCAGCGAGGAGGCTGACACAGGGGCGGGGCTGTGAGCCAGGGGCAAGCAGAGGCCAGAGGTCCAGAGCAGCCCCCAGTGCAGGGAGGAAGATGGGGGCAGGACTGCACCTCCCTGACAGCGTAGGTCCTAGCAGAGCGGGTGGCAGAGCAGGCCCTGTCCTGCCTGCCTTGGAGACACAGGGCCTGCAGGAGGTAGACACCAGGCAGATGGGCAGTCGGCACTCAGCACGTGGCCTTGTCACCGCCTTCCCGCGTACTCTGACCCCAAGTCAGAATGGGGAGCCTGGCACACAGGGCACCGTGTGGACATGGTGAGCTGTGGTCACCCTGGAGCCAGGCCCTCGTACCGCACCACGCATGGCACACGCCTTCATCTGCCCTCAGCGCCTCTCGCATACCCTAGGAATTGTCACTCAAATTCCCTTTGCCTGTGGATCCGTGACAGCAATATCTATGGCTGGTCCCCGTCATCTGGCCTTGGGTCCAGCATTCCTCCTCCTCCTCCTCCTCCTCCCTTGGAGCATGCTGAAGCAGCCCTGTCCCCACACAGTGACTGCGGTGCTGTTTCCTTCGCCACCCTTCTGCTGTCTGGAGATCTGGCTGCCTTGTTCACTGTCTGTGCCTTCTTAGATGAGTAAACTGCATGGGAGCTGGGCCCTGGTCTGTGCATTCACCACTATTTATCTCCTGTTCTGGCATGTTCCCTGAATATTTTTAAGTGAAAAGGCACAGAGGCAGGTTGCGAGAAGCAGAGAGTGGGACCCGCAGAGTCTGGCTGGGTGGGTAGCAGCTCTTACCACGTGACAACCTGGGTTGCTCTTCACTTCCCTATGTTTGCCACATGGCTAAGAAAGGAAAAAAAAGGCCACTGGGAAAACAAAGCAGCTCCTGGTGACATTTGCCACAAATCCATGCTGCCCCATGTCCAGGTCTCCCTTTGGTCAGGCTTTCCAGGTGTGGCTTCCCGGCCAGTCCATAATAGAGCAGAGGTAAACGAGCCTGACCATCTCAGGAGAGCAATTAAATGGCCACATCTTCACCAGTGCCAGATAGACTTTCCGGCTCTGCCTGCTCCGGGCAGTGCGAGGTATGCATTGTGTGTAACGAGAGCCATCGCGGGTGAGATGGACTGCCGATTGGGCCACGCCTGTCTCCCCAGCCCAGCACAGACGCCGGGGAGCCCCACGCCTTCTCAGCCTCCAGACCTCCTGGCACCAGAGGGAGACGGGCTGCCCATGCCATTTGTCGGGGTCTGCTGCCAGCTACCTGCTCTGTTTGCAGAAGGAAGGCCAGGCTCTGATTCAGGGAGTCAGATACCTACAGGCCAGGCGCTCACTTGAGGGGACTGGCCAGGGTCCTCCCCATGCCCACACTCTGTGCCCCATCCCAAGCGGGGGGCAGACCACCTAGGTATGGAACCTGCAGAGCAGACACCGCTCAGGCTCCAAGTAAGGTATGCTGCTCACAGGGAGCGCTTCCTTAATGCAGGTCCCCAAGGCCATAGTGTCACATGTCCCTCAGGCAGGCGTGCAAGGGCCTGGCTTCTGGAGCCCCGTTCATATCAGCTGCATGTCCTCAGTCTTCCCAGGGGACTCAGGCTTTAGATGGCCAGTAATCTCACTTCCGCCTGCCAGAGGGAGACCGGACCCTTTGTGCAGTGGGGCAGGCTGTCCCTGGCTGACTCTACAGATGGCCTCTTTATCCAGCACCCTTGTCACTTTTTTTTTTTTTTTTTAAGACTGAGTCTCGCTCTGTTGCCCAGGCTGGAGTGCAGTAGCGCAATCTCGGCTCACTGCAAGCTCCACCTCCCTGGTTCATGCCATTCTCCTACTTCAGCCTCTCGAGTAGCTGGGACTATAGGTGCCCGCCACCACGCCCGGCTAATTTTTTGTATTTTTAATGGAGACGGGGTTTCACCGTGTTAGCCAGGATGATCTTGATCTCCTGACCTCATGATCCACCCACCTCGGCCTCCCAAAGTGCTAGGATTCCAGGCATGAGCCCTTGTCACCTTTTTAAACATCTAGAGCTGCAGGGCCAGTGCACGATGCTCTCACAGCCTTGAGAACCATTGTCAGAAGCCCTCTGAAAGGGGTATCCCCCACCCATCACTCTGAGTGGAGAGCAGAAGCTGGCTTTGCCATTGGGTAAGGGCTGTAGCTCAAATCCTGGCTCTTCTGAACTCACTGTGGGGCTTCCAGTAAGTCACTGGCCTCTTAGACCTTCATTTTCTCATCCGTATAAAGAAGGGGTGGCCAACATCTTCAGGAAACTGAGCCAGAAATAACCCACACAGCCCCGCCAGCCAGCGCTCCCAGTCTGAGACGACAGGCCAGGGCCCTCCGGACTGAAGCTTGATGTGCGAGCCTTATAGCTGCCTTGACTTTTCAGGGACGAAGCTAGTACTGGGCAGGACTGGGAAAAGGGAGGAAAATTCTTCAGGTGCCAGCAGGTGCAGTGGCACAGGTGCCAACGGCACATAGGAAGCTGGGCCCTCTGCCTGTGCCTCTGCCCAGCTTCCTCCCTGCTCTGGTCCTCTAGGTTCCCAGCCTGTACAGGCCCTTTGTGCACATGGGGAGGGGATCCTGGTGGGACACCTCCTTGGCAGGCAGGGTATGGGCTGCCTTCACCCCCACCTGCCCTCAGTGCCTTCATACCCAGCTGCCCCTAGCAGCAGTCTCAGGAGCCACCACCCACTGGGGCTCCCTGTCCCATGCCACTCTCACAGTGTCCCCATGAGCTTGCTCCCACCAGGACCCCCCAGTGGGGCTGTGAGGCTCACAGAGTGAGTGCTTACACTGAGGTGCTCTGCCAGGGGTGGAACTGCTCCGAGCCCTGGGCCCACCCACTCCCACAGATGCAGAGGAGCCTGCTAAGTGGTCTCACCCTGGCCAGTGGCCCACATGGAGGCTGCACCATGCTGCCACCAGGAGATTCCTCATGAATACAAGCCCCACAGCACAGAAAGACAAATGCTGATGATCTCACTTACATGTGGTATCTCAAAACCCAAACTCATAGAAGCAGAGGGTAGAAGGGTGGTTGTGGGAGCCTGGGGGTGCAGGCTGGGGTGGGAATGGGGAGATCTTGGTCAAAGGGTTCACAGTTTCAGTTAGACCAGAGAAATCGATTCAGGAGATCCGCTGTGCAGAATGGTGACTGTAATTAATAACAATGTGTAATATTCAATGAAATTTGCTAAGAGAATAGATTTTAAATGTTCTCATCACCAAAATAAGTATGTGAGGTGATGAATGTGTTAATTAGTCTGATTTAATCATTCCAAAATGTATACATATATTAAAACATCATGTTAGACTGGGCAACATGGCAAAACCCCATCTCCACAAAAAAATGCAAAAAATCAGCTAGGCATGGTGGCACGAGCCTGTGGTCCCCACTACTCAGGAGGCTGAGGTGGGAGGATCACTTGAGCCCAGGAGGCAGAGGTTGTAGTGAGCCAGGATTACACCACTGCACTCCAGCCTAGGCAACAGAGTGAGACCCTGTCACACACACACACACAACACACACACAAATATATATATATACACATATATATACATATATATACATACATATATATATATTACACTATAAATATACACAGTTTGTCATTTGTCAATTTAAAAATGAAAAAGACAAGCTCCAGAGAAAGGGCAGTTGCAGCAGCATGTTTAAGGATGAGTGGGACTTCTATTGCCTAGAATGGGAAGGGTGTTCCAGGCAGAGGGAACAACACGTGACAGGCTTGTATGTGCAATGAGGAGCCCAGGAATGGGCCATGATCAGCAGGGCTGCAGAGACGGTGCACAAAGGCAGAGAGTGGTGAAGATGGAGGTGTTGGAGTGGGTGCGTGTCGGGGCATCAGCAGAAAACAAATTTCCACTCAGGTGTTCAGCTGGAGGGAGTTGAACAAAAGGTCTTTAGTGAGGCGTGGGCTGGTTAAAGCAACTCATAGAGGTAGCTGGAAAGCGGTGGGGGCTGCACCCACCCAAGCCTGGGGGCGGGGCTGCGTATACCCCTGGCAGAGGATCCCGGGATGAGCCACTGACTCTGTGAGCCCCATGGCCCCACTGGGGTGTCCTGATGGGAGCAAGCTCTCAGGGCAGTGGCAAACTGAGCCGAGGGGGCACTGTGAGAATGGCGTGGGGCAGGGAGCCCCAGCGGGTGGTGGTTCCTGGGACTGCTACTGGGGCAGCTGGGTATGCAGCCTGCATATCCCACTGAGGGCAGGTGGGGGTGAAGGCAGCCCAGGTCCTGCCTGCCAAAGGGAGCCAGGGATACACACCCTGACTGCCCTCTCTTCCCACACTCTGGCCTGTTGGGGCTTCCACTGCTAAACCTGGTCGTGCTGTCTGCAGGGGTCAGCCTCCCAGGCACACAAGAGGGTGGAGAAGTGGAGAATGGGTCTCCAGAGGCAATCAGGGAGTACCCCACCCAGGGAGCCTCAGATGCCGAGTTTCCAGACGTGGACTTGGCATGAGTGCACTGGAAAGCAATGGACCACTCGGCACAGAGCAGCAGTCCCTCCAGGGCCTGAGCACGGGGGTGGTGAGCTGAGGCCCCAAGAGGCACAGTGCCCTGCTGTACACCTATCAGATGGGTGCCGGAGGGACCAAAATGTCAGAATGGACCACAGGCCTCAGGGCTGATTGGCTAGGGAGGGAGGCAGAAGAGGGGTGAGTCTAGGCAGCAGGTGCGCGGGCAGGGAGCCCACGGGTGCTTGGGGTACGGCAGAGTGACAGGCTCTCTTCTGTGCCTTGCAGGTGGCCTCAGCCCCGAGTCCAAGAAGATCCTGACACCCGCCCTCAAGAAGCGGGCCCGGGCTGGCCGTGGGGAGGCCACCAGGCAGGAGGAGAGCGCCGAGCGGAGCGAGCCCTCACAGCATGTGGTGCTCAGCCTGACTTTCAAGCGTTATGTCTTCGACACCCACAAGCGCATGGTTCAGTCTCCCTGAGTGTCCGGTGACCTCCCCCAGGGCCTCCTTGCCCAGCCCAGTCCAGGCTGCTGTGCCAAATCCCAACCAGCCACGCCTCAGCCTCTCCCAGTCTCTCCCTGCAGTCCTGCAGCAGCAGCCCCCACCCCCAAGCTTGGTGCTGAGCCCTGGTGAGGAGCTGAGGGGGATGGGTTGCTGGGGCCAGGAGGGTCTCTCCTCCAGCCCCTGCACACTCCCACCCAGGACAGCCCCCAGCCCAACTAGGAAAGGGCCATGGGCAGAGGGCTGGTAGCCAGTATCTTCCACTGCCCCATCTGTTGGCCACCTGCAGGCCAGTCTCAACCCTCCCCCAGGTGGGCAGGCACTTGATGGCTACAAATAAATGTCCCGTGGCCCCAGCCCACTCTACTGGTGTCTCTCTCTCTGTGACTTCACTAGGTCCGCCGCCCTCCCCAGCTGTGTTCCAAGGGGAATCTCAGAAATCCCAAGAGTTCCTGCCCAGGTCGGGGCCAGGGAAGGGACCCAAACTCAGAGTCTGTAGGCTGTGGGAGTCTGCAGAGTGTCTGCGCTTCTCAACCCCACTAGGTGGCTCCTGGGGCGCTCTGGGCCTTCAGGGAGAATGGGGATTCTCTGGGCAGCTGGGTCCAGGGAAGGTACCCACAGGGAAGTTGGGGAATAGCAGGGTGCCTGGCCAGAGCATCAGGCAGAGCAGGTGGAGGCTTGTTCCTCCACCCCAACACGAGGAGTCCCTCAGCCCCTGCCCTCAAGTTTGAGAACCACATACTTCCCAGAAAGTGGAGGCTAGCATGGTGAGGGCACCCTGCAGAGCCATCTGCCATCCCCTGCACCCACAGACCACCCTGCCTTGTAGCCCCAGGCTGTGGGATACTCAGGAAGGGGTGAATGGTGGAGTCAACAGACTGAGGGGAAATCAAAGCTTTTAGAGACATTTGCAGGATGAACAGATGTTCAAACGTTCCTTTATTTGGTCTCCAGACAGACGCAGAGGCCTCCCTTTTATCCCAGTAATCGGTGCATTATGCTTTAATTTGCAAATGGCATTAAAAATATTAACAGGGGCAGGTTTCGATCAAATGACTTGGGCCTGTTAAGCCCCAGAGCCGTGTGTGTGTGTGTGTGTGTGTGTCCCGTGTGCACGTGGTGGGTGGGGAACAGGCAGTTAATTAAATACACCAACAGCAGAGCAAAGCCCCCGAGCTGCAAGGATACCAGCGATGGCGACTGGCCCAGCCACCCTTCGTCAACCTTGGCCCAGACCCAGGCAGCAGGGCTGGAGCAGCAGTCAAGGGCAACAGCTGAGAGCCATGGGGAAGTGGGGTTCCCAGTTCAGTCCCCTGAGGGGATTGGCCCTGGAGGAACGTGAGAGAGAGTGTGGCCCCGGTGAGCGTGGCCTCCGCGGCTGCTGCAGGCTGCGGGTGCCAGGGCGGCTTGTCTGCACTGTGAATCAGGACAGCCCTCTGCCTAGGAGCCGACTCCCCCTCTACTGCCGCTGCCTGAGCAGACACTTCCTGGGACTGCAGTGGCCCCTCTCCCTGGGGCCTGACCCCACTGTGTGCTGTGCCCCGACCCCACTGTGTGCTGTGCCCCACGGCCTCCTCACCCTACCTGGCCCTGCAGACTGTTTCACCAGGAAGGCAGTGCCACTTCACTGAGGCCACTCCGCCCAGGAAACTGGCAGCAGCTTTGAGCCCACACCAGGCTCCCTGCTAGCCTGCTGGTCCCCCAGGGGAGGGCAGCCCAAGAAGGGAGCAGACCTCCAGGAGGGCTTCAGTCAGCACCGAGCTGGGCTCACAGCCCCCAGCCTGTCAGTCCCTGGGGGCAGGAGAGGCCCCTCTGAGCACTTGCCAGTGCTGTCCAGGCTGGTCACCTCCCAGCACAGATCTGGGAGCTGCTGGTGAGGGCCAGCACTGGGTCCGAACCCAGCTCCAAGGACTCACTTCTTAGGCGAGGAAACCTCCCTCCTCCTCAGTGTGGGGCTGAGCTGGGAGCCAGGCCACACCCTCCCTGACCGCTCCCTCCCCAGCCCCCTCAGAGTCCCTGCACATTGGGACAGAAAGCTCTGAGCTCAGCCCCAGGTCCTGGCCTGCATGGGCAGGGTGACCTTGGGTGTGTCACTGTCCCTTTCTAAATGAGGGGTGATGTGACCCAGTGGAACCACTGTGCCAAGCATGGGGTTCCATGGAAGCTGTCCATGGGAGCTTCCATGGGAGCCATGGGAGCTGGCTCTGGGGCCAGATCAGGTGTGGAGGAAAGATGAGCACACAGGGCGAATGTGGCTGCCGCCACCAGGGCACAGATTCAGGCCTCTCCCTGCCTGCGGTGTGAGCTTGGGCAAGTTCCCTAACCTCATGCCTCAGTGTCCCCATGTATAAAATGGAAGAAGAAAAGCAGCCATGCCAGAGGGCTGCCCTGGGGGTGGGAGACTTGCCAGGCACACTGCTGACCCCACATTACCTGCGGCCCTAGGGTGGGCCCCACACATCTCCCACTGAGAGGCAAAAGGCCCAGAACCCCTCAGGAAGTGACACCAGCCCCAAATAAGCCGTTTTTCCAGGAACTCTGTGCAGGCGTCCACCTCCACCCCACCTCTCACCTCCCTACTGGTCTGAAGACCGTGCTCCTCAAAGTCCCGGGAAGGAGGGGGCTCGGGTGGAGGAACTGAGGCACAGAGGCACAGAAGGGAGGAGGGGCAGCCCAGGGCGACTCCCAGGAGCCTCTGAGCGCCCTGAGTGTGTAATGAGGCGGACCTGCTCTGTGTGGCCTGAAAACGCCCAGCCGACTGCCCCAGGAGAGGCCTCTATCAGGCCCGGCATCGGTGGAAACCCGAGCGTCCATTAGTGGGGTCGGGCCAGGGCGCGCAGCCTTTGAAGGTGCAGCCTAGCCGGGACGGTGGGCAGGAGCTGGTGCCAGCACCCGCTTCTGGCTGAGGCCAAGGTGTGGGCATGCACGTCCCCTTCCCTGGCTCCCCCGTCCCCCAGGATGCCTTGGGCAACCCCAGGCCCGCGTGTTTTATGTAGGAGAGGGTTCCAGTGGGCCAAGCTCACTGCAGCCACCGACACAGGTAAACTCACCGAATCTGCTCATCTACCCACAGCAGTGATGTGGCAGCAGCATGCCGGTTTCCCAGGGGTGTGGGCAGGGCAGGGCTTGGCTGCCTGCAGCTGCCCCAGATAGAGCTGGAGTTTGAGTCCAGGCTCCAGGTTCTTCCAGAGTCCCTTGCCCACCAGTGCTTCAGGCGTGTCCTTGGAAAAGAGGTGCCCTCTGGGGTCCTCTGTGGGCTGATGGGTGGGGTGGGGCATGGGGCAGCAGTGCCCTGGGCCCCCTCACCTGCCTGCCCACATGGAGTGAGGTCATGGACCGACATCCTGCCATGGGCTGGGGCAGGAGGGGCAGCGGTGATTGGCAGGCCCCCGACCAGCAGGGCTAATGCACAAACGAAGAGATAAGGCTTATCTGGAAATGTCCCTGGAATCGAGACTCTGATGGAAACAGGCTTCTGGGTTAATATATTTTCAATAGATAACGTCTCGTAAACGGGAAGCCCTGGGGGCCTGGGGCAGGAGAAGGGGCAGCTTCCGTGCTCCCAGGCCTCCTGCCCTGGCCATGCATGTGCATGTGCGCACACGGGCTTTGGTGCACCAGGCATCTCCAAGCCTGTGCTGACGTCTGGGTGTGCATCTGTGCACATGGATCCGCGATGTCTCAGACGTGTCTGCATGTGCTCCGTGTGTGTTTTGGGAGGGTTGCGGTGTTTGTCAGTGTGTGTATCTCTTTGGGTGTGGGAGTGGGGTGAAGGAGGATCGAGTCCAGTGTACACAGGGTGGTGGCAAGTTCCCTAACCTCATGTCTCAGTGTCCCCATGTGTAAAATGTGCCTCAGTTCCAGTGTATCCAGTGCTAGTTTGCCCCATGGGCAAAGGGCATGCAGGTTAGTGGGGCCTCTTCTCCAGGACTGGGTGGGATTCAAGGGAGGCTTATCACTCTATTCTACAGGAAGCATACCAGGGCCAGACCCCTGTCTGGGGAGTGCAGGAGCCTGTCAGTCCGAGCTCACTCTGGAGTTGGTCCCGGCCCTGGCCTCCTCTGCCGAGCAGCCTCCATGTGGGGGTTAGCATCTCCAGATTCCCTTCCAGAGACCAAGGCCAGCCCCGCTGACAGCCTCCCAGCTCCTAGTTCAGCCTTGTCTGTCCTCTGAGGCAGGGACTGGGGAGGCCTCCTGCCAAGGGGCTGCATGGGCAAGGTCTTGAAGGGAGAGTAGGAGTTTGCCAGGGCAAGGAAGGGTGGCACCTGCCAGAGGGAACAGCAGAGTGAAGGCTGTGGCGAGGAAGTGCTCGCTGGGGCCCGTGTGCCTGCTTGCTGAGGAGGGATGAGGTCATAGCTCCAGACCCCCCAGCCCCTGCTGCACCTCCAGGAGCCTCCACACAGGCAGCCCAGATTAAAAAGAGTAATTAGCATTTGACTGATAACGGGGTTGAGCCATTAATTAGCCTGCTCAGCCGGCACCAGGCTTGGCTGCTGGGAGTTGGGGCGGAGGCAGCAGTGGGTGCTGGGAGTGGGGCTCGCAAGGCTCTACAGGGGCTCCATTCCCTTTGCTGAGCACTGGTGATGCTCGGGGAGGTGATGGGGGCGCTATGAACAATGTGGCCGGACCTCGGGCAGCCAGGGAGGCCTAGAAGGCTGTCTGCTGGGTGTGGGAGGCCTTGGAGCCCCACAAGGGCACAGGCAGGGGGATGGGGCATGGTGTCCAGTTGGGGTTTCAAGAGACCCCTCTGGCCTCCTGAAGGAGCCAATGGCAGGGCCTGGAGGTCAGGGCTCCCCCACCCCCAACACAAACAGGGGGCAGAGGCCATATGGGTTGGAGAGGACCTGGGACCAGTGGTTGGTGATTGGATGTGGCAGCCGAGGGGAGGGGACAGTCCGAGCTGAGGCCTGGGAGGAAGAGGACGTTTGGGAAGGCTCGGGGATTGAAAACAGAGAGGTGAAACTTGAGAGGAGAGGTACGTTTGGGAAGAGGCCCCAAGTTGAGTGCTCGAATATTTATGAGGCCTCCTGGGTACAGGCCCTGCCACTGTGCTGGGGCACCAGTGGGGGAGACGGAGACCCTGCCCGCATCCCAGCCTTGTGCTCCCTGGGGCAAGCCCAGTGCAGGGACCTCAGAGGGCACTGGGAGGGACAGCATGGACCCTAGATCACTACCTCCCACCTGGCAGTGTGGCCTGCGGCCCCCTCTGCAAAGGAGGCTGTCGGGCCGGCCCCGAACCCCTGGCCCACCCAGGCCAGCAGGTTGTAGGTCACATGGCCACACCCCTGGAGCCCTGAATGAGGTGTTGCTCAGTCCCCACGTGCTCCCCCCACGTTATCACTGGCCCCCATGAGGGAGACAGTGCAGCAGAGAGAAACGGCCACATCCCACAGCCACAGGTGAGGCCTCTAGGTCAAGGCCTGGCTGGGAGCCCAGGCTGACCTGGCCCTGGGGCACGGTGCCAGGCCTCACCCCCCAAGGTCATTCCATAGACTCGGCCCCGAGCCTCCAGCATCCCACATAGCCACCACCTGGCGGGCCCCAGCATCCGTCTCCCCTGCAAGGCTTGCACAGCCCAACATCACCTGTGGGAGGAGACCCCGTTGGCAGGGCCAGTCCTGTGGAGCCACCTGAAGAGGCACAGAGGCAACGGAGCTGTGGCCAGCACAGTGTGTCCCAGCAAAGGGCCGCCGAGGGGCCGCTGGGCCCAAGGCAGTCTCCAGTCAGCCGCTTGGTCCTCCAGCTCCGACCCGCCTGTCTTCACTGCCATCTGCCATCACTTCCTCTGCCTCTCTCTGGTCCTTGACGGACAACCCTGCCTCCCGCCAACGTCTAGTTCACCTCTTCCCTGTCCATGCCCTGAGGCTTGGGGCCCCAGCCCTAGAGTGATGTCTATCTGGGACCCCCGGGCAACCTACCAAGGTAGAGGCAGGCTGGAGGGTCTGTGGGGTGTGGTTACCTACAAGTGGACCCCGGGGCTCTCTGGAGCTTTCTCCTCCCACTCCCTCCCTCCCAAGCTTCCACCCTGGGCCTGCCCCCATGGCAGCCACTCTCTGCAGGGCCCTCCCTGCTCCCAGCTCTTCAGCTCCTTCTAGGGTACCTGAGGACGCAGGGACCCAGAGGACCTTGAGCTGGGGGTAGAGAAAGGCAAGGGGGGAGCGGAGCCAGGCCTTCCTCAGAGGCCCAGGCAGAGGCCCTGGAAATTCCCCAAGGACTCCAGAGCTGGGGCTCAGACCAGGCTACAGAGGCCAAGTTCCTGACCCTTCCCCATCCCTTCCCGGTTAATTACCAAGAAAGACTCTCCCAAGCCAGTTACCCACACTGTCCCCAGACTGTCATCAGCACCACCACCATCACTAAGCTCACCATCATTCCATCATTTAACGTCACTACTAACGTCAATGCCATCATCACCTCATAGCGTAACTAACTTCACCGCCATCATCATCAGCATCACCAGCGACCTGCTCAGATTGGTTTGGGGAAGACATGTCTGGAGGCCGACAGGGAGGAGCATGACACAGTTTGCCAGGAGGGAGACGCCATGCCCAGGCTCGGGCAAGAGGGAATGGGGTGCGAGTGGGGCCATGGCTGGAGTCAGTAAAGAGGAGGAGGAGGCAGATTTGAAGATGATCCCAAAGCTACATCAGCTGGCCTTGGCACTGACTGGATGATCGAGGGGAGGCCAGACTTAGGGGATCCAGGGTCCCTGGCCAGCCTCTGCCCAGAGTTGCTGGGCACAAGAGATGGGAACCCTGCAGAGGATGGGGTGGGCAAGACACCTTGGCAAGCTTCACTGCAGAATTGCTGAGTCCAAAACTCAGATACCCTTGGGGAATTTGGCTTGGAAAGCCTCTCCCTGGACAGCTGTGTCTTGGGTCTGGGTGGACGCAGAGATGGGTCATTGGCATACAGGCACAGCAAAGGCTATGGGATCCTGAGGCCATGGGGAGGGATAGAGCTAGAGAAGAGACGGGCCCAGGGAGGGCTCTGCGGTGCCAGGGCACAAGAGGACATGCAGGGCCAGGGAAGGTGGGCATTGCTTGAGATGCCCATGGGCCATGGGTGCCAGGCCCAGGGAAGAGGGTGGTGGGGTGGAGCCTCAGGCAGGCTTCCGAAGGAAGTGAGCAGGGCGCTTCTGGGTGGAAGTTGTGTAATGGGTGTGGCATGAGATGAGGCAACCCGCCTCAGATGCAGAGCGATGATAGGGTGGAAGATAGCCAATAGTCAGCAGCGCCTCACTGCCCCAGTGCTCACCGTGGGGGGATCCACTCCCGCACTGGCCAGGCCTCCCCAGGTCTCCCTGCCACCTTGCCCTGCTCTGTCTCCAGGCCTTTGCTGGTGATGCTGCCCTCGCCGCCGGGGCCCATGCTCCACTCAAGCCCGCTTCTCCCTCAACCTCGGGGCTCTCGCACAGATGGCTCTTGATGGGCAGGGTGGGAGGAAGAGAAGCAGGTTCTGGGTCCTGTGCCACCCGAAGGACAGTGCTGCTCCAAGGAAGGTCTCCTGGCCGGCCTCTTATGGATGGGTGGGAAGGAGAGGAGCGGTTTTGGGACCCCTGCTTCCTGGAGTTCCTCACAGAGGGGAAACTGAGGCAGGGGAGGGGTTGGTCCTCTGCCCAGTCCCCCAGCACAGGGAACCTTTGGGGGGAAGTGGCTGCTGCCAGCTGATGCCTGTGGGAAGGACTAGCCCAAGCCTGCCAGGTCCTGGCACAGAGCAGGCGTTGGGGACCAGGGTCTGGGTGCCTGTGTGGACACACTGACCAGGCTGCGGCCCAGCCCTGCCTCCCACCATGGACAGCTGGTTGGGCTGCCGATAAGGAGAGACGGTTGCAGAGTCACCAGGCCCCGATGATAAGACAGACAAGCATCTCCCGGTGGCCGGAAGGTGGGGGAGGGGCCCACCGGAGAAGCACCCACATCTTGGGTGGGAACACAGAGGCTGCTGGTTCTGGGCAGGGCCCACCCTGCCCCTGGGGGCACAACAGCCCTCCCCAAGGCATCTGGGCAGCTGCCGACACAGTGCAGCAGGGCCCCGGCCTGGCCCACCCTGCAGGACCTCCCCACAGCGGCCCTGCCCAGCTCCAACTCCAATCCCACCTCAGCCCCGCCCAGCTCCACACGCAGTCTCCTCAGGGTTCCCTCGCACACCAGGCCCTGTCCCCCTCCGTCTCTGCTCGGCCATGCCCCTGCCTGGAGCACCCCCACACCATGCCCATCTCCCGCCCCTTCTTCCAGGTGCAGCAGCTTGTCCCTGAAAGAATGAACTGCTGGTGAGGAGAGAGGCTTATGGGAAGTTGGGGCTGTGACAGAGTGGGAGTGGGGTGGCAGGGGACACACAGGACAGGTGGGTGTGTCCTTGTGGAAGGGGCCTAGCATGTCATGGGGTTCTTTTGCTGGAGACATTGGGGCTCTCTCTTCTTGCCGGGGTTGCAGAGCTGGACAGCATGAACTTGAAGCCACTGTAGCCATCCTGTCCCCACGAAGGGAATGAGGTCCACAGCACAAAGGGGTGAGGGCCATGCCGAGAAAGGGCAATGGAGAAATGAAGAGATGGGTTCCTGCTGGCCCCATCTGAGCCCTGGATCCAGCTATGCCTGGAGCTCACCCCTGTGTCATGGGAGGCCACACATTCCCTCTGTTGCAGAAGCCTGGTGCCGCGGGTTCCTGCTTTGTGACTCAGAGAGCGATCGTGGTGGGTGCGGTCAGCCATGCCTCTCACTGTCCCAGCAGGGTTCCTGACCAGCAGCAGGTCCTGTTGCTTCACCTTCAAAGCCTGTCCCGAATCAGTCAGCCCCCACCCCATGGCCACCAGCCCAGCCAGACCCAATCACCTCCTGCTTGGACCATCACAATTGCCTCACCCTGGTCTCCTGCTCTGCCGGCTGCAGCCGGAGAATCCTGTTAAAACGTGTCAGGGCCCCTCTTCTCTGTTGTAAACCCTCTCGCCCGCACCTTCCTCAGGGCAATTGCCAGAGTCCTCACCATGACCCCCAGGCCCTGCACGACCTCCCTGACCTCCTCTGCCATCTCCCCACTCCTCCTAGGTCTCCAGCCTCAGGAGAGGGAGCCCCTGCTCCTGGATGTCCCAGGTACTCCCTCCCGCCTCAGGGCCTCTGCACACAGCTCCCGCTGCCCCCAGCTTGCTCCCCACCCATTCTTCATTGAGCAGCCCCATTGCCCCCAGCCCCGCAGTAAAAATCCACATTCCCACCCGCTGTTTCACCCTTCTTTCTAGCTGGGCTCTCCCACTCTCAGCATTCTGCCTGTCGACCTCATTTACTGCCAGTGTTCCCATGGGAAGGGGGCTCTAGGGACAGGGGTTTCTGTCCTTTTGCTCACTGCTGTGTCCCAGTGTCAGGCAGAGCACCCAGCACATGCCTGGCGCTCCACACACAGGAGCACTCGGGCCAGTGGGAATTAAGTGAGTTGTTCCATGCAGGGTCCCCATAAATGGAGCTGGTCTCATTATTGCCGTAACTGTTACTGGCCACACTGTCCTGGCCTGCAGACCACGGTGACCTTCATCAACAGTGACAGGGCATGTGCACTCCGGTTCACATGTGCTGAGGTGCCATGCTGCACCCCAGGTCCTGTGCCCAGTGCTCCCTGCTGACCTAACAGAGCCAGCACCCCCATTCTCAGCCCCCAGCCAGGACCCGGGGGCCTTCCCAACCTTCCCCAGCCTTGCCAGCCCACCCTATGGCCCCAGGGGCCTTCCCATCTGATTGGGTCACTCCTCCGCTCCCCAAAGGGTGAAATCCAAGCCCTTACCTCGGCATTCTGGACTCTAGGATGTGGCCGGCACCTCCCAAACCCACCACGTGCCCACCACTGGAGTCCCCAGACCAGACTGGGCCTGCGCCTCCCTCTGCCTACGCTGATGCCCTCGTCCAGTCCTGCTCCCTCAGCACCCCCTCCTCACCTGTCTGCACCCGCTCATGACCCAGCTCACGGCCCCTCGGTAAGTGCAGTTTTCACCTCCTGCTCCAAATCTACAGCCCAGATGCAGTGTCTCTGCCAAGGCTCAAATCTGCCTTTCCAGCCTGGCTGTTTCCCCAGGACTCCACGCACCCACCTGTGCCTCCTCTGTGCTCCCAACAGCAGGCGGCTCTGCCCGACTCCTCTCCTGCCCCCACCACCCCATGCCCACACCAGCAAGGCCCAGGCCTTCTTCCAACACATCCCAATCTGACCTTCCCCCATTCTGCTGCACCACCCCAGGCCAGGCTACTCCCTGGGATCACACCTTAGCATCCCCCGTGCCCCACAGACTGTCCACATACAGCCACAGGGAGCCTGTCAGTGATGGCCATTCCCTGCCCCCACTCTGCCCAGCACCCCCTACTCTGCTCACACCCCAACTCTGCCCAGCACCCCCCAACTTTGCCCAGCACCCTTGACTGTGCTCAGCATCCCTGATACTGCCCAGCACCCCTGTGGCCGGGGTGCCCTGACTCTGCCTAGCACCCTGACTATGCCTAGCACCTCTGATTAGCACTGCTACCAGGATTTGGAATGAGGCACATGCAGGCACTGAGTTGGGGTTGGTCACCCCTCAACTTATCAGTTGCTATTCCTCACCCTGTCTCTGGACCTCTGCCTCTGCCCCTGCTCTCTGGGCCCCTCTGTGCCATCCCCTCAAGACTAGGGGACATCACATGTCCCTCCCTGACTCCATCCCAGTCAGTAATGCTCTTCATCCCCATACAAATTAAAGCAACAAGGAAGTGCCATTTTGCATTGGTCAAACTGGTAAAAATTTTTAAAGATTGATAATATCAAGTGTTGGTGAAGAGTGAGGGCAGTGGGAATTTGATGCTATTAGGAGTGGACTTCACACAACAACTCTGGAGGGCCAGCTGCCACGTCTATTAAATTAAAAATGCATGGGCCCCATGAGCACAAGCACTCACTCACATGTGTGCACAAAGAAGTGGGGCACGGCTGCTGGTGGCAGTCCTGCCTGAAACAGGAGAAAAAAAATGGCAATGTTCATCAGTAGTGGTGTGGACACTGAAACAGTGCTGTGTGGCCATAGAGTGAAATACTCAACAATAGGTAAAGGAAGGAAGTCTGAGTGTCCTGTGGATAAATCCTGAAAACAGGTGAAAAAAGTTGCAAAAGGATACGTGCAGAATGATGCTGTTTACATTGAACAGAAACTCCACAAAGTGATACTGTGTGTTCTGTGAATGCAGGCATGGATATTTAACTACATGGAGAAAGGCGTGCAAGGATGTGCTTCAAACTGACCACCAGGAGCTGCCAGCAAGGGGGGTTAGGAAGGGCAGTGGTGGGAAAAGGGCACTCAGCCTTATGTTTTCATTTTGTTCAGAGACTGTATCTGTGCATTATTCACAAACTGGAGGTGAGCGAGGGAAAGGTTCTGTGCAGCCCAGAGGTGTGCAGGAATAAGAGCCACACCGGCACCTCCTTGCTCACAGCCACCCAGCCCTTGTTTCCTGGAGACCAGGTCTCTAGTCAGTTAATGAAAGACTAGCCCTGTGTGGTGAGGCCCCGACACATCTCTGTGGCTGCCCTGGATCCCACCCTCAAAAGCCGTAGCTCTGGGGCCAGAGACAGATTGCAGGAGGAGGCCTGGGGTTCAGACACCCCCATGGGGTTTGTCATGCCTAGGAGTTCACTCCTGAGTCCTGTGATGGCCGCAGCGGGAGGGGGGACAGCCAAGACCCAGAGACAGTGAGAGTAAGGGAGAGCAACAGAAACACAGAGAAAGGCCAGGAGAGACAGAGACAGTGAGAGGCGCAGAGACATGGAGACGGGAAGAAAGAGTGAAAGGGACAGACACAAAGAGAGACAGAGAGAAAAAGAAGTAGAGGGGGAGAAACAAAGAGAAAACAGACAGAGAGTCAGAGAGGCCCCGCGCAGAGCAGGAGAGGGAGGCTGTCACACACGCGCGTGGCTCCGCCTGCTTGGATTGGTCAGAACTGACTGCAATTAAAGCCCATAATTGATTCCCTCGGATGACGAGGATCATTTCAATGCAGAGAATTAAGGTTTTCTTCCAAGATGAAAATAAAGATTAATTTGCAATTTCCTTCCTCACTGCACATGTGAGAACGGTCCCTGCTGGGAGGAAAGCTCAACCCTGGCAGGTGGGCTGGGGGCGCCCTCAGGGCCTGAGCCCACAGCCTCCCAGGAGAGGGCACAGCCTGGACCACCTGCCTCCTTGGCTGGCACAGAGGTGTGGGCGCCCTGCTCAGACACAGGCCTCCACGCCTGGGATCCCTGCAGTTGGATGGGACTGAGAGAGGCCAGGCCCATCAGGCCTCTACCACCTTTGACGAGCCCTCCACGTCCTTCTTTCCTTGCAGGCCTCATCAGCTCCTTTTCCTGGGAAGGACTCCCCAGTTCCCGAAGCAGAGTCTGATATGCAGAGCCCCAGTGAAAGATGACAGGACAGTACCGGAGGGGAGAAGTGGGGGCCCCAATACTTCTCTTCCCTCCCTCCAGGGCCCCCTGCTCCTGCCACCCTGGCTGGGCTCCCTGAGCTGGGAAATACACACTGGAGTCTAGCAGGGTGCTCCCCTCCAGCCCAGGCCCCACTGTGCCCCCTCCTCTGGGGGTACCTCAGGCTTGGAAACATATGCAGGTTCCAGAAGCGGCGGCCCTTGCACCTGTCCGGGACCTGCCATCCGGACCCACCACCTCTCGGGACAAGGAGGCTCTCAGGCCTCACAGAGGCCTTGCCCAGCCTGGGAGCATCATAGGGCTGGCCAGGGCCAGGAGGGACCATGAGCCCACCCCATCCTGGGCCCCAGGAGCCAGCGTGGCAGGCTTTGTCCTGTGGCATTTCTAGCCACCCACCTTGTCCCCGGGGCCTTGTCCCCAGCAAGGTGTGCCAAAGGCCCCTCACCAGCCACCCCTCCAGGCCCACACTCTGTTGAGGCCCTGGCAGGGCAGGGTTACCAGTCTGGGCTCAGAGGCCTGGAGCCTGCACAACCTCTGAGCAAGCTGGACCTGCCCACAGCAGCAGAGGCTCTGCCTCTCCAGCTGGGGCGACCCTGCACTTGCCCTGGTATCCCAGCGTGAACGAGGGGGTCAGGTGTGAACAGGGGGGTCAGGAGGAAGCGGCACCTCCGTCTGCAGTCTCCTCAGATCTTGCCTGTGCAAGCTCAGAGTGGGGCCTTCAAGGGGGGTCCCAAGAACCGGGATTTGGGCTCTGGGCTGTGCACAGTCTCCGGGACCTGACTCTGGGTCTGTCCCTGCACCCCTGCACCTGTGGCCCTCCCAGGTCAGCTGCTGGTGCCACAGCCCCATAGTTGTGAACACCTGGAGCTGCCCATTCAGCCTCTTGTGCCGACTTTTCCCGAAGGTGACCTCTGGACGACCTCCCGGTGCACAGAGGGAGGAGGAAGAGCAGGTTTATGAGCGGGGTGGGGGGGCGCATTCCTCCGGGCAGCCTGGTGGCCTGGGCCTATCTCACCATCGCCACAGGACTGAGGGGCCCCCTGAGCCTCGGCCCACCTCTGGCCTGGCTGACCTGTGGGCACCAGGAAGCCCAGGACCAGGGGACCACATTAGGGTCTCAGCCCCGGTTACCCTGGAGCTGGGCTGGGCCCAGTGGCTGCCATGTGTCTCTAGTGCAGCCTCTGCTCACTCCTCCAGGGACAGAGAGCTCCCTCCGCACTCCCCCGGCCGACTGATAACTCCATTTCAGATGGCACAAGAATTCTCTCATACAGGTGGTTTGTGGAAAAAAACAGCAGCTCTGGGGCAGTCGTGAAGACCAAGTTGCCCAGCACGGTGCTGGGCGCTCAGCCAGAGCCATCTCTGAACCCTCTGGGGGGTCCCAGTTCAGCCTCCAGACCTACAGATCTGCCTGTCCCTATGGCCCTGGGGCAACTGCAGAGCCTGGGCCAGTGCTCTGAGGCTGGCATCTCAGCCCCAACCCTGGCTCCCTAGAACTCTAGCAGTGCCAACAGGGCAGGACTGTCACCTCCAGAAAGCTGGGCGCAGGCCTTGGGTAGCCTGGCATGGGGCGGCTCCTGCATACGTTCAGGAGTGAATGGAGCCTCGGATTCTCTGAAGAGCCCCACTGCTCTGTCAGGGGGATCATGGCTCCCCGGGGTCAGAGGGATGGAGGGCAGTGTTTCTGTCCAGAAAGGCTCGAGGGCAGCTAGAAATGCCACAGGTCCTGGCCTTCTGGGGTATGGTTTCCCACATGGGCCCTTGTACTGGGGGTTGAGGTCCCGAGAGGAAGGCAGGGAAGTGTGCAGGGCCACGCCTCAACACAGGGGCCAGACCCTGAGAAACTCGTTCTCACTCCTCGGGCCTTGAGGCCCCCCGGCTGCTCTCCGTGGCTGGCCCTGGCCCATTAGTTTATTGATCCCCTTGACCAATCATTGGACCAAAGTTTCCTCAACCCTTGCTTGGGCCAGATCCAGGCCAGGGACCAGAGGGAGCTTGAAACATCCCGTCCCCTGACAAGGAGGTGCCCGGGAGGGTGGGAGAGTTGCCACTCAGACCAGAAGCCCAGATGTCCCTGCCTACCCCAGGGACAGCCAGCCCAGGCTGGTCCCAGACAGTCACCAGAGCCTTCCTTCAGGTCCCCCTTGTGTGCCCACCTGACCTGCTGGGAGCACTGGGTAATGAAGAGGTCATGCTGCCCCCACCTGCAGGCTACTAGCCCTCCCAGAGGTCATGTGACCAAGAGGACCTTTCCCAGGCCCACACCAACCATGGCAGCTTTGCTTTTAGCAGCACAAACAGATCTGGGATCCAGTGAGACCTGCAGGAAGGGTCTCACCCTGTCTGTGCCTCAGCGAAATGAAATTAATATTAGGACCACCTTCTCTGGGTAGCAGTCAGAGGGAAACGGGCACACAGCAGGTGCTCATTAAATGCTTCATGGCAGTCACTTGGGAAAACAGCTTGGGTGTTTCTTTAAAAGTTTAACATAAAGTTACTGCCAAAAAATGGAAGCAACCCTGTTTATCAACTGATGAATGGATACACAAAATATCTATCTACCCATGCAATGGAATACTATTTGGCAATAATCTAATAAAAATTAAAAAGGAATGAAGGCCAGGTGCAGTGGCTCATGTCTGAAATCCTAGCACTATGGGAGGCTGAGGTGAAAGGATCGCCTGAGGCCAGGAGCCAGAGGCCCCAGTGAGCTATGATTGCACCACTGCACTCCAGCCTGGGTGACAGAGCAAGACCCTGTCTCAATAAATAAATAAATAAATAAATAAGAGGAATGAAGTACTGCTATGCACTGCAGCATGGATGGACCATGAAGGCATTGTACTAAGTGAAAGAAACCAATCGTGAAAGGCCACATAATGTGTGATTCCATTTATGTGAAATGTCCAGAAGAGGCAAACCTATAGATGCAGAAAGTAGATTTGCCAAGGCCTGGGGGAGCAGGAAGTGGGGAGTGACTGCCAGTGGAGACAGTTTCTTTTCAGGGGACAGGGTGTTCTAAACTTAGATTGTAGTGATGGTTGTACAACTCTGTAAACATACAGAAGTTTGGAATTGTACACTTTAAGTGGGGGAACTTTATAGCATGTAAGTTATAGCTCAATAAAATTGTTTTTTAAAATTGGTCAATGCTCCATGGCCATTCTCTCTGCCCTGCAGCCAATGCCTGGGGGCAACCCTTGCAGCGGGTGGTTCAGCACCAGAGCCTTGGTGGGTAGGGAACAGAGGCCCTTTGCCTGGGGGGGTGATGGGGAGAATGTGACCTGGAGCTGCGGGAGACACAGAAACGACACCCAGAAACACCACACACCCGCACACACACACTATGCATGCACGTGCACACACGCACACTTCCTGGGGGATGAAATGCAGCCATTCCCAAAGACACCTGGCCCCAAGAGTCACCTCTGGCAGGCTGCAGGAAGCACCCACCAGCCTCCTGGCTTCTGCTGCTGGCTGCTCCCTACACCAGCAGGCTGGGTGCCTCCCCAAGCCTCAGTCTGCTCTTCTCCTCAATGGGCAGAAAGTAACCTGCTTCCCAGGGCTGCAGAAGAGGCCAGTGGGGTTCTATGGTGGAATTCACTTTATTGTTGTTTTTAATTATTGTATTACTTATCTGGTTTGGGGGTGTTTTGGGTTTTTGTTTTGTTTTGTTTTGCTTTGTTTTAGGCAGTCTCACTCTGTCACCTAGGTTGGAGTGCAGTGGTGTGATCATGGCTCACTGCAGCCTCGAACTCCTAGGCTCTCATGATCCTCCTGCCTCAGCCTCCTGAGTAGCTAAGACTACACAGGCATGCACCATCATACTGCCTATTTTTTTTTCTTTATTGGTAGAGACATGGTCTCACTATGTTCCCCAGGCTGCTTGTGAACTCCTGTCCTCAAGTGATCTTCCTGCCTTGGCCTCTCAAAGTGCTGGGATTACAGGAATGAGTCACGGCACCCAGCCATTTATCATTTTTATTAAGGAAATAGTTCAAACATACGAAAAGTGCGCGGAGTATAATACAGTGAACCCCATGTGTCCATACCCACCACAACAAACTACTGACGCACGCAACAAAGTGAATGGAAGTAACAACCTCCGGGACCGTGTCTCCCGCCCCACCCCAATCTCCTCCCCCACTCCTCTCATCTTCTGTGGGCCAGTTCTAAAGCTCGTTCAGTCTAAGGTGGAGACTGCGGCGGAAGTGGTCTTTCTCAGGGAGGCAGTGGCGGGGTGGTCAGGGCCTCTCACCAAGCAGGTAGGACTGGTCAACTCCATGATTCTGAGAGTCTGCGACTCTGTGACTGGTTTTTAAAATTGTTGTTTGTCACATACAGTAAAAATCACCCCTTTAAACATGTAGCTCTGTGCGTTTTGAAAAACACATTCAGTTGTGTAACCCCTACCTGAGTCAAAAGAGAGAACAGGTGCACCCCCATGCTTCATGCCCCTGTGAAAGCACCCCTCGCACACCCGGCCCCAGCATTCACTCATCTCTTTTCCATCACTGTTGTTTTACACTTTCTAGAATGTCACATGAGTGGGATCACACTGTGTGTGGACTTTCCAGCAAGGCTTCCTGGCCTTGGGATTCATGCTTGTGGCTGCACGTCCCAGCAGCTCCTTGGGTCACTGAGCAGGGCCCCGAGGTGTGGCTGTGGACGAGCGGATGGATTCACCTGCGGAAGGACACTCGGGCTGCTTCCAGTTTGGGGTGACTGTGACTAAAGCTGCTCCGAACACTCTTGTGGGGTTTTGTGTGAGCATCGGTGCTTCTCTCCCATAAGTAAACACCTCACCGTGGAAGGTCTGTGTTGTGTGGCGTGTGTTTTACTGCCACGCGGTTTCCCACCCCAGCTGCTGTCTGCATTCCCGCCTGACTGGGCATTTTACCTTTCACTCAACACATTCCCATCGGGCACCCACCCAGGCCAGGCGCGGTGCTCCCAGTGACGGAAATGGCCAGGATGAACGAGCTCTGCCCTCCTGGGCCCTCCTGGGCCCTCCTGTCCTGTGGGCAGCAGGCAAGAAACCAGGCAGCCTGGGGACACGCGGGACCATCTGGCTGTTGGCAAGGGCTCCAAGGGCATGAATTAGGGCAATGCTAACAGGGTGACTGGGGCGGGCCTTGCTGAGGTGAGTTTGAACCGAGATTAAGGCAGAGGGGCCATCCCATCCAAGATCCGGGGGAAGGGTTTCCAGGCGGGGGCCCAGCAGGTGCCAAGGCCCCGAGGTAGGTGAATCGTGTTATTATGCTGTGACTCAGCGACTTTTTGGATGAATGCTGAGTTCCAGGGACCTGCTAGAAACCTTACAGTCATCCCCTGTTCAATCCTCACAGCAGTCCTACGCAGGAGGGGCTACTGTCGCCCCCAGCTTACAGCAGAGCCACTCAGGTTCAGAGAGGTTGTCACCTGTCTCGCTGCACAGGCCACGCGGGGCAGAGCCAGCACTTGAACCCGGCGGGACTCATGGAAGTGCGCTGAACACCTGGATTCCCACCTCAGCTCGAATCCCTGCCTGCAGTCCTGCTGTGTGGCCCTGGGCAGGTCACAGGTCCTCTCTGAGCTTCCGCTTTCCCGTCTGTAAAACCGGGCTGGCGCTGCTGGCCTCGCAGCCCGCCGTAAGCATCCTGTGGGATGAGGTGTGAAAATGTCCTGGAACGGTGGGGCCCTTGCACGGTGGGGTGGGCACGCACCCATTCCGCCCCGAAGGGCCGTAGCCAGCCAGGCCCCCTCCTCGGCCCGCCGCGGGACTGCGCTGCCGCCAGGCGCCGACAGAGGGCAGGAGCGGCCCGCGCCCAGCGGCCGAGAGCGCACGGCAGGGCTGGCAGGGGCGGCCCCGGCGAGGCGCAGCGCGGGCGGGAGCCCGAATGTGGTCTCAGGACTGCGGCAAACACCTGTCGGACTGTCTGGGACGCACGACCTAGGGACACGGACCCAGTGCACGGTGTGGGGGAGGAGGTTAGCGAGGGATCCTGGGCCCACCCGTCTCCGGGCTACCCCACCCCTACCCCGCCAGTCCCCGCCATCCAGCGAGGTGCCCCGGGAGTCTCTCCGGGAGAGCGCTGGCCCCGGGTCTGCGAAGAGCCGGCCTGGGGGGCAGGGCCTTAGGCTCAAAGGCCGCCACGTCCCCACGTGGCTCTGAGCACCGGTGATGTGGCCGTCCAAGATGAGATATACCCAGGGCCCAGTACACCCCAGCTTCCAAAGGCCTTCTGTGACAAAGAGAGACTAAACAATCACACTTATCACCTTTTGTATTGAGCTGAAATAGTAATATTTTGGATCTACTGGGTTAAATAAAATATGAAAATTAATTTCATTTTTTCTTTTTAAAATTGTGGCTAAGATATAAAATTAGGTAGATGGCTCTCACCTGCCGCTTGTGTTCTGTCTCTACAGGACAGGCCTAAGTTGGATGTCTGTGTTATCCCATGTAATCCCGTCCAACTCTCCCAGTGAGGCGTTTACTGTTATTACCTATCCCATTCTACAAACGGGGAAGCTGAGGCGCTGAGCAGTGATGTGACTTGCTCAGGGTGGGTTATGGGCACACACCCAGCAGTGCCCACCCCATGCCCATGTGTACCACACACAAATATTCATAACACATGCAGGGGCCCAGACTGTCAGTGCCAGAGTCCACGGGTAAGATGGAGAGACCCTGAACACAAACACGCTGCCAGCCTCCCAGCTCATACACAAGCGTCACCTGTGCACACCCAGTCTTGTGACAGCGTCAGGAGCACACACATCCACACTGCTGTTCCCAGACCCCCTGCTCACGCCCATGCACACACACCTACAGGTGTGCTGGTCTTCGAGGCAGGCAGTGTGGCCAGCCTCCCTCATGGCCCACAGTGCCATCCAGAAGACTGTATGGGGCCCTGCTGCTGACTGGCTGGTGGGCTCGAGACCCGCCAGACAGTCAGGCCCCTACTCACCTAGGGCTTGGAAAGGGGGCCCTGGCTGAGACTCCATCTGTGTCTGGGGGAGCCAGACCCGAGGGGAGTGAGTGGGCCTACGCGGAGCTCCTGCCCTCCCTGCGCCTGCCTGCCACCCTTCTGTTGAGGGCCCTTCCTCCTGGCTGCAGCCATTTGCATAAAGCTCCCAAGCCCAAGGATCACATTACATGGAGGCCTGATGATAATCTTTGTTGAAATAATATTTAACACATGCTGCACTTTTAATTAACTATCTGAATAATCTCAAATTAATACCAGAGCTTTAAAAATAAGTTTTCATTTTCGCGTTTGGTAACATAATAGCGGCCCGGCTGGCCCGTTTCCCCCTTCTTTGATTTAATTAAAAGCCCTTTTGTGTGTCTCTTGTCACTTCAGAAATGGACAAAAGCCCCCATGTGGGCCAGCCAGGGCTCCTGCTCGGGGTCCAGGTCTGAGGCCAGGGCCAGGGTCAGGGGTACTTAGGGGCCCTGAGGGCAGGTCCTCCACTGAAGCTCCCAGCCTGGCTCTGGCAGTGCCACTGAGGGAGGCCACACATCACACACACTTTTGCCCAGGGACACTGGGGCACGGTCACAGAGGCCAGCAGGCTGCCTCCCATGCATACAGACACACGCTAGAGGCAGGTGGCAATCTCCGTCCCTCGTCCATAACACACACCGGCCAGGCTCTGCAAACATGCCCACCAGACCCATGAGCCTCACGTACCTTCACGCATGCATGTGCACACACACAAAGTCACAGTCACATATACACCATTTGGGAATTGACAACCAGAGCCATTCTGGGCTTGGCATTAACAATTGGCATTCTAAGTCCAGATCCAAGAAACCTGGGGAGCTGCCTGGCCCCGGTGCATGACCCCTGCCCCAGAGTGTGTGATGTGTGTGTCTGTTGCTTCTCTCTCTCCCTGTCCTAACCTGTTGGTTCTGTCTCTGCACCTCTGTCGCAGGCTCAGGACCCCGAGGCCCGCCAGGTGGGCAGCCTCCTGGGGCTGGGTGTGTTTCCCCACTAAGTCTGCTTTCACTCGCAGGTTTCCTCCTGGACCTGAGGAGCAGGCAGGGGTCCTGGGGGCTTCTGCCTTGCCCCTGCCCTGGCAAGCCAAGCCCTCTTCTGAACCCGAGATAGACCAAGGGAAGCTTCCCCAGGCAAGCAGCCCCAGCCAGTCCAGCAGGGAAACTGAGTCCCTACGGAGGCTTAGTTTTCTCCAACAGGTCCAGGTTGCCAGGTGTCTCTCCACTTGGGGGGCCTGAGGCCTTGGGGAACTGTGTGGGAGGGGGTACAAGCCAGACCCACCACAGAGCCTGGAGTCTTGGCAGGGAAAAGTGGAGGTCCCTGGGAGGGTCTGTGCTTCCCGCTGAGGTCCTTGGAAAGCTGGGGGAGGGAGCTGTCGATTCCCCCAGCGACAGGGGCCAGCAGTGAGGCCGACCTGGCCAGGGGTGGAAGCAGCCACCACCTCCAGCTGACTCGTTCCATCGACAAACCCCAGGGAACTGGGTCTGTGCTGGATGAACATATTGGGCCCTGTGTCCTCGTGATATGGGTGGTGAAGGGGTCCCTGCCCTCATCTCACAGCCAGATGGGTGCAGAACATAGTGCTACTGGGAGGAGGCTGGGCAGACAGTGAGGGCACGCGGTGGAGGCAGGGTGAGCGGGGAGGCCACACGCAGGACGCTGTATCTGACACATCGTCAGAAGAGGGGCTCCCAGGGCTGCAATAAGCAAGGCAGCCTCCTGCCCCCATCCCGGGCCCTGGGACCCAGAGCATGACCAGCAGAGCAGGTCCTGAGAACAGATGGCCCGGGGTGCAGTGGCCTCCCGAAACCCTGTCAACCGGCCCCTTCTGGCTCAGACTGCCCAGCCAGCCCGGGTCAGCTGGGGCCCAGTGCACTCCCCACCTGAGGGCTGCCTGAAGAGCCAGGCGAGCGTGTTCCCACCCAGCCCACCCAGCTGCCGAGGACTGGCTGGACCACTCGGGTACCTGGCCCTGACCTCGTCCAGTGTCTCACCCACAACCACACCATCACCATCACACACCGGGACACAGAGTTACGGACAAGCCGTGACACAGAGCCAATGCCCGGGCAGCAGCCATCCCCAACCACAGGCTCACACAACACACGTGATCCTATGTGTGGGCACTCACACACAGTCACAAGTAGCCACATGCACACACACAATCCACATGGTCACACCCTCACCCAAGACCATACACATGAGTGTGCACACAGGGCCGCCACCAGCCGGCTGGTACAGACCCCAGGCCCTTGGCTGCTGGTGCCCCTGTGCAGGAGTGATGTCATGGGGAGGCCTTCCACCTGGGCAGCCAGAGGGGAGGCCAGACCGTGTCCTGTGTGCTGAGTGCCCGCTGGGCACTGGCGCTGGGGGTGTGCACAGGAGCTCTCACAGTAAGTCTCAAGCAGGGGCAGTGTTCCCGCTGTATAGAAGGGGAAACTGGCTCAGAGAGGTGAGATAAATTGATCAAGTCACACAGCAAGAAACAGAAGGAGCTGGGCCTGGAATCAGCCTGCACACTGCCAGTTCACACAGCTATCTCCTTCTGAAACCTGGGGGACGTTCTGGGCAAGTAGGGGGCAGGGCTGCCCCTGCAACACCAGGAAGGTGACCCTCATGTGGCCCAGCTCAGCTGACCCGGAAGACTCAGAGCCCCAGATCTGCAGCGAGAGCTGGGCACTGGAGTGGGGGATAGGGTTGCCCATGCCTCTCAAGGTTGTCACAGAGCCTGAGGCCCTGGCTGGGAACACAGAAGCCACCACAGCTTGAATCCCCGGCAAGAGATCTGTGTGTGACCCAGCCCCAGCTCGCACAGAAGCCTGCTGTGCACAGAGGACAGTGCTCCAGGCATGGGAAGTGCTCACAACAGCGGCTGCCACCCGCAAGTTCTTCATTCATTCATCGGCTCATTCATTCCGTCAATCAACAAGCCTGCAGCCTGGTGTGGGCACAGGTGCTGCCCTGGACGGGAGCAATGGGCTGAACTGGCTCCTGCCGACTGGAGCTGCCATCCTCCTTAGGGAGACAGACAGTGTGCAGGCACCAAATACACTCGTAAAGTGACTTCAGATCATGATCCTTAGCCAAAGTGGGCACGGAGGGCTTCCGGAGGGGCTAAGCCTTGAGTGACAAGAAGGGGACAGCCAGGCCAAGAACTGTGGAAAGAGGATTCCAGGCGGAGGGAACAGCAAGAGCAGAGGCACAGAATGCTCACGCTCACGGGAGGGAGGCCTGGGGCAGGGGCAGGAGCAGTGGGGTGGAGACTGGGCATGAAGGCAGTCCATGCCAGTCCTGAGGAGCAGTGCCACTCAGCCCCTGCCAGTGGCTGCCTTGTGGGATTGGGGACACGGTGTGGCCAGAGGTTCCGATTTTGCAAGGAAAGCTGGAGGTCTGGAATTTTGCATAAAGCATCCTGATTTTTTTGTTTTGTTGTGTTTTAGAAATGAAGTCTCAATCTGTTGCCCAGGCTGGAGTACAGTGGTGCAATCTTAGCTCAGTGCAGCCTCAAACTCCTGGGCCCAAGTGATCCTCCTGCCTCAGCCTCCCAAATAGCTGAGATTACAGACATGTACCATCATGCCAGTCTTATATTTATTTCTTGTAGAGGTGGGGGTGGGGGACGTCTCATTATGTTGCCCAGGTTTCAAACTCCTGGCTTCAAGCAATCCTCCTGCCTCAGCCTCTCAAAGTGCTGGGATTGCAGGCGTAAGCCACCATGCCTGGCCTCCTGATTTTTAAATGGCCACAGTTTATTCAATTTTTTCTGAAACTGTTCGAGCCACACAAAACCTTTCTGAGAGCCAAAAACAGTGTGTGGGCCACTAGTTTGAGACCTTACTGGGAAGTGAGGTCCTGGATTCAAATCCGGCCTCCCACACTTTCTAGCCATGAGACCCAGGCAAGTGACTTACTCTCTGTGCCTCAGCACTGTCATCTGTAGAATGGGGAGGAGGGTGTCTACCTTACAGAGGGCCTACCTTACAGGGTGCTGTGGAGGCGTAAAGGATTTAATTTACTCATTTATCCAGCACATATTTACTGAGCATCTACTGTGTTCCAGGGACCATGCTAGGTTTGGGGGTCACAACAGCCAACAGGAGACAGTCTCTGCCCTGGTGCATCTTACAGTCAATGGGAAAGACAAAAAACAAAATGAGCAACGGGAATGAGTACCACGTGCAGAAATGCCAATAGGAAGAAGTGCCGAGGAGAAAAACTAGGGCAGACAGCAAGGCAAAAGGAGTTGAAGAAGGCATGCTGACATTTTAAACCAAGGAGGGCCTCACTGAGGAGGCGGCATTTCAGTAAAGGCCTGAAGGAAGCGCGGGAGTGAGGCACACAGATGTCCCGTGAAGTGTGTTCCAAGCAGAGGTAGCGGCCATGCAGAGGCCGGAGGCCTGGCCGCCCAAGGAGAAACCAAGGAGACTGGGGAGGCTGAGTGGAAAGACAGGCCAGAGATGGGGGAGGTGGCAGTCGTGAGATCAGGTGGTCCTGGAGCCCACTGCGGGGTGAGCTTTTCCTGTGAGTGAGGTGGGAGCCAAGGGAGAGTGTGGAGCAGAGGAGGGAGGATCTCTGACTTGGCTTTAACAGACCCTCCGGCTGCTGCAGGAGAATGGGCTGCAGCGGGATAGAGCCGCGTACAGGAGGGAGGGTGCTCACTGGTCCAGGTGAGCACGATGGCGGCGGGACCAGCGGCCGGAACTGGGAGGGGGAGACGCCTCTGGGGAGACGTCCAAGGTGGAGCCAGCGGAGAGAGAGGCGTGGAGGCCGGTGCCTGCGGGTTTGGCCTGGGCAGCGGGAGTGTGGAGGGACTGTTTCCTGGAGCGGGAAAGGCGAAGGGGCTGGTTGCGGTGAATGTGGGGCTGGGAAGGCCAGCTGGCTCCCTGGACATGCGGGAAAGTGAAGAGAGAGGCTCCCAGGAGAGGGTGGTCCGGGGACATGGCGTTGGGCACCCCTGCTGGCACTGGAGGAGGCACCAGGGAGAAAGTGTTGTTGGAGCTGAGGACAAATCAAGCAGCCCGCCCGGACGGTGGCCGCATTTGCTGAACATTTGGAATTCCAGGAAAGGGCCGGGGGCCTGGAGGAGGACCCAGGTGATCCCCAGGCCAGGTTTCGGGGACTGCGGCCCCCCGAGGGGGTCTCAGCTTCTGGGCGCTGGGGTTGGGCAGCCGGGAGGCCGCCCCTCCCCCATCGCCCTCTCCCGGAGCGTCCGCCCCCTCCCCCGCGCCACCTGCGGGGTCGGTCAGATCCGGGCCTTTGTCCCGCGCCCCAGCCCCGCCGCCCCGCCTGGCTCCCCCCCGAGCAAACACAGCTGAGCGCCCGGGCTCGCGTGCCGCCCCCGCCCCCCAAATCTCCGGGCCGCGGGGTGGAGGCTTAGCAGGGCAGCTGCGGGCCTGCGGGCGGGCGGAGCTCGGGGCGCCCCTCTCCCGCTCGCACCGCCGGGGCGCGCCTTTGTCATGCAGATGGCCCGCTGGCGGCCGGCCTCGCCCGGCGGCGCTCGGGCAGCTGACCTGGGGGGTGGGGGACAACTCCGCTCCCACATCATGCCGAGGCTCCCGTGAAGACCGCGTCGTCCTTGCCCTGGGACCCGCTCCTCCCTCCCCCCGGCGCCAGGTGACCCACTCCAGTCGCTGGGCGTCCCTGGCCTGTGTTCTTGCTCGCACTCCCTGCAAAGGAACCTGCTGTCCACACACCTGGAGCCCTGGAGCAGGGGCTGGGATTTGCCGCTGCCAAGGGTGTGGGGCACATGTGGGGGGCAGCCCCATCCCTCCCAACTGGTCCTAGGCCAGCCAGACCTCTGTACCCACTGTGGGTGGCTGGGACCCAATCGCTGCCCATTCCTGCCTCAGTCTTCCCATCTGTACTATGAGCGCTGCTCCAGGGCAGAGAGGACTGGTGGGCTTAGGAGGAGGCAGGAGCCAGGTTTGTCCCACCGGCCTTGCAGCCACCTGGTGTGGTGGCCTTGGGATGATACGTCTGGCCTCACATGCAGCGATGTGGCCTGGGGATGTGGATGCCCGCAGCTCAGGGCCCTCGTGGGCAATGACACTCATGCTTAGGATGCCA